>NC_000001.11:176517920-176820950 GCF_000001405.40 Homo sapiens
CTTGAAAATATCCATGGAAGAGGACCTCAGGAAGAACCAGAAAGTTAATGAGAAGGAAAGGCCAGTCATGGATTACTAGACTCAAAGGGCTCGAATAGAACTTAGTGACCAACTGTCTAACCCCCTTCATTTTAGAGAGCTTGAAACAGGCCAAGGTGGGAGGATTGGTAGGGAAATTCTATTTATCTGCTTACCTACATATCTACCTACCTACTTACCTATTCGTCTGTTCATGTACTACTTCTTTCTATAAAGCCTTTGAGGCCTCCCACAGGTCTCTGACTCACAATCTGGAGAACTTTCTAGGACTTCTTGCCACCCTCCTAACTTTAAATAAGAATACATTTGAGGAAATTAGGAATACCTCATGCTGTGTAGACCTTATGTAATCATGAAAGCATCCACGTCCCAAGCCAGAATAGTTCAACCCAAATGCGAAGAGTTGATAAAGTCCATTCTGATAAACTGGAATGTCCAGAAGGACTTCAGTGCCTTTATGGAGTTACCTGTAATTGTGGAAAGCTTGACAGGTAAAAAAAAAAAAAAAAACAAACAAACTTACCAGAAGACACCCTGAAACTTTCAGGCCTTTAAGTTTGACTTGGTGGGTTTGAAAGGAAGCTAAACAGAAAATAATGCCTTTAAGTGCAGTTAAAAATAATACTATGCATTTGAAATCCAATCAAGGGTCCTTATTTTGAAAAGTTGTTTTTGTTTTTTAAGGCTAAACTCAGGAACCATCTGCATTTAGCATATTCCTGAACATGAGCCCACATGTGTGTGGAAGTGTGCATGTAAAGTGTTGGTGAAAACAAATCATATCTTGGTCCCATCAGGCTGTGAGACTGCATTCCCAGAATGGACATACATCTCACAAAAATCTGCCTTAGGCTCAATAGGAATTCAGGAGAGAATGTGGATGACTTTGCAAGAGGTACCTCTTACTGGAAAAGCAACTTAAAGGGCACTTAAAAAAAAACAGTAGAAAAGTACTACTGCTATATCAGAATGAGGTAAATGTTCACATATGTCGTTCTAGAGAGTGGAGACCAGGCAGACTTAAAATGTCTGAGATGTACTTAACTTACAATCATGACTATAAGACATACTAATATAATTTATTTGGTAACATGGAGGAAAATGAGGAAGATGGTAAAAGTCACACAGAGTATGGTAAATATCCTTGCAGTTCAATTCAATATGGCCTCAATACCTTCCATGTGCCAGACATGACATTAGAATCTAATTTTGCAAAATAGAGTAAGACATAATCCTGCTCTTTATCAGCCAACTCTTCTCACAAGTCACATGAACAGGTAACTTCAATACCATGGTCAAGTGCAGTAGTAGTAGTGTGCACAGGGAATAAATGAGCACAGAAGAGCTACACTCGGCCCTCCCTGTAGGGCTGCGGGAGACTCCTGGAGACTACAGAGTCTGAGAATGAGTTGAATAGGTGAGGAGGTGGGGCTGGTGGAAGTGAAGGAGGCAGGGAGGGGAGAGAGCATGACCTTTAGACCTAACAGCAATACCAAAGGTATGCTTTTCCCAGTGTATATCATTTTTCTCATTAGGGAAATGCCTATTTTGCTGTTCTTGCTTCAGATGAAGGTCCAGGGTCATCTAAACTAGAAATTTCTCCGTCCATGCCATGAAGGCAGGAAAAACTAATAAAACATAATATTATATATGCATTGTCCCGAGTTGCTCATTTTTGGAAGACTTGGCTGCTGGTAATCCCCAGGAAGTAGAAACAACATGACTGCCTATCACCTGTCCACATAATTAATCACAACTAATCAATAGAAGCCAAGATATGGTGATTTATCACAAACCCTCCACATTTGCTGGTAGTATTTTTTCCATTTTTTCCTTTTTAATATTCTTAACCAGACAGTGAAGTTGAAAGTTGGTAGTTGGCTGGGAGCTATAGTAAAAAGAAACCCTTGGCATTGTTCCTTTGGTTGTTATCAAGTACTCTTCTACTTGACTGTGTTTCTTCTATAAGGTGAGCAAGGAGCAGAGAAGTTAGCACTGAGAAGCTTGGACTGGGAAAAGCTGTACCTTATCTTTGGCTCAATTTGTTTAATCAGGGACAGTCCTTGGGGCAAAGTCTTAGAAGTTGGCTCAGGTCAGAATTTTGGCTGCACAGAGAGGGGACAAGAAGAAGGTCATCCCTTTGTAGCATTACCAGTTTTGTCTTACTCTAGACAAGGAACAAAGTGGGAATAAGAAAAGTTACATTTCTATTCTTCCTCCTTGTCCAACTCTGCCTCTTGCTTCTCCCCTCTCCACTCCTCACTCCTGCTAGTCTTGGATCCACATACAAGGCTGGTTAGAGACTGTACCATGCTGGAGATTTGTTTCTGGTCAAAAATGTTCACCCTCTTAGCTTCTCAGAACTACCAGAAAATTCTTGAACTACCCCAATTCAGTTGGGTTTGGAAACCTGACTTACTGGAAGTCTTTCTAATGTCATCCAGGTTCTGACAGTTAAGCCACACTTTCAGAGAGCAGAATTATTGAGGTAGAAATAGATTTGGGGAACTTCCAGTGATACATGGCTATCACCAACATTGAAGATCCTGTCATCTCTGTGTCAGTGTTGGATCAGTAGCAGAGACATTTCATAGTTAACACTTATAAAAGATGGAATGTGCAGATCTTTCTGATTAAGGTGAACTCATGTTTTTTGGGTAAGCTAATGACATAAAAGTTTCAAGAAGACATGCAAACTTTGTGATAATTGAGCTGGTTGCAGAGTAAGTGTGAGTGACTGAAAAGCAAGGGAGTTAGGGGAGAAGAAGACTGCTTGGTGGGGAAAGACTGATTTAGTGGACTGGTCTTGCAACCAGCCTCTCCTGGAATTGTTTCTAAGGCTTAAGGACCTGCCAAATGTAATAGGCCAAGTGAGTTGGGCACAGTAGCGTGTGCTTGTAGTCTCAGCTACTCGGGAGACTGAAGCAGGAGGATCACCTGAGCCCAGGGGTTTAAGGCCATCCTGGGTAACATAGCAAGACTCCTTTTCTAAATAAAAAAATAAAATAAAAAAGAGAAATAGACCTAGTGGTTCTCGTAAGACTTTCTCTTTGCAAGAGCTTGAAAGTAGAGGGATGCTCTGAGGATTGATGTAAGAAAGCATAACACTGGAGTGTGTGTGTGTGTGTGTGTGTGTCAGAAAGAGAGACAGAGACAGAGAGAGAGAGAGAGAGAGTAGGGCGGTGTAGTGGATTAAAGATAACTACAACTTTTATTTTCCTTTTATTTTTTCCATTCTTCCCATTAAGAAGCAAAGTTTATTTTCCTTCCTCTTGGACTTCGCCAATATAATGTAGCAGAGGTGATGCTATGTAACTTTTGAGTCCAAGTCTTCAGAAATATACAGCTTCTGCTTTCACCTTTCATGGAATGCTCCTTCTTGGAACTCAGCAACCACCCTGTGAGGAAGCCCAAGAAACCACATGGTGAGACCCATTAGCAGGAAACCAAGTCTCCTAGCAGCACCCCACATTAACTGTCAGCCACAGTGAATGAGGCCATTTTGATCTTCCAGTTATCCCACTGCCCTACCTACACCACATGAAGCAGAAGAAATGCTCAGTCAACCCAAGAATCATGAGAAATAAGAAGTTGTGTTTTAAACCACTCAGTTTTGAGGTAGCTTGTTATATAATAACAGATAATCAAAACCTCTGGAATTCCCATATTTTGGAGGGAATAGTTTAACTGACGTGCAGCTTTGGCAAGGGAATGGCAGGACAGCCACCAGCTTATTACACCTGTGGTAAGAGGCAGGCACCCTCACAAGGCAACAAGGGAAGGGGGGAAAGTGATGACCACCAAGTGGTGGCAGATAGTCCTTATACTAGAATGCATGAGGAATGCCTTCGAGAAACTTCTAGAAAGATTTGGGGGGACTTTGATGAGACTGAAGGTGAGATTTAGAGTGCACAATAATGAGAAGGCATGAACGAGAGAACCCCAGCCTGTGCTGGTTTTCATGTTAGTATTGTAATCCTGATATTATCTAGGGCCTCCCTCTCCTTGATATCTGATAAGTCTTGCACATCCTGTGGAAGACTCCCCAACATTACTATGAATTTCTAGGGGAACTATTTCCCTCTTGTTAGACCTAGATCCAAACTCTGGCTTCCTCCATCTGTGGAAAGTCTCACTGTTTCTTTTATGCTGTTTCTGTTTCACTTAAAATCAACCTGAACACAGCATTTAAACATTCCTTTTATTTTTACAATTTCTACTCATAAAAGCAATCTTTGTGACTAACAGACTAATAAGAAATTTGAGGGTATAAGAAGAACATTCAAACTTGTAGCAATATGGACTTCAAATTGAAATTGAGACTATCCTCATTCTTCAAATGCCTTTGGTTGCCATGCTGGGGGAGATTTTTCCAAGTGACAACTCTGTAAGTACTGCCTGAGCCTCATTCTATGTCATGGTTCCTCTCTCTCCCTTCCATCTTTCAGTAGAAAAAACTCCTTTCATTTTCTCATATAGAACAGCTATCTGCTTATTATGCTCAACGCTTTACCCTTCATCCTAAGCAGCTTGTCTAGGTATGTTAGTCCATAAAGACAGTTGTCCCCCAAGAGACAATTACGATGTCAGTTGTTATAGTAATAAAATCAGTCTTCCACTCTCTGCCCTACTCAAATCACTGCAGTTTCCTGCAAGGGTGCCCAGTGCTGTTCTCTCTCTCTCTGAGTGTTAGGCAAGAGGAAAAGCAAACATAATAAACCTGGGCTTCACCTGACTCATTGCCATGCCTCTTGCTTCTTGCTCTTAGATGGGGGAGATGATGTCCTGGTAGGTGCCCTTTAGGGTGTTGTTTCTTTCTAACTCTTCCACTTTGTGTAGACGAAGAGGGAAGAGTTTCTGCAACTTCCAACACAGAGGATCTGCCACCCCACATCAGCCTTCTCTGCTAGACTGGGGGACATCAGAGGATCCTTGTGGCCTTTGGCAAACGAGGGGCATGGGTGGGCATTTCTCAGGATCAAACACAGCAACTTCTTAGCTTGACATGAAGGATCCACTTTTATTGTGCTGGATTCATCAGGCAAGGTTTCCCCTGATACACCAGATAAATATGACTTCTTGGTATGCCTGTTTACATGTGCGCTTGCTTCTCTGTGGGCAGGGTGGGCTGAATCTCTAGCCTAGCTTTCAGGGGCACCTCAACCAAACCAAATCAAACAGTTTTGTTCTTGGTGAGCTATTGAGTAGGCTGATGAGTTCTAGCATCTTTTTGTGAAGTCTGCACATGTCTGAGGTATAACTGCTGCTATATCTGATACCAGCCTTTTCCCACTTTCCCTACCTCCACTTTCTCCTCCCAATTTCCCAAGAAGTCTGTTCTCTAATCTGGCATGGAAAGAACTATTCCCTTGGATGGTAGCTAAATTTCCCCTAATTCTTCCACTGGTCACATTTAAAATGCCCAGAGACTGTCAGATTATCTCTGGTTTCTGAAAGTAAGACTGTGTCAAGCTTGAGCCTCTCTTCACAGGTTAAGCCTGATTCATCACCAGCTCAACATTATTTGTCTTCTTTGGGAGATGCTGACACTTGGGAAATTTCTGACAGAAATGATCTGTGCTCACAACTTTTGAGTTTAATTTTTTTAAACAATTTTTCTAAGTGACTACCAGAGATAGTGAGTGGTCTCTTTCATTTGGAAATTCATTTATTCATTCATTAAATTTTTATTTTTTTGCCATGACTCTGTAGTAGACATTCGAGGAAGTCAAATATGAATAAGACATGGGGCTCCTTGTTAAAAGAGCTTATGATTCAGTAGAAGAAATAAAACAATTATACCTACCCCATTTAGCAAAGTTGATGCCCCTGTGGAAATGGGAGCTGTAACTGAATCAGAGACATAAGGATTACTTATGGCATAGTCCCTGTAGAATTACATCCCCACTTTTGTACCTTGGCAAATGGCTCTTCTCTTCCCTCCAGATTCTCTGAAGTTGTGAACTGCAGTGTTCCTTCAGCCTCATTCATACAATTGATTGCCACCCTGTTAGGTGACCGTGATGTTTTAGACCCTGTAATATATCAAAGAACTCCCACCAGTCTCTACTTTCCCTCTCTGTCTTCTCATCCATGGCCATTTCCTTGAAGAATTTTCAAGCTGCTCTAAAACTTACCTTTTAACATTCAGCATGGCACTCTTGCATTTCTTTGCAGCACTGTCGTTTTCAGACTTTTTTTTTCAGTCATTATGGCTTAAAACTGTTGTCTATAAACACATGGCATATAGCAGATCTGATGTAATAAGCCATATACGCTGCAGAGTGCACTCAGCTCAGGCTAGCATGGCAGCACCTCCTCTGGCAGGGAGAATTTGCAATATGGTGCCATGACAATGTCCAAGAATGCTGGAATCTGGCTGCTCTGTTGGCTTTCATGGGCCAGCCCTCAGGTCATGGGAAAGAGAGCTATATGAGTAGCACATTTTAATGAATTTTTTTCTTAAATTTTCAAAGAAAACAGCATTATAACAACTCAACACTACAAGGAAGATGATGTTAAAATAAATATGCAAAAATAGGATAGTGACCTCAAATAAAACAATATTATAGAATACTATTATTTTTGGCTCTGATGATTGGGAAAGACTTCCTGAAGGAGGAAGGCTTTGGTATGACACTATCTTCTTTTAATGAATAATGAGACTGTTCAGCATGGGGTAAAGAAGTTTTTTTCTAGGTAAATAAGGTGTGATTAAGAGAGCAGAAGTCTGGTTCTTTCTTATGGAGCTGCATTTGCTCCTCATAAAATGTTACAGCCTTGGTCGGGCGCGGTGGCTTACGCCTGTAATCCCAGCACTTTGGGAGGCCCTGGCGGGCGGATCATGAGGTCAGGAGATCGAGACCATCCTGGCTAACACGATGAAACCCCGTCTCTACTAAAAAAATACAAAAAAAACAAAATAAAATAAAATTAGTCGGGCGTGATGGCGGGCGCCTGTAGTCCCAGCTACTCGGGAGGCTGAGACAGGAGAATAGCGTGAATCTGGGAGGCGGAGCTTGCAGTGAGCCGAGTTCGCGCCACTGCACTCCAGCCTGGCCTACAGAAGGAGACTCCGTCTCAAAAAAAAAAAGTTACAGCCTTAAAATTTTAGGAGCATTATACAGGACACTTTAAGGAAGCAAGCTGTGGCTGTAGGTTTTCTTTCTTGAAATATAGGAACTATCTCTTACTTATATTTATATTCCTAGACCCTAGTACGGTTGCTGGCAAACGGCACAATCATAACTTGCTGATGGATTGGCTGAATGAATAGATGAATCAATCACTCAGTTGAGCAAGACTCTTCTGGTTTCTGACCAGTTCCATATCTTCATTTCAAGCATTTATCTGTGAAGTTTAAAGTGCCTATACTCACAATTGGTGCATTTGCTTGTGTAGTTCATCACTTCAGAAGGTGTGATACATTAGGATATAATGTGATACATTAGGATACATTAGGATATAATTACAAAGAAGTTAAACAGGAATGTCAAAAAGATGTTCAGGATTTCTTTCAGTACCTTAGGATAGTGGCTCCTAATGAGGTTAATGGAAAAATGCCGGTATGACTACCTTAGAATCACCTGGAGAACATTAAAAAAAATCCAGATTTCTGGGCCCCACTTCCACTGTAATTTTGAAAATTTCCTCAGACAATTCTGATATACAGACAGGTTTGAAAAACACTACCTTAATCTTTAAAATACAACTGAAATTTCAAAATTCCTAGTTACTGGAAATTTTCTAGAAATCAATCATGTGGCAGAGGCCCATTGAGGGTACAGCCAGGTCGCTTTTGAGAGGGAAGTCTGGGTCCCTCTGAAAGTTACACTTCTTGCTGCAGGTATTCACCTGGTTCTTCCACTAACAGTGTATTTCTTGCGTGTTCAATCTCTCTGAATGGTTTTAGGTAATCCTCTACTTTGGAATTTTGAACCAGTTCTAGTTTTAGGTGATCTTCCCTGTTCTTCTCCTGAGTAGAGGTGGGCTGCTAGGATCTGTATTTTACGATGAAGCTCCATGCTTATGGAGGTTATAAAAGCTGCCCAGTGACCTGAAGCTCTTGAGGCCATGTTTGCCTCACTATACCCTGTTGCCTCTCCTTGGTGACTGCTGACTGAGGGCTTACAATAACTCTGAAGCTGTTTATGGATTCCTCTACTCCTTGCAACAACCCTGAAAAGAAAATGGTCTCTGGAGTCCTCCATTTTGTGGATAGAGTGTTCCAAGAGTTGACCATCTCCAGGAGATTGCTGCTATGTAAATGCTGGGGCCATTGCCGGCTGTGGAAAAGACTGCTTTGTATCCACTAAACCCATTGCTGTTTCTCATGACCACACAGCTACCCTATGTTTCCCAGCATCCCTTGCAGTTAGGTGTGACCATGTGACAGAGTTGTGGCCAGTGGAATATGGGCAAAACTGGTATGTTCCACTTCCAAGTTTAGCACTTTAAGAAGCTCCAGTGTAATCCTTTGGGCTTGTTCTCTTTTGCCATCTGTAGGCTGAATGCAGCAAAGGAAAAAGCCCTAGAAGATGACAGTACCACATGGAAGGAGAGCTACTGTGGAGGGAGCTGGGTCTCTGAATGATTGTGTGGACCCTCAGTAGATGATCTTGTGGGGAGAAAACCTTTTACTGAGTTAAGACACTGAGGTTTCGGGGTGATTTGCTACAGCAGAGAGCTTCCCCTGACTAATAAAGCTGCCCTCCCCTTGTTCCACACCTCTGCAACTGTAATGACAATTTTTGATCTGAGATCCCTAAGCCAGTGGGCAAAAGGAAGAGGTCTTTCACAGGAGCTACTAGGAGAGTGACATGGCACAGGGCTTGAGGTTGGAAGAAATGAATTCAAGTCTCACTTTCTGCCTAATTGTGTGACATAAACTAAATGCTTGTCCCGCCAGAGATTCTTCCCCTGTGAAATGGGAATAATATGAGATAACATATGTAAAGGTATCTGGCAATGGTGCTCAATACAACTTTTTATTTTTACTTTTTAATTTGTTTTTATTAAACTTCTTTTTGTAGAGATGGGGTCTCATTATGTTGCCCAGGCTGTGCTGTACTTGAACTCCTGGGCTCAAGCAATTCTCCTGCCTTGGCCTCCTGAAGTGCTAGGATTACAGGCATGAGCCACTATGCGTGTCTTGAATAAAACTATTTAAACCTAAAGAGTCTTTAGAAATGCAGCAAAAGTTTAGCAGAGGTGAAAGATATTGTATCGAAGAAGAACAGGTTGTAGCTTCAAATAGCAAGTCCAGAAAGCCAGTGGATGCCACCACAGCCATATTGTGCAGAGTCCTATGTGACAGGCTCTATAGTGAGGGCTTAACCTGCATTATCACATTTGACCCAATGACAACTCTGTGAGGTATGTGTTATCATCTCCACACTGGAGATGAGGAAATTAAGGCTCATCAAGTGTAAGTTTGTAGGTGGATAATTTTTTGAGATGTTTCTTCCTACTTCTGTCTTGCTTCAGGATAAAGATAGATAGAATGTAAGTTCCATGAGGAGAGAGCTATTGTCTGTCTTTTTCTCCCTGTATGCCAAGCATCTATCACAGGGCCTGGCACAGAGTATATGCTCACTGCATATGTTTTGGGCTGAATGATTGGTTAATATCTCAGAAGAATAAAAGAGCTATTTGTTCCTTTGGTTTTGCCCCCACACTCTATTCCTCTCACCTGCAGGTAGAATGGCTAAGCCTATATATTCAGATTTCTAGACCCCTGTGTCCCTAGTGTTATTTGATGACTGTTTTAGAGCCAAAAAGAAGTTTCCATTCAGAAGAAACCCTCCACCAAGACTGGTGCTTTGATTTAAAGGGGCAGAACTGGCACTGAGAGATAGGAGGGTAGAAGCAAGTCCATTGAAGGCTGGCAGCTCTGCCCAGCTCCCTGACAGACCTCTGTGCGGGAACAGAGCTTCTGATGGAGTAGATGTGAGAGCCATTGGTTTGGTGGACATTGAATGCCAGGCATGGCCAACTCATTTCAACTTGTCCTGGACTTTTCTGGTTTTAAAACCCAAAGTCCTGCATCATGGAAACCCCTTTAGTCCTGGGTAAACCATGACAGTTGGCCACTCTACTGCCATATCTGAGGATTTATAGTGAAAGAGCATCATGCCAAGCTTGGCATTCAAATGGACCCTGCATTCAAATGGGCTGCATTCAATTGGACTGCATTTGAATGGTTCTGCATTCAAATGGACCCTGAGGGCTCCGACATTAAGAACTCAAGTGGTCCAAGATAGACTGAAGAGCAGAAGCCCTTCCTCATAGTCTGGTGACTATACTCTCCTGAGATTTTTGAACTTTCCTATGGAGGGCAGCTCATCCCCTGATCCCCTTACACATGATAGAGAATACATTTCTTGCTTTCTTTTGGAGATCCAGAGCTAGATTTAATTTGACTTGAAGAAAGAGGCAATGTGATGTTTCTTATACCTAAGGAGGTGAGCAAATTCATATCAGCTTCAAAAGACTTGCCCAAAGGCCCACAGCTAAATAATAGAACTACCATTTGAATACAGGTGTGTCTGGCCCAAATGTTGGTTTCTTTCCCTTAGGAGGCATAGTGGCCCCAAACACTGAATGAGAAGTAATTTGTCCATTCAAGTGGACTTTTAGATATGCAATCATTCACAATTCTGTCTTTTGTTGTTTCATCTGATTGATTTGATTTACATACGGCACCAATTTCCCTTCCCTCCAGTCCAAATTTCTTAGTCTCACATTCAAGACTTCCCTGGTTTCAGCCCTAACCTATCTTCTCTCAGGTCTACAGTCCATGATTTCTTCCACATACCTTTTCCTTCTCCAAGCAAGGCTACTTCATGCTTCCCCCACCATGTGTGTCTACTTTGCCATGCCTTCTCCCTGGAATGCCCTTTCCTCCAACCTACCTTATCAAGACGCTGCCATCCTTCAAATCCTCGTGAAGCCTTCCTTGATCCTTCCCTTTTATGATTCCCTGCAGTTAAAAGCACCTTGCATCCAGTTATTGCCACAATAGCTTGTCTTGCTTATTGGATTCCAAGTTACTTGTGGGCAGGAAGCAGACCATGCATTTTATTTTGTAGCCTCCAAAATAACCTAGCATAGCAATCTGCACAGAATAGACACTTTATAAATATTTGTTGAAATGCAGTGGAAGAATTAAGGAGAAAAGGAAGTCTTTAGATTTTCCCTAGAGTGTGACTCAGAACTGGGACAAAAGCTAATTTGGTGAAGTGCATTTGAGGAAAATCAGGTGGGAAAAAAAGAGACGATAGAAATAGAGGTGAGAGAGTGCAGCCAGCAGCCCATTTCTGAGTGTCCCTGAAAGTCTCAGAACGAGCCAGAAACTGATCTCTCTGACCTTTATCCAAGTGTTGGAACACATTGCCCTGTGGTTTGAAAGCCCACTCTGAAGCTCTCCTTCCAGCCTTTAGTAAACTAAGGGAGGCAGACAATTAGGGGAATGCTTTGGATCTGATCTCCTGGCTGCCGATTTCACCGAGATCCACACTTTGAAGTACTGGGGATGTCAGTTACATAAGGTTATATGGCATTTTCTTCTATGCTGGGGCAAGGGGAGGAGGAGGGAAGGAGAGCACCTATTAGCTCAAGAGAGCTACTGCACAAGCTGGTGCTCAGCAAGAGCCCAGTGCTGCCTTCCCTTGCCACACACACATCTCTTCCAAATGTGCCCTGACGTTGCATTCTCCATCCCAAACAGGACACCTGGAGAAAAATGATTTTGTGGCTAGCTCTGTTTTCAATACCGTGGAACGTTTGGCAGCATGGTGATCCATCACCAGCTTTTTTTTTTTAAACCTTCAAGATGGCCACTTGCCTTTTTTATCAGCAAGTTTGCATGCGTTTTGCTACTTACTGTCTCTTGAGGCCAAGTTTTTTTCCCCCTGATTTTTTGCCATCTGTGCCATATTTTTAAAGAGTTTTTCTCCTCTAATCCCTTCTTTGATGCCAGGAGAAGCAATACCAATGGACTGGAGATATTCCAAAGCTTAATGTACAGGGACCAGCTAAAAACCTCAACAACATTACTTCACACACATTCTCTCTCTTTCGTTTTTGCAAGTGGGCATGTGATAGGGGCCACAAGAGAAGATAAATAAAGCTCACAATTCAACAGGGCTGGCAGGCTACCTGCTCTTGAAACATAAATCAGGAGGCCCAGGGTCCTGGCTGCTGCCTACAGTCCCAGGGAGACATGATTTTCCCAGTCATTTGGAATGGCCAAACCTACAAGTCACAATTTCAAGGAAGACAGGTTAAAACCTCACATTTTCCTTGGGCTTTGACCTTTGGCTAAAGTCAGGAGCTATGAACTCTGTGAAGCTTAAGACTCATCTACTTTTTAAGAAAACTTAGAAGACTGCTTTAACCCACACAGTTACTCAATGGGACAGGAACAGTGAGGAACACAAGCAAGGGCCAAGCCAATTAGAAATCGATTAATTAATTAAAAAGAAAAAAACAACTCCAGAAGTCAGCATCCCATCCTCTAGAGATCCTGGCTTACTTTGTGCCTAGAGAACACTTGGTAACTATTGTCCATTTTTAGGTCTTGTTAAATCAAAAATAAAGCAATCCATCTTCAGTAAGTTTGTAGAAATATATTCATCTCATGCAAAAAAAAAAAATCTGTAGAACTCTTCTTTTCCCCTTAAATTATGTGGTAGAAAGAAGCTGAGACTAAGAAACAGCAACATCCACCAAATAGCTCTGTGGTCTTGGAAAAATCATTTAAAGTCTCTGGATCTTCACTTTTCAATTGATAAATTACATGAGTTGGAAAAATGACATAATTCTATATTAGGGGCATACATTTCATGGAGTTCCCTTAGAGATGGGGGTTGAATTGGTATGGAAAATAGGGTCTGAACACTGGAACCCAAATTTGATAAGACTAAGGAAATTTATGCATTTTTTCTTTTCTTTTTATCCCTACATTTGTACATTTCTACTTCTTGCTTCCAACTGGGAGAATCAATTCTATGACCACATGAAAGTCTCATTAAGCACAATATCTCAGGCCACTTTGGTAGTTCATAAAAGACAACCAAAGTTTTAGTTCTGTCTACATGAGGCTACCAGGCCAAACTGGAACTGAATGTTCTAATTTGTATTGAATTATTTGCCAAGCAAATATGGAGCTCTTTTGATGTAAACAGGAGTGTTCACACCAACACAGTTTCTAGCAGCAGGCAGGCAAGCCAGATCCAACTTGGATTCTGCCTGTTTCCAGTAGCTCTTCATTAATGTTGATGTAAGTCAGTCCAGCTTGCTCCTGTGGGATGTTCAAGGTTCACCATCATTGGTTTTCAGTGTATTGTATCAAAGTCCAAGGCTGTGGGACACACGACTTCCTGAACAAGGCTGGGATCTGAGAAAAGGCTCTGTCTGGGCGCTAGGGTGTATAGAATGCTTATACCATGACATAAAGATGGCCATAATCCTGGAATTATATTCTGAGAATTAATCAATATTTACTGAGAACCTATCCTAGGTGCTGGGATAGCACTGATGACTTTCTGGATGTAGTATTTGTCTGTTTCAAGTTTTCCCATAGTGTCTAGATTTTCAATCAATTTTATCAAGCAAACCGGCCACTGTTCCACCTTCATGAAGAACAGTAACTGAGATGGTTTCCTTTCTAGCATTTGTGGCAACTCCTTACAAGGACATGCTGAGGTCACTGTTGAACAAGCAACTGATATCTGACTTTGGTTAGGGGGTCTAGATGTCAGTATTTCTCTTTACACAGATCCCCAGGATTCTCTTCCCAACTGAAGTGGGAATGGTAAACAGATCAGTTAAAAAATTTAAAAGACACAAATATAAAATGAAACGAGTACTCTTTAGTATTTTATAGCACTCATACTGAATGTTCACTGGCTCTCTGGCACATGTGGGCACTGACTGACAGTTGGTGTTAATGATAGCACATCCATTTCTTGGGAACTGGGCTTCCTAGAGGCCTCCTGTGTAAGGGCTGCCTGGGGCTCAAGAACTGGCCCTGACATTTTGGCAGTGGTGCTGAAGAAAAGCTGTCTCTCACTCCGAGGTTTTTCAGTCCATAAACCAGCAGCAATTTGGTTGTGGAAGACCCCGGCAGAAATAACAAGAGAAAATTGAAAACACATAAGCACATTTGCCGGGTTTAATAGCCCTGCTCCCTCTCTCTACCTCCGGTACCTTAGGCATAAATTGCTGACCTCTATTTAATTTTCTGAACTGCAAGAATTATGGGCCCAAAGTTCAGTGAATTGGAAGAGGTAAGCTTTTATGCCTCTGAGCCAGCTTCCCCATAAGCATTAAATCTACAAATAAAAGCAACATTTCTATTTATACTTCCTGGGGTTTGTGTATTAGGGAAGCCAAGCACGTCCCTGCAGCTCTGCGAAGGTGACTGCATGGTCAAATCTGCGTCCAGGTAATGTGACGGAGCTTTCCCATCTGGGCCAGAGGAAACAACCAAAGCAGATGGACAAGAGATATTAAAAATAACACACGCAATTTCATTCGGAAAAAGGCACCTGCTTAAACAGTGTTTGTTTGATTCTCCTTCTGGCCGTGGGTAACAAATGTGTGCCAGGGGAAGTCTTACGTGTATACCCTTCCTGGGTACTCACCTTTAATCACAACAAGGGCCAAAAGGCAACCCAGCTTCCTGTCCCCACATGGTGTGGGTCAACGCAGCATCACTCTCTCACTTCAGACGCAGTAAGGGTGTGATTCTGGCTGCTTCCAGGCATGCCTGACACTCACACAGCCACGTCATGTCATGTTTTTTATGTGGCCTGACCTGACTTTGTTCTCGGCTCCCTAGATCCACCTCTGCCTCTGTGTCTGTCTCCATCTCTGATGCTCAGCATCAGTATAATCACTCAATTCCACACACACCTATTGCCCACCCCCTGTGGGCACCCTGCACTAGGCTTCCAGCCCCCCTGCTCACTCTAGATTTGCCCATGGCAATCTTGTGGGTGGTTCACAGTGAGGCACATCAGGATTGTTGAGGTTTCTATTTGATTCCTCTCTGCAGCCCCTCTGCCCTTCCTCAGGGTCATTCTTTGCTTGCTTTGTAACTCAAAACTTTCCCTTATTCCTGTCAAAGCTTTGGTTTTCTACTCCTTTCCTCCTGCCTGTGTCCTGCAAAACAAATTCTGAACATGGTGTAGGTAAGCCTATGAGCCTCCCTCTTCAGGGGTGAACTTTGCACATTGCCAGAGGCTTTCTGGAAATAACACCTCAATCCAAAGGTGTGAGTCAAATGCTAAGAATTTTAGGCACCTTGGCAGAGTGTTGAAGAAATTATTTTGGGAGCAAGTACATGGTTCTGCTTGAAATATTCCCTGTGACTCTGTCCATAGATTCTGCCTTGGCAAAGGACTAGGTCACGGTCACCATCACCATAAGCCATTTTATTGAAGCTGAGCCCATAGTGCTGGACAACTGAAAGGTCTTCAGCTACTGCTGAGATACTAAGATAAGTGTTTTGTTTCTTCAGACCACTCCTTCTGGATCTATTTGTTATTCAACTGTAGTGCTATTTAAATTACTTTTCTTTGACCAACTAGCTGGAGGCGTGAGGATGTTTTGTACCTCCTCCCTGCCACTTCTACAGCCATGGTTATACCTTCATAAACACTCGTCACCTAAAACTTCCTTCTACATGGATTCTGCCTTTGCCTACAGCAGCATTTCTCAATCTTGAATGTACCTATCACTTGAAGAGCTTGTGAAAATGCAAATTCTAATTCAGTGGAATGGCCCTCGATTCAGCAATTTTAACAAGCTGTCAGGTGATGCTGATGGTGCTGCTCTCTGGACCACACTTTGAACAGAAAGGGTGTAGGCCTATGCTGTCCAACAGAGCAGCCACTAGCTGCACGTAGCTATTGAGTTCTTGAAATGCTGCTAGTCTGAACAGAGACTTGCCATAGTGTAAAATACACACCAGATTTTGCAGACTTAGCTCATATAAAAGAATGTAAACTGTCTCATTAATCATTTTTAAATGTTGACTTACATTTTGAAATGATAATATTTTGGATATACGTATTTGATTATACAAAATTTTTATATAATGTTTCTTTTTACTTCTTCTAAAATATGGCTAATAGAAAATTTAAAATTATACAAAGGGCTATTATTGGATAGCACTGATCTGGAGAACCGTACCCACAGGAAGCAGTAGGGAAAAGTAGCTTCTGTCAGAATTATCCCATGTTCTGGTACCTCCTAGCATTTCTCCCCTGTCACCCCAGGATATTGGATTCCCATTAGCTCCCTGCCTGTTTTTCCCAGGTTCTAATGTTAGAGTCTGAGTTGACTGCTAATTTCTCTGTGTTCTCTGGGCCCAGCCTACTCATTTGCTTCTATTCCAGTCCCGACCTCTCTCAGTATCCATGATCCCTAGCTTCCCACAGCCTCAGCAAGACAGTGGTTAAAATCTGCCCAGATTGGAAGAGCAATTCTGGCTGCCTAGAACAGGAAAAGAATGTATTGTAAGGATCGGCTGCCTTTAGATAAGAAAGAGGTAAGAAAATAATGAACACATTTGAAGATATTTGATAACAGATAGAATAGGCTCACAACTAGGAGGGAATCATCTTACTTAGGACTGCTAACTACAAGAAAGCCAATATCAACATGAGCTGTGGCTAGTCTGAATGGAGTATATGAGAGGTGTGTGCTTGAGAGAAGCAATGCGGTTTATCTCTGAGAGTAGCAAGAGTTCCAGATTCAGAGCAGCTTTCTCATGGGTATCCATTTCTAATGGAGACTCCTAAAACTTTGTGAATCATGTGCTTCAACTGGAAGTATATAGAGATGTGGCTTTGAGGGTATCTTGAAAGAAGAATGAAGGAGAAGAAGGAAGGTTAGCAAACAGTTGGAATAGAGATGCTTAGCTCTGGGAATCCTGCTTGAACTACACTCAAATCCTTTGCAAATTGCTGAATGTCTTGCTTACTGGGGTGCGAGAGGATCCAAAATTACTCTTCCCTGTGTTCCTTGTGCTCTGGTTCCCATCAGGAATTAGAGAACCAGAGGGAGACTGTAGAAGGTTGCAATACAAAATAGAGAGTGCCAAGGAATGAATCAGCTTCCTACAGGGTGGAGAAAAATGGGAAGAAGGAAGCAAAAAAGAGGTAAAGGATAAAAGAATAAAATGTGCGAAAAAAGTGTCCTCAGAAGAAAGGGGCATGTTCTCTTCTCCTTTCTTCCTTACTGCTGGCTAGAATGTGGATGTGATAGCTGGAGCTCTAGTAGCCATGTTGCACTATGAGGCAGAAGCATGTGTTGAGGTTGTAGAGCAAAAAGAGAGAGGGAACCCAGATTCCAGATGACTGGGAAGCCCATACCCACCCTATTTTGCTAACCTCTAGATTTCATTTTTGTAAGAGCGGAATTCGACATTTTCTACCACACTTTCTCTACTACTTTTTTGAGTTTGCTCTCCTTTACAGATAACTAACTGTACTGATAACAGAGACATAATACACAAATAGCTTGGGAAAAGGAGTGTGGTATCCTAAAGGCACATGAGAGATGTGGGGGCCAGTATTCTGGTTTCTTCTGAGAACAGGTTTTTACAGGAGACAGAGAGCAGAAGAGCACCAGGCCAGAGGAAGAGGGTGCAGTGTGGGGCCAGAGAAGCAGTATCTATAGCAGCTATGAGAATGGGATCAGACAGACCTAGTTCTAATCTCAGTGATATCACATACTAGCCATGTGGGCTTGGAAAAGTTTGTGTCACTTCTCTAGTCCTCTAGTTTTCTCATGTATATATTGGGGCTAAGAGTAATTCTTGCCTTTCATATTTTTGTGAGGAATATATGAGATATTGCACAAATAGTGCTTATCATAGGGCCTGGCACAGAGTAAGTGCTGCCTGTCACTATGTGAAAGTGAAGGCAGGAAGCCCCAGGACATGTTCCACTTTGTGCCTTCGATTTTGATGGTCTCCTGACAAGTGCTTTTTTAGAACCTCACACTGTAACGTCCCAGGGAAAACATACATGGCTAGCATCTCAGCTGATGGAAGAAGCTCTCTGCTCCTCACTAATTAAGCTAATTAACAATTCATCATAACAGCCTGTGAGGTTCCCCTGTCACGGGTATCTCTACTCACAAAAAAATAATAGCATCATTAGCAACAACCTGTCAGGAAAACAAGGCACAAAGTTCTGAGGAAGCAGTCACTTACTTGCTTTGTCTAATGTTTTCTTTTCTCTCTCTGGAAAGAATAACAAGTTGTGAGAAAGATATTTTGCCCTGGACTGCTAGGTAGGGTCCGGGTGAGCTTTTCTGCACTCCTCTTAAAAGTAATGACTGTAATAATAATGACAGTAACAACATTGATGCTGAACAACATGTTCAGTTATCTGTTGCCACAATCATGCTACATAACAATCTTATACAAAACCTCACTGACACACATGGTATAGATTTATTTAGCTCATGAGTCTGTGGGGTTTAGGTGATCTGACTTGGCTGACCTTGGCTAGACTAGTTCATGCTTCCAAGGTTGGCTGCAGGTTGGCTGAGTGGCTCTGCTGATCTAGGTTAGATTTGGTTACCTGTGTGGGCATTGGCTAGATCTAGAAAGGCCTCAACTGGGATGACCAGGAGCACTCCTTACTGTTCCATGGTTCTCATTCTCCAGCAGGTTAACCTGGGCATCTTCTCAAGACCATGGCAAAGCAGCAAGAGAAAGCATGCCCAATCTTGCATGCACTTTTCAAGCATCTGCTTGGTCACATTTGCTAACATCCCACTGACCAAGCCCAGAGTCCGAGTGGGAGGGCATAGCAAAGTCCAATCCAGGAAAGAGTAAAGAATTGGAACCATGAAGCAATACACCACAAATGGCATTGGATATGTAGGCTCTACACGGGCACTGTGCTAAGCTCTTGTCACATATTATCTCATTTAATCAGTTCATAACCCTATGAGAGAGGTACAATTATCATTCTGATTTTGAGAATGAGGCCTGAGGCTTAGGGCATAGACATAGCATTTGGTAGAGTTCTGTGTGAACCTTAGTTATTTAATTCCAGAGCCCATGCATTCAGCCTTCATAACATACTTTCTCCATTCATGGCCCCATTGAGGTAGACCAGATATTTTCCTAGAGATTTGTTTTCTAAAGGAAACTTTCTTTATAGATTCTCCTAGACCTGGCTAATAATGAAGGGTAAGCATGTTGTTGAAATAATTTTGTACTCTAATTGCTCCTTTGCTCTGAGTATACATGGTATGGATTTAATTCTGTTCCCCAGGGCTGACTCAATGGACACCCACTGGTTGCTCCCCAGCCCTACTCCTCTCAAGGCAGTGGACAAGGCTCACGTGTTAGAAAGTGAAGGTACTGAAATGTCATCATCTATGCTGTACCATCTTGCAACTCTGTATCCAATGCTTTCTAATTAGTCCCTTAAGACTTTAGTTCCTTTCACGCCAATTCATCTGGCATGTATTTTAAATGGGTCCTCTGAAGACAACAGATGCTCAATAAATTCTATACTCTGACATGTTTTAAAATTCCTACACATGTGCCTGGCGCATCAAAGAAGGTGTACAGAATGGAATAGACCTTGCACCTTGTCCATGCACCAAGTCCTCTGTTCTAAAACTTATTTTCCTTCTTTGTTGAGCAGTTAAGGAGCCAAGTCTTTTGACTTTTGGCTGAAAAGAGAAAGTAAACAAGATGTCCGTTTCAAGGCAGTAGGTATGGAGTGTGTGTGTGTGTGTGTGTGTGTGTGTGTGTGTGTATGTACGTGTGTGTGTTAACGCTGTGACCTCTGGGACCCTGGCCCTGATACTCAGACCCATAATGTCATCTTGATCTTTCTGCCTTTTACCCTCTTGGCTACTTGGACTTCTGTTGCTTCTTTCATCTCCACCCACCCCTGCATAATTTAATCTCATGTTTCATGGATTCCTTCTTCTACTGGAGTTATGTGTCCTGAATCCAACCATTCAGCCAGACCTACTATATTTCTCTCTCTTTCTCTCTCTCCCTCTCTCTCTCCTTTGAGACCCTGAAAAGCTTTAAGGAAGACTCTCGCCTCAACTCTGCTTATTCACCTTCTCAATATAGTAATCCAGAGTGTTACAAACCTTGTTTTGACCTCATGATTTCTCACCTTCTCTTCCTACCATTTCATTCCGTTCATACACACTCTCAAGTGTCAGGATTACCTCTTCCAAATCTCCCCTTTCTCCTTTCCCATTCACTTCCCCAACAGTTGGGATGGACCCCAGGACCATCACTCTTCACATGTCTTGAGCATGTGTTAGGTGTCAGGAGTGAACCAAGCACTTCACATTTATTTTATTTAATCTTCACAACCACCAGTGTGGTCAGTGCTGTACTTTCTCCATGTATAGAAGTGGAAATGAAGATGTGGGGAGGTGAAGGCATTCATCCAAGGTCACATTGAGAGTAGATGACAATGCCAGGCTCTAGAACCACATCAGAATCATGCCAAGGTCTGTGCCTTGATCCACTCTTCCAATTCAGATTTCTTCCTGAAGTCAAACCAAGTTAGATTTTCCGCTGAACAAGGTCTCATGATTGCTTTTAGAGAGGAGGGGGAGAAATGGAACGTATAACCTTTCTCCGTTTCTTTTTTGTTTCTCTCAGTTTTCTTCAGTCTCTTTCTTCATTCCTTTCCCCATCTCCACCCATGGTGGCCCAAGTTTCCTCAGCAGAATTCACACTCAGGCAATCTCCTTTAAAAGTTTCTTTGCCTCATCACTAGACAATATCCCACAAATTCAAGCCACCTATAAACCCTACTGCCAGCTCTTCATTCATGGGTCTTTAAAAGGCAGACTCATAAAAGAAGCCAGCTGAGATCCTGGTTCTGACAGTCTTATAGCCTGTTTTTGCTTGGCCTCACAGATTTAAAAAGTTTTGGTTAAAATTATGGCTGTTGACATAACCTTTAAGGATTATCCCTCAGATTCATGATGAGGCTTCAGTCATCTCTGAGCCCTTTTCCTTTCACCCACATGCTAATTCCATGGCTGGTTCTAAGGCTCACATACTGATGAGTGAAACGGAGATTCAAGTTTAATAGGTGCTAAGTAAAGTCTTTTATTTCCCTTCTGGATAATCCCCTCACCAAACCCTTTCATCCAGTTCAAATGCCCGGGTGCTGGTGCAGTTAGGCAGACGAGAATCATTCTGACAGCAGAGCTTAAATGACTCAGGAGTCGCTCCAATTTCCTCATCTGGCTGCCAGGATTTGTATGGAACGTAGGGTATGAGCTGGGGCTGAATAAATTGTATGGGGTCCAGCCAGAGAGGCGGTTGCCAGGGGCAGGTTGAAGGCACATGAAGTGAAGCACAGGCTCATGTCATGGTGGCCTGATCCAGCAGGAGCCACAGATGCCACCCTCAGCAGAGGAAATCCCTTACACATGGCCTCTATTCCTGTTTAGTTCTACAAACATTTACTGTGGCTCCTATTTTGTTGTCCCGGCTCTGTTCTAGGCCCTAGGGACATACAGCTAAATAAGGGAAGGTCTACCCCATTAAGTGGCTCACAGTCTGGGGTGGAGGGAAGACCTCTAGAAAGAGAAAGGAATGTTCAAGGTGCTGGTTATGACTCCAGCTGAGTGTCATGTGATTTTTTTTTTCCTAACAAGCTATAGTATGCTTTGGGCATATGAGTAGGAGATTTGTGCACTAGGAAGTGGGTGCTGCTACCCCAATAAAACACTCTTCCTCCTGGGCCAGCAAAGATCCCTTTGGACACCTGATCTTCTGCCCTTTTCCCACGGGGAATCCACTTTGGTCCTGTTCCATTCTCAGGAGAACTCATGCTGGATGGAAAGTCACAGAACATTTTGCTGTGGCCATGCATTGCTTTCAGGTCTAGCCTTGGCTGAGCCTGATGCTGAAAGGAGAAGTGAGGATCAGTTAGCCATTTGCTATTCAAATAGTATTTGTTTTCATTGTCTCTTGGAAAGCTGTGGGTACTGTTCCAACCTTTGTATCCCCTTTCTGATCTTAGTCTGCTGGGAAGGACTCCACCTTCTTTATTAGCAAGAAGAAGAAAGGGAGGGACCATTTGCTTCTCTCTAGGAATTTCTTTTCCTCAATGGTCAAAATTTCTCATGGTTTCATACTTGTTTTTTCAGATCTCTGGGAATACACAAATAATAAGACACAAGTACCATCCTCAATTGCTGTGCAGGGTCATTGGGTAGAAAGACGTAACTGTAGGTAAACTGCAAGACATTGCAATAAATGGTATTTTGGAGGCTTGAATAAAGAGCTACTGGGGCTACCTACATAAGCTGTTCCCTTTCTAGAAATGCCCTTCACTTGAAAACTCCTTGTCTTTGTTTAAGACCCTGCTCAAAAATCACTCTGTCTTTGAAATGCCCTTGATTACTGCGTGAAGAGTTGATTGCTTTATTCTTAGTGCCTAGCAGTGCTTCATTTGAAATTCTGAGATAGCACTGATAGCAATGTCTTACAATTTATACACTCTGTGTCTTTCTCCCTAATGTATCTGTGAGGCAATCCAGAGCGGTGCTAGTATGTCATTACTGGTGTAGCCCCAGAATCTACAGTGGTGGCTGGTATCTAGAAGGGCTCAACTTATGCTTCCTGGAAGATTAGGTAAAGCCACAATGACTTAACTTTCTTTTCACTCAAGATCTAGTTCAAAGGGCAAGATGAGGCCAAAATGTTGAGTTGAGATGTCTCAGTACCATACACTAAACTCTGAGTCATGTGACCAGATAACCTAACCTTCTCAATTCAGCCAAGTAAAGTGAGAGCTCCAACACCCCCCAGCAGAGTGCATGTGTAGCATTTTATGGAAATCATCTCCCACCAGAGACAACTAGAGCCTCCCCACCATGGCTTCTGAGTTCTTACTGGCTTACCTCAAGAAGTTCTCAAATCCTATGTTGATCCTGGCCTCTGTAACCAACATTTTTCAGTGATAATTTGAGGCACATTATGTGGCATTTGGGGCTAAGAACCAGAGTCAATGATTGGAGTTTCAAGATCTATAATCTTGGACACTGTTCTCTACTTATTTTTTCAGTAATGGGAGCTCAATGGAACTGAGTAAATGGCTGCTTGAGCAAGGATAAGCTTCCTGGATGATATTTAGAAAAGTGATCACTTGATAGAATGTGCTCTATACATCTGTGTATATATAGGGGACACACAGTTCTAACCACTATTGAGGAGCATGTGCTTCAGCTTTATCTCCACAAACCATACAGAGATGCAGTTAGAGGCTTCCACATGATTTCTCCACTTGTGGATCTTGACAGTGCATTAACAGCGAATACATTTGTCATCAGGATTCAGCCAGAATACCAGAATAATCTGCACAGTATTTTGGCCTTAGTTTAGATGTGTGGTTCTCAATGGGGGAAGTACTGTCCCATAGGGACATTTTGGAAAGTAGTAAGGGTAGTTTTGATGTCACAATCATTGGAAATTACCACTGGCATCCTTGCTAAGATCAAAATAATTGGAAATCACCCCTAGCATCCTTGGGCAGGCACCAGGGATCATAGATATTCCTCTAGTGCATAGATAGTGCCACTGAATAAATTTTCCTGCATCCTGCTTGACTCTTGAATGCCATGCCAAACATCCACGTAGATGAAAAATGCATTTATAATGATCCACATCGAGAAGCTCATTCCATTTTTGATATAAACACTTTAACGAGAAGTATTTTTTGTACTCTTTAAATATACATTCCCAAGAAGGCAGCTACCATGTTATTGAAGGAAGCTTGCCTTTTGATTTGTTCACTAATTTCACCAAGAGTTGTTCTCCATTTTGGGAAGTCACACCATTGATGCAATGCTGCCCACAGTATCTGAGTCACTCAGACCACACACCAGAATCAGCCTCGTTTGGAGCTGTTGTAGTCATGCTGACTCTACAAATACATAGTGATACACTTTGTTAGCACTTAATTCAAAATGTCAACATAAAGAAAAATACCTATCACGTTTGTTGAATAGTTTCTTATTTTCCTGAAGTCTGAACATGTTCACAGGAAGTAGGTTCAAGCATTTGATTACTTTGTCTTTTAATCTAGTTGTGTCAGAAGTATTTACACATGAACATTTTTATTATTTCATTGTAAATTATTTCCTCTTATAGATAGAGCATTCACTTTTTTTGAATTTATATAAGGTAGGTCATACTATGTTTGGATTTTCAAAACCAAATATTTGCCATAAAAATGGGATTTCTGAGACTGACAAGATTGAGTGACAGTTTTAGACAAACATAGGAGCAACTGGGACATAGGAAAGGATTAATTATTTGAGTATGGTGAGAAATGATATCAAAATGGACCCTTGGGAGTGACAGAAAGTTTAAAATAAAAAAAAAATGTAGGATTGAAGATTTGAAGCAGCTGACTTCTTTAGTAATGCTAATGTTTATCAAATGCTTCCTCTGTGCTGGATCCATTGCTGAGAAATGTTCTTTGTTACAGGCTGTCAGACAGCCTGTGCTGTCTGATGCCACACAGGCAATAGGGGCAGAGCCCAGACTAGAACAATGTTTGCCAGTCTACCAAGCCTGCCCCCTCAACGATACCCCATTGGCCAGTTTAGTCTGTGGAAGACAAGCTTGAACTTCCCCCTGGCCCCTACTGGACAGGATCTCTGTTGAATGGGTAGGAGGACATCTGACAAGCTTACGGGCTCAGACTGCCTTGGTTTGATTTCCTGCTCCTGCTATGGCTGAGATCTGTGGAAAGGTTGGGCTGGAATGGGATTTAGGAAGGGTAAAATGTCCTGTTCAGTAGGTCTGCTCCTTTTCCTAAAGACATCTAGGGGCATATCTGTTTTGAAATGATATTTACACATGAACCACGTTTCATCAGTAAAACAAATTGTTTAATAACAGACCAGCAACAGGAACTCCTTTCCAATATATTTAAAATCTTGTAGGCTCTACAAAAGTTCTCCAGTATGAGTTCTTTTAATTCCTTCAAAAAGACAGTTTTAACTTTGCATTGCCACAACTTCCTGGACTGTGGCTCCTTTCCTTGCAGTTTCAAAGTGTGGGAGGAATTCCACAACCACCTACAACATCTCTGTTACTCTATTTCAGATAGAGTGAAAATGAATTCTAAACATCAGTGTTGGCTTCTTCACGTTCCCCGTCGTCTTGGGGGTGGCACTATACAGAAGTGCAGTTATGATGAAGAGGCAGCTAGGCTTTGGGGAGTCCATGTGTGGCCACCTATTCTTCCATATGTGTGTCAATGGAAAGTGCTGCTGTCCTGTCCATGCTGTCCCCAGCCCTGGAACCAGCCCACTCTCACCTCCATTGCTTTGTACACAAGCACTAGACTCTGTTTAAGGAAATCCTTCCAGAGCCCCCACCTGGAGTTTACCCTCAATCCCCTTGTTCTCCTTTCTCTGCCTTCTCAATATTGAGCCCCACATTCCAGCTTCATCTCTGCACCTGGCCTCTTCTGTTTGGTCACTTTCTGGAGCCTCAGACTCCCCTTCTAACTTTGTGGTTGATGTCTTCCTGTGGAGGTTTAGCTCAGCTTCTTATTCAATTTTGACTTCTTTGAGGAACTACCCCAAGACTTTCAGAACCTCACTGACTAGGTCAGAACACCCCCACCTTCCTCTCCTTCATCTCCAATGCCACACCTGGGGATGGTGGAAGGACTGAGAGTGTTCTTGTGGCACAAATTGTCTGTCAGGGATTCTATGCCTCTCCCATGGTGTAGAGTTGTAAGGACGCTGTTGCCAGCAAGGGGTTGTATTTTCAGCCCATTAGGTTTGAGGTGAAGACAGTAACTATTTCTTTCCAATGACGTGTGATCTGTGTCACTTCCAAGATGGAGTGGTTAAGAAGTGGGCCATCTCTCTTTCCCTACTTACTAGCTGAAGGCAGTGGACTTCAAGGCTGTAAGGGAGGGTGGAAGCCAGATGGCAGGGGTCTGAGTCACTGAATCACCACTCATCAGCAGCAACTCTTGTACTGGGTCTCAGTGAGCAAGAAATAGACTCTATCATTTAAGTTTCTTAGGTTTGGGATTTAGTGTTAGATCAGAGGGCATTTCCCTAGTGTGTCCCCAGTTTCCTCACCTCTAGATGCTGGACTTTCATGGGGATATCCAGAGCCTAGGGAAGACCTCAATCTTGATGTCAGGCTTGTAGAAACACTGTGTAACTGAGACCTGCTGATTTACCTCACTCCGGTTGTTTGCAGTCTGTAATAGTCTTGGACAAGTGTCTTAAGTAGTTCAAGTGTCAACGCTTGCATACATAAAAATGACAATATTAATAATATCTGGCTCTGATGACAGGATGCATGGCTAGTGCTTAGTACAGAAATGTAGGAGTTGTTCCATAAATGCCAGTTGTTATATTAACACTTGATTTGGAAACACTGATGGCCTATCTTAGAGTCAGCTCTGATCTAGAATTCCAGGTGTTAGCTCAGGTTCTAAATGCTGAGTGGTACTCTGTGTCATTCCTCAAATACTTTCGAGTAGGAAATCCCGACTGTTTTTCTTTATATTCATATGCAATACCTCTGGCCACCAATTGAGTGGCGTTTTCTTTCACACCAAGCAATTCTTCAATTCTCTGTGGATGACAACTGGATGTCCTACAATTCAATTCAATTCCCGCACTATCTACCTGGGCTTAGTGCAGATCCCACAAGTTAAGGGCTCAGTCCCACAAGATTGCTCTCCCCCAACTTTCAGACACCAATTGCAAATGAGAGGTTACCCACAACTTCTCTTCAACCTGGCTACAAATCTGAGGTTCCCATAAACCTCCCTCTTTAGGTTCAATCATTTGCTTAGAAAAGATCACATAATTCAGGAAAGCAGATTATTACTAGATTCCTGGCTTACTGAAAAAGTATACAACTCAGAAACAACCAGATGAAAGAAATGCATATGGCAAGGTATGGGGAAGGGGCACGGAGCTCCCATGTCCTCTCCAGCCAGCCAACTGCCCAGTATCTCCATGTGTTCAACAGCCTGAAAGCTAATTGAACCTCTTCCTTTTGGGTTTTTATCTAGCCGTGATTGATTAAATCATTAGCCGTTGGTGATTAAACTTAATCTCCATCCCTTCTCCCCTCCTTGGAAGTCAAAGAGGTGAGGCTGAAAATTCCAGCCCTCTAACCATATGGCTGGTTTCCCTTATAATCAGTCCCCAGTCTTAGGGCTTTCCAAAAGTCACCTCCTTAACATAAGCTCAGGTGTGATTGAAGGAGCTTGCTACGAATAACAAAAAATGCTCCTTTCACCTTTGTCTCCCCTATCACTTAGGAAATCTTGAGGGTTTTAGGAGCTGTGTGCCAGTACCTGGGACAAAGACCAAATATAGTCGCCTTCTCTCTGTATAACTGTGTTCCTCATCCATGGATTCAACCAACCTCAGAAAAAATAAATAAATAAATAAATAAATAAATAAATAAATAAATAAATAATACACCTGAACTGAAACTGTGCATGATTTTTTTCTTGCCATTATACCATAATCAATATAGTATAACAACTACTTAACAGAGAACCTACATTGATTTAGGTATTGTAAGTAATCTGGAGATGATTTAAAGCATCTGGGAGGATGTGTGTAGGTTATATGCCAATACTACATCATTTTATATAAGGGACTTGAGCATCCTCAAATTTTGGTGTCCTCAGTGGGTTCCTGGAACCCATTCCTTATGGAAACTGAGGGATGACCATGCATACTTCTTATTATAAACCACAATGTCATAGCCTTCTTTTAGCTAGGATGAAAAGGTGGGCAGTGAACTAGAGTTTCTCTTACTCTTTTTCAGTCATAATTATTTTCTTCCTGCTTGCCTTCTGGTGTCAAATTATTGAGTCTCAGTTGGTGCTCAGCCCAATGCCCAGTTCTTAATGCACACATGGGTCTCCCTCATGGAAATGTAATTTCTTTGGATTCTTTTGAGGCACACTTACCAAACTGAGGAAGGTGGCAGTGTGCAAGAGGAAGGCAGAAACAGAGCATTAATATGGCATTTGTTCCTGGAATATCAATTTAACTCAAGGTTAATTAATGTCAAAATAAGTATGGACAGGTTGTACTGTAGAGTAACATGCACACTTTATTTATTTGTTTACTTTAAATGATAAAACATGAGATTTGCTCTCCTTTGTCTAGGGCTGCTTCCTGGACAGCTGGAGAAACACTGCTCTAAAACCTGTAATGCCCCTTGCTGAAGCAGAGTGATTTTTGCTACCCATTTTGATGCCATAATTTAGATATCCATCTCACCTCACTGCACTCTCTTTACCTGGGACATTTTGGTGGTGTTACTTTATTTTCTCTTCTCCTCTGGAGTGGATAGTTGAGTAATTGAAAACAATTTGGGTGGGGAATATGATAGGGCAATCAGTCCTGGATAAGAGAGTAGTTCTAGAATATTTGAGAAAAAATGCTCACATTTTTCTATTAGTCAAAAAAAATAGTCAAAAACTTTACCCAACTCCTAATGAATATTAACAATAGGAATAGTCAATATAATCAGTCTGATAAGGAATAAAATAAAATTGCACATTTATATGTGAATTTACACATGAAACATTTGTCCTGGGAAAATTGGACTCAGTAGCAATAATTATTGCAAAAGAGAATGCACGACAGTTGAAGCTGTAATTGATGTCTCATGTGAACAAAAGCTAAGAATTGGTTTGGATGAAAATTGATTTTAGTGAAATAAACATACAAATAGAAAATAATGAAAATACTTAACCACATCGATAGGAATTGATCAAAGAAGTAACATGACTTAATAAATTTCCCTCTTGAAATATAATTACTTTTGGAAAAATGCTGATTTTGTGATTGCTTTTTATTGCTAAATCAATAAATTTCAAATTTTAGTATTTATTTTTGTAATGTGAGGTAAAATTGTTTCCAAGGACCAAAAATGGTGTCATTGAAATGATTTAATGGGTCAAAATGATGAGATCAAAATGAATCAAAACAGTGGGCCAAAGTATTCTGAACCTTTGGCTTGCATGTGGAAGTTTTCTGGTAAAAGTTAATTAATAACCACAATCCTCATGCGTGTCTCTATGCCACCCACTATACAATGAAGTTGCCATGTAATATTTCATGAATCCTTTGGATAATCTGTGTGATAGATGTTAGCACCTCTCTTTTGCAGATATAGAAACTTTATGTCAGCCTGTTCATATAGCTCATCTGAAAAGACTCAGCTTTTCATGGGTCTGTCTCCTAAGCCTTCAATACATTTTACCCCACTGCCACCCACCTACCAACCATTCTGAGATAGATTGAAACCCTAGGGCATCATTTCATTCATTGCCTCAATTCAGTTAAGTAAGTTGTGGTTAATTACACTACTGTTCCCAATAATTTGCTCCTATCCCTGTAGGAAGATTATATAATCATGTCTATTGCTATGTGACTTTTTGTAGACTATCCTTGTGTGAGGAGTTTCCTGCCCTGCCTCAATGACATCTGCCTTGGTTGTCATGACTTACTTTGGCCAATAGAAAACAGGTAGCAATGACCTGTGCCAAACCCATGCAAAAACTTTAAGAGCAACTGCATGGTTTGTCATTGCTCATTTTCCCTCTACACAGGGTCTCTCAACCTCACTATTAACATTTTGGACCAGATAATTATTTGTTGCTGGTGGAGATGGGGTCTGTCTTACGCATTGGAAGATGTTAAGCAGCATCCCTAGCCTGTACCCACTAGATGACAGCAGTATCCATCTCTCAGTTGTGACTACCAAAAATGCCTGGAGACATTGATAAAATATCCCCTGGGAGGTGATATCATTTCTGGTTAAGAACCACTACTCTACCACAACAATGGTATGTCCCATAGAAGCTATTCCTTTATCCTCCATTCCAGGATTTTTTAAAAAATGTGGGGTGCCGACCCACAGCTACATGTAACATGTACGAAAAATCAACCTTTTCTCTTGTCTTTGTGATTCTGGGGTTGGTTGTTAGCACAACATAACCTAGTGAAAGCTGACTAATACAGACATGTGGAGGAAAGTGCAGGATACATTAGAGATGGTCATATCTTATTAATTTTTTAATTAGATGAAAATGAAATATTTTAATAGATAATTGTTAAGACTATCAGCTCATAGCTGTTATTAGTATAAAAAGTCAGTATCAGTTAAATAGAAAACATAACATGTATTTATCTTGTATGATTCCTCCTAAATGGAGTTAATGAGTTGGGGAAATGACTGGTTTTCCATTTATATTTGGTTGGCTATTTGTCTCTTAGATTTTAATGGGGGCATGTTGGATCTGGGGGAGCAAGGGTAGTGGGAACAAGAGCTCTTGGGGAATCTCTGGAAGATACTCTAGCAGTGGCGGAAGTGGGACTTTCCCTAACTGCTACTGTTGGCTGGGCTACATTTCTTGGAGACATTGGACCCTCACTCAATAGAGACTTTAGGAAAAGTCCCAAGAAAGATCTTTCCATTACTCCAGAGGAATCACTGAGTCGTACTTACCAGGAAAAGTCTGGTTTTGTCATGCTGGGAGTCAAATCATGGCGTGTATTTACACCCTTCATGAAAAGGCAGTGCAGTATGGTGACCATGAGTGAGAGCTCTGGAAACGCGCAGTTCTTTTCCAGGCGAATGAACTTAGTCGCTTGACTCTGTGCTTTGGTGTTTCCATCTAAAAATGGGGATCATAGAGGAGCTATATCACAGGTTTATTGTTGAATTAAATGAGATAATAGATTTACATTGATGCTACACTGGGCATGTGGTATGCGCTCAATAAATGCTAGCTACTACTGTTACTAGTTGTAAATGGGGATGAAAATGGGCTACATTTCTTGGAGGCATTGGGCCCTCACTCAAGACATGAAAAGTCTGGTTTTTTCATGCTGGGAGTCAAATCATTTGAAAATGGGGATGATAGAGGCACCCACCTCACAGGACTGTTGTGAGGATTGAATCAATTAGTATATATGAAGTGGCCAGAACAGTGTGTAAGTAAAAATTTTTATTATTGCTAATACTACTACCATCTCAGGGAAATCACCACATTTTAAAATTCTAATGCAATACCAAATTTAAAAAGCTGCTCTCATGTAAGTGTTTTCATACTAATGCCATGTGTTCTATATTTGAGTTGCAAAATATGTGATAATGCTACAGATGCATAGGACATCTTTTTCCATATAATAGCAAAGCTCTAAAACTCTTCACACAGTACCCCTGTTTCTGCATATCAGTGTTTTTAATAAAGTCACATTCGAATATATGGCTTTCTTTCAGGACCAAAATAAATGTCATAGGTGCCCACTGCTAATGTAAACTTGAGTCTCTGGTATATTTATAGGAAATGAGCACTGGCTGTCTTTTATAAATGAGAAGATAGAATCTTAGAAAAGTGTTGGGCTGAAAAATAAGAGAATCTCAAGTGTGACCTGGAAGGGAACTTAGAGGTCTTCTATTCCAATCTTCTCATTTTACAGATAGCTCAGAGAAGTTCATTAACTTGCCCAACGTCAGGCAGCTGTTGAATGGCAGAACAGGGGCATAATTGTTTATTTGGTAATAGAGTATTTGATTTATTGAGGCCATCTGGGTTGATGGAGCTGGAACTTTAAGCCAGCTTAGTGCTCCATCCAGCCCGGCTCTAAGGGGTCCCCTCAGAGTCTAGGCGAGATGGCCAGTGGAGAGTTCAGGCACAGAGCAGCACCTAACCACCACCAAGCAATGTCACACAATCTTTTGGTCTTTGGGCACCTGAAGGATGTAGATAGAAGAATACTGTATGCAAAATTAAAAGACCCTAGACTTACCCCTGGCTCTATCTGCCCACCCCCACAACATTTACTGAGGCATAATCTACATATAGCAACCTTTTTTAGTACACAGTTCTTTGAGTTTTGACAAATGCATACAGTCATGCATCATCACCACAACCAAGATAGAGAATAGCTGTGTAAGCCCCAAATCTCTTTGTGCTTTTTCTATTCAACTATTTCCCCAACCTTCAGCCCTTAGTAACCACTGATCCATTCTCTGTTCTCAAGGCTTTGCCTTTTTCAGAATGTCATAGAAATGGAATCGCACAGTTTGCAGCCCTTTAAGTCTGGCTTCTTTCACTTAGCATAATGCATTTGAAATTGTTTCTGGCTGTGTTCTTACTGTCTGCAGGTCTGTGGGTAAGTAGTTTAACCTGTTTCAGCCTCAGTGTCCTCATCTGTAAGATGGGCATTAACACTTGCTTTGCATTCACGTTGTTGTGGTTAGAAAGAAAGAATGCATACAAATGTGGATTAAGTAAGAGGAAATGCAAGTGTACAAATGTACTCATTATTTTTGTTATGAAGTTGCCTTTTGAAGAGATTCCAGGTACAAAGGCAATCCTAATTGAAGTATAAACCCTGCAGAGCCTTTGTTTGTCGGATGAGCGGGGAAGAACCCAGCATCACTGTTAAGCTCTCCCCCAGCCAAAGGGCTCCACGAGCTAGTTCCAAGCCTCAAAATCTTACAGAAAACACTTACCCAATAGGGACTGTCACCAGGGAATGTAGATCTCTGGCATATTGCTTTCACCATACTGCTCCCCCGAGGTGTTGGGAAACTTAACCTGTCCATGACATACTTTGATCTATTTGGATGGAATGTAGCTTTTAAAACATGACCATTAACACTGCTAATAATTTATAATGGTAATTGTATTCTGGAAAAAAAATGAATATCTGACATACGGAGCACCAAACAGTTCCACAAGAAGATAGGGCTTGTCTTGGCTCAAAACGCACAGGGAAGAGGGTGAAATCCAGATTTGCATTTCCTTCTGAGTGTTATGTGATTCTGAGTTATAGAACACATATGACCAACATATATGCCCTGGGCATTTTTGCCGGGATGTGGAACCTGGGAGGCCAGTGTTCGATACTGCCTTCCCATCCAATTGACAAATGGCTGGCAAACCAGCCAGACAGGTGAAGACAGTGCGTAGCCAGAGAAGGCAAAAAAGCTGGGCAGAGATTTAGGAGACCTGATGCTATGTCTGGCCCTGCGATTAATTGTGTGACTTAGTGCTTGTTCCCTTACCTGCGAAAAAAGGGGGCCGTAGTAGATTACCCTGAAGGAATCACAAGTTACCCCCGAAAGATAGAGCCCGACTCCCATCTCTGAGCACCAGAGCCAGGGGAGCAGAAAGCAGCAACCCTGAGCCTTGGAGTGAAATCTTTCAGAGAAGCTCCCTGTTTCCAGCACTAGCTGAATAAGATTCCAATAAACATATTGCTGAAATGTTTGTTTCCGGGTGTCATTTTAGACTGCAAGTAGCTAAAACAGATCTGGCTTCTATATATAGATTCCGCATTTGGTTGTGTTCTAGGAGGCTTTTATTACTACGCTCCCTGGCTGGCTCCCAGCTGAGCTTTTCCTTCAAGGGATCAGATTTTGGAACCAGAAAGTCAAAGAGGATCAGTGACCACATTAAGGGGCATCTCTCTTTCTCTCTGTCTTGCTCTCGCTCTCTCTCTCGTTCTCTCTCTGCTAATGCTGTATACTGCAGGTGGATGCCAGCGTGGACTGGCTCCTCTCTTTGTGCAAAGACTCTTAATAATAATGATGACAAAGCTAATGAAAACTGACCAGCCCCACTATGGGAGTAAATATAAGCAAAACACTCCTGACGTCCTGGGCTTAAAGGAAACATCATATAATTTGGGTTGAAATGAAGTGCAGATGATCACAAACAGCCCAATCTTTAGATAAGAGGACCCAGGAACCTCTGTGGATAGAAATAAAGGAAGGGGCTGTGAAGAATGGGTTTCTTTAGGGGGGTGGGTGTCTGAATTTTACTCATGAATTCTCCAGGGGAAGATATGCTGGAAATGAAAGGTGAAAGAAAGAAGGTGGAGGTGGAAGTTGGAGGCAGAGATGCAGGGAGGGAAAGCGGAGGGAAGAGGAGTTCCCTTAAAGAGACAATGTTGAAGCCTTGCAATCGGATTTTGTAAAACGTGTCCAGTCACTAAGAGACAGTCCCCCTACTGTGTGTCCTTTGTTTTCTGTACGTAAAACCTAACCTCGACCCCATGTTATAGTGTCTCCTCCCTTCACCTGCCTCTGAGATTTCTTTATGTTTAATCATCATGGATCTAACTGCCTTCCTGGTCTCCATATTTTTGTGCCTCACCATCTCTTTCTAGTTTTTCTTCCTGTTTCATTCTTCCCTCTTCTCTTCTCTACTTCTCTTTTCCAGTTCTTTCTCCTCCCAGAATCTTCTCTTTTTCCTAGTCCTCCTACCCTCCCCCTTCCATTTTACCCTCTCCTCCTCCATCTCTCCCCTCCCCCTCGCCTTGCTCCCTTCCCCTTTCCCTCTTTCCCCACGCCTCCTTCTTTCTTCTCTTTTCTTCCCCCCTTACCCCTGCCTGTCCTTCTCCCCTTCTTTTCTCTCTCCCCTTTCCCATCTCCTCATCCCCTCTCCTCTCTCTCCTCGCTTTCCTCTTTTCCCTTTCCCTCCCTTTCCCTCTCCGTCCTGGTCCTTGTTTATCTGTAAGCTCCAATTTCTTGCCTTATAGATTTACCTGCAGAACAAGACACCGCTCCTCTTGCAAAAAACTGTTTAAGAAATCCATATCCTCTCCCTTCATTCCTTGGGCATTTCAGAAATGATATTCCTCCCCCAACTACCCCCGTCAAAATAAAATGAATCCAGCCAGCTCCTGCTGTGTGTCCTTAAATCCATTCCCTCTAGCTTCGCTGGTTTGAAAGCCTGTACCCTAGAAGGGGCCTCCTGCATTTGCTGGCAACCCTGCTCAGTCTGATCGCCACAGATAGTGCTTTGGAGTGAAAAAAAGGGGGAAAAACCCTCTCCTTGGAGATTTCAAAACAGATTCGACCAGCTTTCAAGTCTGTGCACTTGCGGAGTGGCAGAGTTTGGGGAAGAGGGGTAGGGGACTTGGGGTGTGGGTGTTTGTCATAAACAAATAGCAACAGAATTTATGTCTATATAAATTTGGGTTTCCCTTGGCATGTCTAGTGTCTTTCTCCCTGGCATCGAGGGTGGGTGCTGTGCAAGCCTGACTTCCCTCACACTTTTGCTCGGGGGTGTGTATGTGTGATGGAATTGAGGAGGGGGTTGCTGTGTTTTTGATCTGATTCACTTGACAGATTATTTGAATCCAGCCCACCTTTCCGCACATGTCAAACAGATGGGATCATTGTTAAAAGCCTTGAGAGAGCCGAGGCTGAGCGGTGGGTAAGGCAGGGAGGGGGAAGAGAGGAGGGGGGCTGAGGGAGGGAGGGGGCACCTTCTAGTAGCTTTGTGTTTTTCACACATTGGAACTGACAGGAGTCCTTCTTCTCCGTGGGGTGGTGTGTTGCGGGTATGGGGCTGTTGAGGGGTGGGATGGAAAGGAGAGGGAGGTGGGGTGTTGGTGGGCAGGGTTATGATGTCACAGCAAAAGTTACAACAGGAGGAAAACACAGAAATGGTTCAACATTTTTTTTTAACTTGGGACTGCCAAGAGCTGAAGGAGAGTGGTGAGCAAAGGAATGAAGGGAGAGAGAGAGAAACTAAACTGGAAGCTTGAGTTTTGTGTAGCTTCTTGAAACCTTATGAATGGATTACTAGAAGCTGAGAGCCAGGAGAGACCTATAGGGGATGCAAGATCCCTACACATTAAAAGGGGGAGAAAAGCAGGCGGAATTCTTCTTCCTGGCTGTGTTATCCCTCCTTCCTGAAATGAATGGTAGGAAACCTTTTTCTGAGGGTTATGGGGTGGCATGCGGGAGGGGGAAGTTTACTTCTTTTCTTACCTGAGTATCTTCCCTTTACTTGAACTAAACCTCCTCTCTTCCTTCCCTCCTTTCTTTTCTGCTTTCTCTCTCTCTCTTTCTCTCTCTCTCTCCCCTCTGCTTTCCTGGTTTTCTCTATATCCCCCTCCCTAGAGCCCTAATCTTTATTCTTGAGCTGCTTCAGAAAGAGAGGGAGAGAGAGAGAGAAAACTGAGTCAAAAGTAAAGGGAAGGAAAAAGGGCAGTCTAGGATTGAGGGGTATCTGCTTAGTAACATCCATGTGCCTGAGTTGATATCTTCTTGGGGGACTTGCATCGAGGCTCCAGTGGATGCTACATAAGGAAACAGGACATGCTGGGGATGAGGTGTTTAAGATACAGCATTTATAATGCAAACAAGTCAGTTCTTAGCTGGGGTAGAGGAGTTTAGAAGATGATGATGAGACTCAAGGCAGAAGAGGCAGTGCGATCTTACTCCAGAGTATGTGGACTGCATGTTTTAGATGTGGGCAACACAAGCAGTGACTTTAAAAGTGTAAGTGATTTTTCTTATTATGTGAATGAAGGACCCAATGTGTTTCTCTACTGTTTTGTACCACCTGTGGTCAGATATCCTTACTTGTGTTAAGAATTCAGAACCATGCCGTGTGTTTGTCCATGTATACATGTGTGTATTTGTGTACACGCACATGCACTTAGGGTGTGGGGGCCCTTTGAGAAAGCCTTTATCTAGGCATCTAGGCAAACACTGCATAGGTTAAAATTATGACATTTTCTTCCCCATCCTTTCCATCCATTTCAAATCAATTGGAAACATGGTTCCTTGGGTCTAGCTGTTCATTTTTGTAAATTACTTATTTTGAACATCTCATTGTTTATTTGCTCACTCAGCATATGGTGACTTTTAGTAACTTCAGATTGAGAAACTTCTGAGATAAAAAGGAGACCTATGTAGTATGAATTCATGGCATTTCCATTTAGTACTTCTCACAGCAGGATACTTGATTTCTCCTTTCTCCCATGTCCGATTTAAAGTGAATTTAAGATATTGTTCTTTTAAATCCCCAATGATTGAACAAAGTAAGAAAAAATACTTTGTTTTGTTTGTGACAAAACAAAAGAAAAATACAAGGGATCCCTAAAAGGTTAGTGTGGGCTTATTAGGCAGTAGGTAGATCTGTTCACAGTAAGTGTGTGTGTGTGTGTGTGTGTGTGTGTGAGAGAGAGAGAGAGAGAGAGAGGGAGAATACACACAGAGAAGAGTACTCCAAAACACTATTGATTTTTTGCTATTGATTGTGTAGGCTGCGGCTGCTGAAAGAGAAAGCCCGAGATGTTTACTGGGGAAACCAAGAGTAGCGTCTGTCCCCTGTGCCTTGGTGAGGTGGGTAGGTTTTCAGGAGGAAGGAGGGGACAGGGAGGAGTAGGTGGAGTGATGCATTGAACTTACTAGCTTTGACATCATCATTGTCTTTAAATGAAAACAAAAACAAAAACAAAAACAAAAAACAAGAAGATATTTACAGGCAGACAGAAAGGGAGCCAAGGGGAGCAGGAGAGACTGGAGAGAACAGGTCCCCTGAAGTGTATGCTCTTCTTTTTGCTCTTTTCCCGATCTTCCCAGGAACCCACAAGACTCCCAGAAGGTGAAGTTAAGAGCTCCCAGACTCATAAGGTTATTAGAACAGCAAACTGGCACCCCAAAGAACTTTACGGAGACTTGCAACCTATCAACAAGTTGGATGAGGGATTAAAAGCCTTCAACAACCAACAACCCCAAGCATCAAACTGAAGGAAACATTCTAACCTTCACAGACAGACTGGAGGCTGGATGGGGACCTGGCTGAAGACATCTGGAGAATGAAAGTTAAGTACCAGCTTGCATTTTTGTGCCCCTAGATTATTTTTGCATTTTAAAATAAGAAGCATCAAATTGCGTGTCTCTGTGTAAAAGTTCTAGCAATTTGTTTTAAGGTGAACTTATTTTGGCTTAGGGACTACAAAAAGAGAAGGTAATTCCTAGGGAAGGAAGAAGAGAAAGAAATGAAAATTAGAGAATAAGATTATTTTGAATGACTTCAGGTAGCGAGGAGTGTGTGTTTGTGAGTGTGTATTTGAGAGACTTGGCTCATGCCTGTGGGTCTTCTCTTCTAGTATCAGTGAGGGGAGGGATTACTGAAGAAGAAGGGGGGAAAAAAAAAGAAAGAAATCTGAGCTTTCTGGGAGGAAATTCAAAGGAACCAAGAGAAATTAACTTCGTTCTGCAAGGACTAAAGTACAGCAAGAGGAGAGAGGTCAAGCGAGAAGCGTGCGGGAAGCACATGCCCTGGGGAGGCATAGAAGCCACACTGGCAGAGCGGCCAGCACAGGTAGCCAGCAGAGGCATTCTTGGGGCTATTTGAAAAAGTTTGGTCTGTGAACAAAACAGTTTCCCTGGTGACTGCAAATCCATTGCTAGCTGCCTCTTTCTCGTCTGCCCATCACTCTGGTGTGGTACCCAGAAGTTGACTTCTGGTTCTGTAGAAAGAGCTAGGGGAGGTATGATGTGCTTAAAGATCCTAAGAATAAGCCTGGCGATTTTGGCTGGGTGGGCACTCTGTTCTGCCAACTCTGAGCTGGGCTGGACACGCAAGAAATCCTTGGTTGAGAGGGAACACCTGAATCAGGTGCTGTTGGAAGGAGAACGTTGTTGGCTGGGGGCCAAGGTTCGAAGACCCAGAGCTTCTCCACAGCATCACCTCTTTGGAGTCTACCCCAGCAGGGCTGGGAACTACCTAAGGCCCTACCCCGTGGGGGAGCAAGAAATCCATCATACAGGACGCAGCAAACCAGACACTGAAGGAAATGCTGTGAGCCTTGTTCCCCCAGACCTGACTGAAAATCCAGCAGGACTGAGGGGTGCAGTTGAAGAGCCGGCTGCCCCATGGGTAGGGGATAGTCCTATTGGGCAATCTGAGCTGCTGGGAGATGATGACGCTTATCTCGGCAATCAAAGATCCAAGGAGTCTCTAGGTGAGGCCGGGATTCAGAAAGGCTCAGCCATGGCTGCCACTACTACCACCGCCATTTTCACAACCCTGAACGAACCCAAACCAGAGACCCAAAGGAGGGGCTGGGCCAAGTCCAGGCAGCGTCGCCAAGTGTGGAAGAGGCGGGCGGAAGATGGGCAGGGAGACTCCGGTATCTCTTCACATTTCCAACCTTGGCCCAAGCATTCCCTTAAACACAGGGTCAAAAAGAGTCCACCGGAGGAAAGCAACCAAAATGGTGGAGAGGGCTCCTACCGAGAAGCAGAGACCTTTAACTCCCAAGTAGGACTGCCCATCTTATACTTCTCTGGGAGGCGGGAGCGGCTGCTGCTGCGTCCAGAAGTGCTGGCTGAGATTCCCCGGGAGGCGTTCACAGTGGAAGCCTGGGTTAAACCGGAGGGAGGACAGAACAACCCAGCCATCATCGCAGGTAACACCCTTCTCCTGGGCTTTCTGAAATCCTGAGGGTATGGCTGGCTTTATTTCTGACGGGTTAGACATAGGGAGCGAGGATGGGAAGGGGACCCAACAGGAAAGCCAGAAAGGGCTAGCCAGGGAGAGGGGGAAGGGCCTTTATTAATCAGCACGGCAGGATTCCAGACACCATCAAAAAGGAGATAATGACTCTAGCCATATCAGCCTCTGTACCTTGTATTGATCTCATGTCCTTGTATACATTGTGCTTGCACTTAGGAGACTTTAGCTCTCTTACCTGTCTTTAAAGGGATAGAGCTCCTTGGTTCTTTGCCAAAAGAGAAGGGGTGTCACACTCCATTTCCGGTAGACCAATATGAGATACCCAGGCAACCTTGAAGACAGATGAGAATCCAAGGACCTGAGCAATGAGTCATGCCTGGGCTGGTCCAGGTGGTGAGGAAACAAGGCTGCTAGGTACACAGCCGTCAGGTCCTGCCTGGTTTCCTTTTCTCTGAGTGCCCTGGATCTTGGCAGAAAGGTGCCCTTTGGTCCAGGTCCTGGAGGTCCCTCCACTTTGTCACAACAATCATGTGTCCAGCTTAGGAACAGTAGGGTCCACTGGAAAAAGTGAGCACTTACAAGCCAAGATCCTGACTTCTAGGCCTGCTGTTGTTGTAAGAAGGACCTAAAAAATGAAACTTTTTATAACTCCATGATTTTGATCAGGAGCACTGGTCTGGGAACATGACCCACATTTGTTTGCACTACACACAGATCTTGCTTTTCATGGAAAGTCACCCAGAAGGGCAAAGAAAAATGAGGTTAAGAGTAACTGTTCCCTGTTGCCTTACTGGGAAAGTTGGAATGAAGCAAGGGGTCATGGATTAGACATGATATTTCATCATTTAGTACCTTATCCTTTTGAATTCCCCATGACAGAACCTAACACAAAGCAAGGTGCACAGTAGAACCATATAATCTGCTTAATTTGAATTATCCACAGTGCTCTTTCATGTTTTCCAGTCCCATTATATTGATGGGGAAACTGAGGCAATAAAAGGCATGCCAGGCAGGCTGGGAATAGAACTCCAGGACACTTGAATCGCTTGAAGATTTTCCGAATTAAGAAAATATTCTCAGGTTACTGGATGCCTGCAAAGTTTCAGACTAGGGAAAGAAGTCGGCAAGGAGGGAGCCTCTTTCAAGGGGGTGTTGCTGGAACATCCCTTCCGGACACTCTGTCTCCCCCTCTTTGGCTGTGATTTCTCCTTCGGAAGCTGGGATTCCCAGACACTGAGCATTCTCAAGTCTTGTGGTTTTGCTGTATTTTATTTTTGGGTGGGAGAGGGAGTGGGGAAAGGGGAGAAATAAGGGTTGGGCTATAAGTTAGGTGGGGGAAGAGAAAGAGTAGAAGGAAATCCTTATTCTGGGGCCAAATGGAAGAAATAATGAGATGATTATCTGATCAGAGTTGGCAGCTCCACAATTTCTCCCAGATGACATCTTCTTGCTGCTTAATCTTGCTTCCTAGTACCCATCTGCCAGGGAAACTGTGTGCTTGCAGTCTAGACTAAGACCCACGACTCTGCTTACCCCTCCTCTTGCAGTAGCAACATAAAGACCGGGGATCAATTCCCTGGCTGAAAAAAAATGAGAGAAAGATCCAATAGGAGTCTATGTGGGTGGCTCTAAGGGGCTGCTGCTTTGGGTTACTAGAGGCCAAACCTGGGGAAACTTGACCCCTGTCCTGTCCCTCCTGTGTCCTGTCTGATGCTCTGCACAGAGGAAAGCAGTGTCATGATTTGATTCCAGTTACAGCATTTCTTGTGGCACCTCCCCCATCCCCACCCCAGGACGTCTTTCTACCTTGCCCACCTGTCCACCGCCTCCAACCCCTGCCAACACTGCCACAGCACACACTCAGATCCTTCTCTAAAGTGCCCGTCTGAACTCTTTTAACCGTAAGCATGTAAAATTGGGCAGAAAATCTTTTGCAGACTGTCTAGCTTCTGAATTTTCCTTCTCTTCAAATCAAAGTGTCCCTTGTGGTGTACCAGTATTTCCCCTCTTAGGTCTACACCAGAAAGGTTGAGGGCAGGGAATGCCCAGGGCTATCTCATCTCCACTTACCACTCTATATTTTTCTTTAGATTTCTGTACATCAGAAAATATTCAGTAAAGATGTAGGGTAAAGGTCTGGGAAAGATGGAGGTTGGGAACATGGTTTCATTCTTTGGGATTCTAGCAACAGGGCTGCTGAGGGCTTGGGCATCCTTGTGTACTCACTGTGCTTAGCTGCTTACACTTCACCTGTGCTCTCCATGCCTGAGAACCATAATGTTGCCAAAGGCATTTACCCTAATCTACTCATGCCTGTGGACAGACCAGTCCATCTTCCTTCTCTTACCATACAGCACTCGCCCCTGAGCTGGTCATTGTCTATTCCTACGATGGCTGGCCTTCACCTATGCAGAATGACAATAGAATCATGTCCCTGGGAGCCACATACAATTCAGCAATTCTGCTGTTCCACTTGGAATGATCCGAGGTGCTGCAAGACTTGGCCCCTACACTTTTTTCAACAGCTCTCAAAGCGTAGCTTCTACCTACTCAACTTAAACCCAGTTTCCCAATCCTTAATCTACCCAATTTAGGGCATTTTTTATTCAACAGAGACTTCAAGCAATGCAGCCATAGCAATTTACAGAGGAACATTCCCCTCCCCAGCCCCAGATGCGGGGGTCTTAGAGGATACTTTCTACACGGAACACTAGGTGGCAGTGTTGCTTCATTCACAGGAGAGTAGGCAGCCACGTAGTGGGGAATGTCTCTGATTTCTTGGAGGACTGTCCTGCCCTGGCTCTGGGCTGTGTGTATTTAATTGTCCTCTCCCAGAATGTTGTTCGTTGGCATCCCTTGGGGTCAGCTTTATGCAAGTGTTTTTTGCGGGGCTTATGTGAAAGGGCAAAAGTGACATTTTTGGGGTTGTGACTAACTTGCACTTTAGCAACTAGTAAAGAAAAGAAAATCAACTAAAGTTTCCCCTCTCCCTCCCCCACTCCAAACTCCCACATTCTTCCAAAATAGAAAGTTGAATTCCAGAATGAATTGCCAGAATACATTTATTTAGAGTTGAGGACAACACGGAGCTCACAGGCTTTGGGTGCTGAACGTCTCTCTGGCCCTCAGAAGGCGAGACGTGGTACCTGGGTCCCTGCAAGGTAGATCTTCTGAAGTGGCCTATTTCCCATAGCGGAGACAGAACAACCAAGGTGTAGGAGAGGACTGTGTACAACTGCTCCACTGTAGAGTCCTCTGTAAGAGTAGCTAGTCAGGGGCCTGGCAGCTCAGGGCCATGTGGCCACCTAGGAGTAGACTGAGGTCAGGAGCCCATTTGGTTGGGCCATTGGAACTGAGAACTGGACGTAAGCCAAATTCTGTCCCATCCACGTGTGTAACTTTTAAGCTCCAGCACCCAACCTTGAAACCATCCTGTTCCTTTCCCGCCTTCTCAACTTCCTTTCCTCTCTTTTAACCCCAACATACACAAAAGAGAAGATTTTAATAGGTTCCTCCTCACCCATAATTGATTTCAAATGTTCCCTGAAGTTGCCCAGCTGAGTAACCACCTGCAGCTCCAAGTTGCAGGAGACTGAGTCACTAAGTCCATGGCAGAATTGGAGCCTGAGCCCAGGTTTCTTCATCCGACAAATATTTATTGAGTGCCTTCCATGCAAAGCACGGCAAGGCCCTGTGGGGAGCACAAAGATGTCTAAGAAACTGTCCCTGACATGAAGACAAGTTTTCCTCCTCTGAGGATCCGAGCATTAGAGTATATGCTTGTGTAGAACTTGGGAGGCAGGCCAACCTGGCAACAGATTCCATCTCTGACGCTTATCAGGGCTGTGGTCTTCAGCGATCCATTGAGCTTTTCTATGCCTTCATTTCCTCAAATGGAAAAAGGAGAAAAATATATGTATACAAAATATCATTCCATTTAAATAAAAATGAAAAAAGCTCCAAAAAATGAAAAATAAGACAAAGTCTTGCAGAGTCGTTATGATGCTTGAACAAGTCATGTATGTAAAGTGCCCACCATAGGGCTTGGCCACTGTGTTTACTCATGGCCTGGCAGGAGCTAACAGTGGGAGGCAATCATTACTGGGAGCAGCACGTTAACCTGCTTGTCTTTGGTTCTAACCCACTAACCTATCATTTTTCCTTAGGTGGAATATTCACTTTAATTTCTTAGGAATTCAGTTTGCTAGATTGTAAAATGAGAATGATGGTAAACAGACTTTTTTTACAACACAGTCTAATGTGTTGTAAATGCAGTAGAATCAGAGGCCCCAAAGGGCTCATTTATTTTATTTAAAAAAATCCATTCTTTTTAGCCTGAGCAGTACTATTTTGAATAAATTGGACAACAGTGCTAAAGTTTTCTGGAGGCCATAAAACCTTTTGAAAATCTGATGAAAGCTATGTCCACTCCCTAGAAAAATGAACATGTTCACATAGTTCACACAACGTTCAGAGCTGTATTAGTCTGTTCTCAAGCTGCTGATAAAGACATACCTGAGACTGGGTAATTTATAAAGGAAAGAGCTTTAATGGACTCACAGTTCCACATGGCTGGGGAGGCCTCACAACAATGGCTGAAGGTGAATGAGGAGGAAAGTCATGTCTCACATGGTGGCAGGCAAGACAGCGTGCGCAGCGGAACTCCCATTTATAAAACCATGAGATCTCCTGAGACTTATTCACTATCACACGAACAGCACAGAAAAACCCACCCCCATGATTCAATTACCTCCCACCAGGTCCCTCCTGCAACATGTGGGAATTATGGGAGCTACGACTCGAGATGAGATTTGGGTGGGGACAGAGTCAAACCATATCAAGACCCTTCACGATTTCTTGATGGCCAGGGTCTGCTGACATTATGTATAAAACCTATTGTTTAAGGCCTATATTGGTAAGTGTTGTTGTTGTTGTTGTTGTTTTTGACATCTAAGAAATGAGATTTCACAGAATGCTGAAACATCCCCTTCTCCCAATAAGGGAGGTTTGTACTCAAGGTGGAGGGTGTCATCCACATAGAATATGGAGCTTCATAGAAGGCAGATTCACGTAGATGTGAAGAGAATGTAAAAGGCAGGCCACGTGTGGGATCTCTCCCTTTATCCAATAGGACTCAATGACAGGTGAAGAGACAAATCTATACTTTTCCCAGAATCTTCCTGAAGATGAGGTTTGCATGGCCCTCTCCTCAGTTGCTTCTTCCTATATCACAGCAAGGTTTGAAGTCAGAGTGTTTGTCCTCCAAGAATCCTGTGGAACTGTGCAGTTCCCTCCACATTAGAACTCTGCTCCCTGGTTAGGATCCACATGTGCAGCAAAGTCATGGCCACCTGCCCTAAGCATGGACGACCCATGGATGTGAGGGCTTGCTGTTGGTTTCTGGGGATGGATTTACCCACAGTGATGAGTACGAGTTGCACGAGTTGACTTGTGTGAACAGGGCATAGCCCCTGATGGTTGTAAATTAGCATCTTTGTGTAGAAGGTTTTATCATGTGGCTATATGGCCCTCAAGAAGAGAGTAACATGGAGGGGCTGTATGATATCTGGTTTAAGAAGTGAAACAGACTGTGACTATGACCCTTTTTCTCGAAGCCTGTGGCCATGCCCCTCATCCCTATGGGAAAGTAATTTTCTCTATGTCTCTGCTTCCAGGGCCCTTCATGTGTGGTTTCCTAGGGTGCATATTGCTTCCTGCCTTATTTGTTATGTGCATGTCTCATTTCTATCCACTGGTAATTCCTCCAGAGGCAAATGCATGTCTGATTAACTTTTGTGATTCCAAAATATCTAGCACAGTATTAGGGACTCTCAGTTATGTTTGTAGAATAGACAAAATAGAAATTTAGACAGCTGACTGTCCATTAAGGATGAATAAAAGGGTGGAGGGAACTTTCTGAAACTGGAGTCTCTTTGTGGGATCCAGGGCAGTGGCTTTCAGATTCTGTTTTTGCTGCCTACTGAGGTGTCTTAGGAGCTTCTGAGGGGAAATCACTGAGTACAGGGCTCCCTTTCCACCTTCAATAGGAGCATCCCCTCCCTTACCTGTTTCATGTGAAGGAGGGGCTTAATTACTTTAAGGAAGTTTAAACCCCAGAACTCTAGAGCAGGGGTTGGCACATTATGGCCTATGGGTCACATCAGGTCTAAAGCTGAAGCTTGTTTTTGTAAATAAAGTTTTATTGGCACACATCCACACCCATGTTGGTTATGTGTTCTCTGTGGTGGCTTCCCTGCTAACTGGTGGAGGTAAGTAGTTGCAAAAGAGGCCTTCTGACCCACAAAGCCCAAAATATTTACTGTCTGGCCCTTTGTAGAAAGTTTGCTAACTCATACTTTAGAGCATTTCTTCTCAAACTTCAGTGTGAATAGAGATCAGCTGAGACTATTCTTAAGATGTCTGCCATGGCAATACACCTGGCAGCAGGTGCAATGTAAGTACGTCTTGCACAGTGCAGGCAGTTTCATGGACCAAGGACCCCAGGCGCTGTGCTCTGAAACACATCACTGCATTTTCACTGAGGCCACAGATCCCTGGGGTGGCATGGTTAAAGGCAGACCAGTTCCTGAGAGACAGTCATTGACTTTGGCTGGAGGACTCAAAAAGGCCTTGCAGGAAATTCCTTAGACTGCACTGTAGTCAACAACACTTCCATCCCACCTTCCTTCCCTCTTTTTTTTCCTTCAGAGTCAGACTTGCAGCAATGACTGATGTCTCTCCCAGCCTTTTCAGGATCTGTTTATATTTCCTCGGAATTGTCCCCCCCAGTAAAATCCTACATATTTAATCCTGTATTGGCATCTACTTCTTGTACTAACACAACTACCTTACGCAAATGCAGATTTGGGTTCAATAGGTCTGGGGCAGCCTGAGATTCTGCATTTCTAACAGGCTTCAGGTGCTGTTGCTGTTGCTAGTATGTGGACCATAATTCAAGTTGCAAGACTCTAGACTCTTGAGTCCAAGCTCTTGAGCCCAGGGCAGAAGACAGCAGACTTTTTCTGTAAAAGGACAGATAGTAGATAGTTTAGGCTTCTTGGGCCATGCAGTCTCTGTTGCAAAAAATTCAACTCTGTTGTTAGAATGTGCAAGCAGTCGTAGATGATATGTAAACACATTTCTATGCCTGTGTTCCAATAAAACTTTATTCACAAAAAGAGGTGGCAGGCTAGATTTTTCTCATGAGCAGTAGTTTGCCAACTGCTTTTTCCACCATCCTTTTGTGCTTTGCTTTCTAGTTTCACGCTATGCAAAATAACTCCAACAGAGAGACTGTGGCACTATCAGTGGTGGGACATACCTTTTGTTCAAGTATAAACAGAACTTCCCAGATATTTCTTGCAGGAAACAAGTCATGCTAGTTTCTTGGTATGAGCATTCCAGGCAGAGTTTATATTTATTTCTTTCCTTTTCTTTTTTTTTTTTTTTTTAGAAAAAAGCATACTGAGATGTAACTTATCTTAAAGTTCACGTGTTTAAAGTGTACAAATAACGTCTTTAGTATTCTTACAGACTTATCTCAACCTATTATCTCAATTATCTCAATCAATTATCTCAATCTAATTTTAGAATATTTTAGTGGCACCCAAAAGAAATGCTGTACCCATTAGCCCTACCCACTTCCCTCCCCTCCTTTCCAAATCCACCATAGCCATAGCCATCAGCAACCTACTCTCTATCTCTATAGATTTGCCTATTCTGTGTTATTTCATAAAAATGGAATGTATCATACAATGTATGATCTTTTGTGGCTGGCTTCTTTCACTTGAGGCTTATCCATGTTGCAACATGTATTGGCACTTCATTCCTTTTTATTGTTAAGTAATATCCCATGCATATACTACATTTTGTGTATCCAGTCTTCAATTACTGGATATTTTGGTTGTTTCCACTTTTTGGCTGTTATGAACATTGTGCACAAGTGGATATTTTTCTATTTCTTTTGATTAGATACCTAGGAGTGGAATTTCTGGGTCATATGGTTGCTATATATTTAACATTTTGAGGCTCTACCAGACTACCAAAGTGGCTGCACAATTTAGTAATCCTCATGAATGCATGGAGGTTTGGTTTTATGCCTCTGACCCTCTAAAATGAAATGGGGGCTGGGCACAGTGGCTCACGCCTGTAAAACTAGCACTTTGGGAGGCTGAGGCAGGCAGATCGCTTGAGACCAGGAGTTCAAGACCAGCCTGGGAAATATGACGAAACCCCATCTCTACAAAACATACAAAAATTAGCCGGGTGTAGTGGCATGCACCTGCGGTCCCAGCTACTCAGGAGGCTGAGGTGGGGGGATCACCTGAGCCTGGTGAGGTCGAGTCTGCAGTGAGCCATGACTGTGCCGCTGCACTCCAGCCTGGGGGACAGAATGAGAACCTGTCTCAATAAAATAAAATGGGCTTCTGCGACATCACTGGTGAGTATGGTTTGGCCACTGTTAGCATCTGAGAATACTTCAGTGGTCTTGGAGAAATCTGCCATTGTTGCACAATGAGGAGAGACATCTGGGCTCTGATGCTGACGCCTCTGAAATAGCAGGGAGTCCTTCCTAGTTGAAGTGGGTTCTCTCACCAAGCTCCCTCTTCTGGCTTCTTGAAGGTATCCTCAGATGGGCCTTTTCTTCCCTGAACCTTCACCTTTGGCCTGAAGTGTATTACTTGCTATTACCTGCAACCTGGCTGAACCCTCAATGATAGGCATACAGGAAACACTCAGGTGCTTAGAAGTCACAATGCATCAGATTCTGATGCAGCAGCACCTTCAGAAAGAAAAAGAGAAGAGAAACCGAGGGGAGAAGGGAAGATGAAGCTCACATAGCTCACATAGCTGTGAACTTTCTCCTAGATTCCAGCTCTATGTCTGGCCCCAGCTGGGTTCTTTGGCAGACCATTCAGGGTTTGGTGTCTGACTCACAGGGTTAGATCTGGGCCTTTGGGGTCATCCAGTCGTTTGGGGTGCAGGTGGGGGAAGGAGAATCACTTCCAGGCAGTGGTGTAGAGGGGTTTTCTGTAAGAATGGCCTGTGATTATCCTATTCACCACACTCCAGCTTCAGTGCCTGGCACCTGTTACTGCCTTTCCTCTCCTCATTCCCCAATTTTCATTTACTGTAAAAGATTCTCTTCCTGGTCCTTTGCATCTCAGGGAGACAATGCAGTGGATGAGGCTTTGACTGACCCAGGTGGCACCATTAGCTGCTCACCTCCCCATCCTCTGGGAGCTGTGTGTTCTTTCTCAGACCACAGGAATGAGATGGAAACCCATGGAGACTCTGGTGTAGTTCTGGGGTGGAGCAAAGATTGTCAGGTTGGAAATATTCAGGAGTGACAGAGGCAGGGCTGGAAAGTAGGAATCACTTTTGGCAGCCCACATACATCCAACTATTCTCTTGTCACCAGCAATAATTTGTCCTTCCTCACCTCCTGCCTCCTCCTTTTTGCACTTCTTTCTTGTTTCTTTGGGCTGACCATGTGATTCACTCAGAATGTGTGTGCCAGGAGGTCTGACTCCTCTTTCCTCTTCCAATCTGTGCCTTGAGGAGGCCAAATAAACACTTTATTTGGTGTTTACTAACAGAAAGGCAACACCTTAGTTTGGCTCCTGAGCCTGTATACCCTGCACATCCATTAGCTTCAGTTCCTGATGTCATAAACAAGGACACAGATTCCATACTTTCGCTCTTGAGTACATGGAATTAACATTATTCTGGGGGCTCATCAGATTTGTTTCAGCTCACATCATACACCCCCTGGCCCTAGAACCTTCCAGAAAGCATATTTCTATGCTAAGTTTGTATCCAAAAAATAACAGCATCGTTTCTTTCCCATGTTTACTACCTGTCTCAAAACAACCTTCCTTTTTGGATTTTTTAAAGAGAACATCCAGTAAAGAAAACTCAGTGGGCAAACAAAAACATCCTAGTTCTCTTTATGAGTCAGAATTGAGTGGTGAAGAAAAGTGGTTCTGCCCAAATATAAAATGTGGAAACTGGAATCCAAAGTCTCAGAACATTTGAAGTATTGCCATGGCAACTGGTTGGGCTATCAAGACGAGCAAGTATGGCTCATTTCTGCATTAGAAATCCAGTTACCTGATCAGAAGGAACGTTGCAGAGCCTATAAGTTAATCAGTTAGTGAGTCATCATTCAAGTGGTGACTCAGCATTTGCTAACTTTCCTACAAATAATTGCTCTACATTCTGGGAAGGTTATAAAAGTAGTTTAGTTTTATTTGTTCATTCAATATTTATTGAGCTTCTATTAAGTGAAATATCAAGCCTTTAACCACATGTTGGGGAATCAAGAACTACTAAGGCAGGAGTTATGCCTGGAAGGTGCTCAGAATTTAGGCCTGTAAACTGTAAACGGATTATTAAATTTGTTTTAATAACAAATTATATGTGTATATGTAAACAGATTATTACAGCCTGGCTACTGAGAGTAACTGGTCCTGCCTGGATAAACCAAAAGGATTTCTTGAGGCTAGGAAAGGAGAGCTGGTAACCAGAGAAACAGAACAAGTACTGGGGAGTAGCAGAATTAGGGCAAAGAGAAAATGATAGTTTTCAAAGTGTCAAATGGCACAGGAGCACCAAATAAGATATCAGGCCTAAAGTAGGTGCATTGGATTTAGCAGTCAGGGAATCATGGATGACTTTAGGGAGAGCAGTTTCACACCTCAGTTGTGGGTGCATCCACATCACATTAAGTAGAGATATGAATGAGAGGTAAAGGAGTGAAGACAAGGATTGCACTCTATGCAGAAACTTGGCTGTGATGGAAGGGGCAGAGGAGATGTCAGAAGTAGATATGGGTTCAGAGAGATTTTATTTTAAATTCAGAAAGATGCAAGACTCAAGGTCTTGTATTAAAGAACTGGTCATCTAAAGTAGGAGACAACATAAACACAGGAAAATGATGGTAGATAAAGTAACAGAAATATAAAGCATGCAAATGCACGCTCAATCACTCTAAAAAAATCTATTGCATAAATTTTCCTTTGACAAGTGGTTCTGTAGCACTTACTCTGTGCCAAGCACTACTGTGGTCTGTTTACAAATATTAACTCACATGCTCCCAAGGACAACTCAAGGAAGAAGATGGAGAAACCAGAGCACAGAGAGAAATAGGATACTGTCCAAGGTCACACAGCTGGTGCAGGCAGAGCCAAGATGTGAACCTGGACATTTGTCCTGAGAGTTCTTTTCCACTGTGCTATGTTGTCACTATCTTTTATCTCAGGAGCAGTGAGGAGTGAAGAGCCCCAACCTTCCTCAACTGAACCCTTTATCCATCTCACATCCATTGCTTGTCCTGTTTTCTGTATCTCAGCAAAGGGCCAAGAACTCTAGGAGTTCCTGTCTCACATCACTGCCCCTCACTCTCCACATGACATGTAATGCCAGTAATCAATCACCAAATCCTGTCTGGTTGGCCTCTTCAGTTTATTTGGCCCTGTTGTGTTCATCCCAATAACCAAACTAAAGCTAAGTTTCGGTCACAATAATTCTGACTGTCTCTAACCCGAGAGATCAATTTATTCTTCAGCTGTTTGATTGCAACCAAGAGGAGCATTTTCAAATACAAAGCAGCGCAAGTCACTTTCCTGCCTACAACCATCAGAAGACTCTGCTGCACCCTCAGGATAAAGTTCAGCTTCCTTAAGGTGTCATATGAGACCCTACTTACCTTTTCAATCTCATCACTGACTCTACAATAGACACACACATACCCATGCATACTCATGTGTACACATGCATGCACATATATACAAGCACACTCACACAAACTTGCACATCCATATGTACACACGTGCACACATGTGCACAGATATACATACACACCCACCCACACACCCACACCTTCATATATGATACAATCATGCTCTCACACCATGCTCACATGCACTCACGCATATACTTCCAGGCCAATTTCTAGCAACACCAAACCATTAGCAGTGCCACAGATACAGCACTCTCCCTGGCCTCTAGCCCCTGATGTCTGTCCTTTGTAATTTTTCTCCTAATATGAAACCACTCCCCGAAACCACATGCACCTGAATTGTTCTTATTTAACCCCCTAGATTTTTAGTGAATATGACATCTCTTTCAGGAACTCTTCCTTGGCCTCTCTAAAGACTGATTTAGGTTTGCTTATGTTTTCCTGATACCTTGTACTGTGCCTTATCAAGACACTAAGAGAAACCTACCGTAATTTCCATTTTACTTCTCATTAATTGAACACAAGCTCATTGAGCTCCTACTGTCTGCCAGGCACTGGACTGGGTGTTTGACGTTAAATAAGCAGACATGGTTCCACTGCCCAGTCATTTCTATTCTAGGCTAGCTCCCACTGGGCTGTAAGCTGTCTGGGGTCAGAGGCTGCATCTGTTCCTTGCTGCCTTCCTAGCACCTAGTGCTTTGTGAGTTAATAACAAATAACTAATTCAATATGTATTTGATAAGAAGATGAAGGATGAACTAATTCTATTTGGAAGTAGGCACATGAAAACCTGGTAATCTTTAAGTTCTATTGATGTTGAAGATGACTAGGAAGTTTAAATTCCCCTCAGTAGTATCTAGAAGGAGGAGTTATCCTTACCTTCTACCTCAACTCCCCCTTCCTCATCCCCACAAATCTAGGTATACCTGACAAATGTAGACTAGGAATTTGTCTCCTAGAAAAACTGGATATAATTTACAACTTGGTTTAACTATGTTTATTTCTAAACTTTCAGAAATTATCTTTTCTATTTATTTGCTTCTTCTAGGTTGTCTTTTTCTCATTCTCATAGAACTTTCGTTTTGTGCACATTATTCCCGTGGGCGGGAGGAAGAGGAGTGTATATGCCTAGAGAAAGGTAAATCTTGCTACCTGAAGACGAAGCCACTGGGGGCCAAGAAACTCTGCTTCCGTTCCAAGTCTCTCCAGCGTTTGCACCTTCTCCGGCCCTTTGAAAATCTGGAGTTTTAAAAACTCTCTTTTGGGGGGGTGAAATTCTTTTAACATCAAATGTGTTTATAGACAGTTCCTAGCTGAGTTTATTTATTAGCCATATGCTCACTCACTAATTCATTTATTCAGCTGATGCTTCTTGAGCACAAAGTAGGTATTCAATTACTATTTTTGAAATTAACTCCAACTTCATGCAGAATAATAGTAAACACTAACCACAGCAGAGCTCTATTTTAGACATTGTTTGTTTCAAGGCACATTAATAACTTGAAATAATTGCACAATAGAATATTCTTATAATCCTTATAATACAACCCATGGCATGGATCCTGAAGATAAAAGGGAACTTGGGCAATGCTCCCTCCTGGGTGTGGCAGCCTTGCTGGGCCTTTGGACCACCTCCTTGTGCCCCCTCCTCTGCCATGGCTGGTCCCTGGCTGAGGTCAGGCAGGTGACAGCCAGGTGCCATGGCAGAGGAGGGGGCACAAGGAGGTGGTCCCAGCCCCTCTGGCTCTCTGCTTACAGCATTTCTGGGAACTTAGCAGCTATGTCCTCTACTGTGGTGTGCTGCCAAAAGCCAAGCACATTTGAGGAAGGCAGCTGTTCGTTTTGCCATTCCCCGCCCTTCTGTGAACATCTCCTCTCCTGACCCTGCCTCCCTACACTGCTGCTGTCCTCTCTTCCACACTGTTCTCCCTTCCTGAAAGTCCAAGCTGCTTAGCAGTGGAAGCCTTCAGATTGTCTGTAGGCTTCTGGGGGCTTCTGTGGATCTCCATCATCTGTGTGCCCCTCCAACACCCAGGGCAGGGCCTGCAGCAGTATGGGCAATGGCATTGAATGGACGCATGGAGGACAATCTGGCTCCTCATACACACAGAACTTGATCTCTCCTGACTCTCCAGAATGAACCATGTTCCTTTCTCTTCTCTCCACATGACCCACCCATTACCTGCTCCTTAAGTTTGTGCAAGCCATCCATCCCCTCACCTTAATTGTCCTACCTCCACCTCCTCATCCATTTAAGTTCTTTCCCTCACTGTATTAGTTAGGAATGCAGAATCTGGAGTCTGAAGGTCTGGATTCAAGCCCTTTACTAGCTGTGGGAACTTGGCAAATTGAAGTCCCTCATCTGTAAAATGGAGGCAATGGTAATTTCTGTCTCAGAATTGTTGTGGTTAAATAAATTAATACAAACTATGTGTTGAGAGCCATGCCTGGAACATAAGGGCTTGGTTAATGCCTGTTGCTATTTCACCCTTCTGTGAAGATGTGATGTCACAGAAGGGACCCAGGACTTGCTCCAAAGATGCTGCCATCCAAACTGGCCAGGTCTGGCTCATGTTCCTCAGTCCCAAGGCCTTCTTTACCCATTCTAGTCCGTGCAAACTCTCCTCCTGAATGCTTGTTGCATGTATATCAATGTGATATAACTTAGCATGAAATTATTTGTAGTGAGATTTTGATTCCACAGATTCCACATAACCACTATTCTCAACTAACTATAATATTTTAGTTATTCTGCTTCTTAGGAGATAGAGTTATGTGATTACAAGATAAATTCAAAAGAAGAATCCAGTAGAAACAAAACCTGCCCATTAACTTATGGGTTCAGCCCAATCCTTTTTACCTTCTCTGGCCACATACTCAGGGTATGGGATAGTGAGAAGTGGTTAGAAGGCTGATGATCTTAAAGCCCTTCGAGATAAACCTCGAGATGAAGATTCCGGGCACGGACCGTCAGAGCATCACAGGCCAGGTGACAACCCAGCCCATCTCTGCTTCACAGATGGGGCAGTGAGACCCAGAGAGGGAAAGTTACTTTCCTGACATTACACAGGGGCAGACTGAGACCCCAATCTAAGTACTTGGCTCCTAATTTGGTGTTATTTCCACTCTTCCAGGATGCCTCTGATTAATTTAAGCCTCTTACTGGAAAGCAGAAGAAAACATTTTAGAAGGAGTTTCAATAAGAAAATGTATGGCTTTAGTCCTTACTTAACCCGTGTCAATTCCTTAGATCACTTAGTTTCCTTGACCTTTCTCTTTCTCACTCAGGGGCCAAGCAGCCAAAGCTATTGCACAGCAGAGGTTGACCCAGAGGTCAGCTTTACACATCCTCTTTGAACACTGGGCTCTGAAGACTCACCTGGGTTCAATTTGAGAACACACAGACTGTTTCCTCTAGTTTCCTCTCAGACTCTCAAACCAGTGAGGGAAAAAAGAGACTCTGAGCCTTTAGGTTCTGATTGGCATAGTATTTGGTTTTGTGTGGTCCCTGGGTTGCCTGACATCACCAACAAGTTGATTCTTAGAAAGCAGTCAGAGTCTCCTTGGGTTATTTGTGACCACATGGTAGAGACAAAAACAAAAAACAAAAAACATTCAGGTATTATTAAGTGAATATGAGTAGGATGTGTACATTGAAGCAATATAAGAAACACTGGACAAATACTAATGCTGTGAAAGTCATACAATGTTTCACTTTAAGAAAACCTGACATGTGAACGTCTAACTTTAGCTGATGGATAAACTGAGAGGTCATGTTCATTGCAATAGGATTTTCTTCATGCTTGCTTTAAATAGTGTCTCCTATAATGTCCCTGGATCACTGAGAATATATTTAACACTATTTAAATACTTTCTAAGGGTAGTATTAATTCTATAAACTGTACCTGGTAACAGGAACCCCAAAGAAAATTTCTGAGAGGGATCTCAAAATTATTTATTTGACTGAGAAGAGAAACATCCGGGAAATTGGTGTGGTGCTGCCAAAGAACCTTGAGAGAGATGGGGTGAGGGTGGAGAAGTGCTGAGGCATCCTGTTGTGGGTGCCACCAGGTCTCTGTGTCTCTTCCAGGACGACAGGTGCTGGTCACTAAGCTATCTTATCAAGGTTAAGGAATGTGGCCCACTTCACACCCCCTAAGGTGTGTGACTTCTTGGCTTTTGCATGAGCTATCCTCTGCATTTGGGGATGTAGATCCTGTTGTGCTACTGGAATTCCAAGCACATGAATTCCTATTTTTGTTTAGGTGGAAGATCATCTTGATAGAAAGAGAAGCCTACAGGTAGCTCTCCACTTCTGTTGAGGAACAGCCTCTGACATCTCACATTCTAGATGCCCATTATGGAAACTGCAGCCGGTTAGCCATTGGACATTGATGTGCCATTTATGGAATTCCATAGTCACAGGACCAGCAGAGAATATAGAATGCTCAGGAAATTTCACACTGGTTGTCCTTGAAGGTTATTAAAAATGATCGAAATGACACTCCAAAAAAATCACGTGTTTAAAATTACTCAGGAAGTTTCTCTTTCTCTCTCTCTGTCTCTCTCTCTGTTTTGGGGGTAATGACAAGACATAGAAAATATATTACTTTTTCAACTAAATAATTTAGTTGCAGGAAAAATAATTTAAAGTCGCTGAAATGTACTGAGATAATGGATGGTATTGGAGCAAAGTAATGACTCTAGAGAAAATTGTCCAAGATGAGTGGGGAGTGACAAGTCTGGTTATGACTCTTGATTCTTCCTGATCCCTAGTAGGTAATATCAAAGCAGATGAAAAGCTGGCATGCTTTCAGAGGGGGGCACTGTGGGCAGAGCTGTGCTAGGTCAAGTCAGTAACTGTTCTCGTTGTGGAGAGTGACTGGTGTATGTATGTGTGTGTGTGTTGGGTGGGAAAGGGTAATAAATGGATTTTTTTTTTTAATTAGGGGAAGTGGAATTTTTAGAGTGTCATGTGACGCATCATTGTTTGAGAGGATACCGTTGACATCTCTGCTAACTATCTCTTGTTGATTCAATCCATTAGTGTATTACTTATTTTTACCATAGGCAAGATGTTGGCCTTGATACAAATGAATGTGGAGAAGTACAAGGCAGGTTTTGCCAGCTGTCAACTTATAATACAGTTGAAGATATAGGCCTATATATGTTAAAATGATAATAATATTAGCCAGGAATAATAATATGGAATATTTATTATGTGCTGAGCATAATAAGTACTGTTTTACATGTGCGAATTAATTTTGTCTTCTCCAGGACCGTATAAATTAATACTATTATTATCTCCATTTACTGGATGGGGAAAATGAGGTATTGAGGATTTCTCTATGTTGCTGGAGACTGTACAGCTATTAAGTTTGGTTTATCTAGTAATTGAGCTAGTTGATCTAGCTGGTGGCTCTAGCCCCACCATTTGATTTTTTACCTAGGATATTGTTTACCATTTTAAAAAAAATTTTCAATTGACTGCTGGGCAGCTCCCTTTGGCTATTTGTGGGTCTAGATCAAGGCTTAGAGAGTTTGGGAAGTTGAGAATGGGGCAGACTTGTCCTGGGAGATTCTCATGAGGCTCCTGAAGCTATTGGCTACTCTCTGGAAGGCACATGATAACTCCAGGTTGACTACCTAGGTAGCTTTTACTGATCCCTGTGGGTTACTTTTTCTGCAAGAAAATACAGGGATGCTTTGCATAATGATGTGTTGGTTAACAAGACACCATGTGTACGATAGTGGCCACATAAGATTATAATACCATATTTTTACTGTACCTTTTCTATGTTTAGGTATGTTTAGATACACAAATACCATTTGTTTTACAGTTGCCTACAGTATCCAGTACAGTCACATGCTTTACAGGTTTGTAGCCTAGAGGCAATAGGCTGTACCATATAGCCTCGGTATGTTCTAGGTTTGTGTAAGTGCACTCTATGATGTTCACACAATGACAAAATTGCCTAATGACACATTCTTCAGAACATATCCTGGTTGTTAAGCAGTATGTGACACCCAGGCAGTAGGTGATGAGTGCCTAAAGCCATGTTTATTCTTGCTGGATGGCCAAGGAAGCTTCCTTAGGAAGGAGACCCCTGCTGCTCCAGATTTATCTGAGGTCAATGGCATGCTGGACCTGGTTCTTTGCAGCTGTGGGCTTCACAGTGACCCAAGCCCTTTGCTTTCTTGACTTTCCACAGTGTGCAAAATTCCTTTAATTAACCCCAAGCCCATGCAGAAATGGAAATGGTCAGTGGGCAAATATTTATCTACGTTTGTCCTCACATTGTCATTATTATTATAATTTTTTAATATAATCATTATAATTTTTAACACATAAATCTGATTAGATCACCATCTGCCATGTCTTACCTCTGAAATCCTTCAGTGGCTCCTGATTTGTCACCCAGAGTGTAAAGTCAAATCTGGTTCACTCTTATTCAATGTCCTTTATGATCTACTCCAATGAACATATCTGGTTTTCATGCCAGTGCCCTGCATGCAGTGCGTGATTCACTCATGAATTTGTATATTCAACAAGTATTTATTAAATATGCAATATGTGCTAGGTTCTGTTCCAGGCACTGGAGATATGGCAGCAAACCAGGCAAAAATGCCCATAATTAATAACAGCTAACATTTTTGAGTTACTGTAGTTAGGCTTTATGTGTATTAATGTATTTAATCTTCAAATGAGGTAGATATATCATTAGTTTTATTCTAGAGATGAGCAGACTCGGATAAGTGGTTTATTGTAGAAGTTTAAAAAATACTTTTCCTGTAAATCTGTACTTAGGAAATTAACACCTATTTATTATTTTATACCATTTGGGTCAGAGCATACATATTGTCCCAGAACTTACTTTGTTTTCTAATAAGTAGGCTGTGAATATTTTCCTGTGTTCCTAAATATTCTTCTCAGGTGTGATTTTTTAATGGTAGGGTAGTATTCCATTGTTCAGATGGACTGTACTCTTTCTCTATTATAAATAATGCTGTCATGAACATCCATATTCATCCTTAGCTCTTGGATTGTTTCCTTAACAATGATTCCTAGAAGTGAAATTACAGGGCTGGAGCATGAGGCTGTTTTTGGCAAATGGTTGCTAAATGGTTTTCTGGAATGGTTTACTAACTCTCTCTCACTCCAGCAGTGCATGAGTGTGCCCTTTTCCCCAGTGTTGCCAAATCTAGAGACTGTTATTGTTCTTACTCTTTGCCAACTTAATGGACAAGAGTTTTAATCTTGACTTCATTTGCGTTTTCTTGAGACTAAAGACTGAAAATTTGTATTTCTTTTTTGAGTTACCCCATCAGTGTCTTTCCACCCTTTACTTTTTTTTCTATTGCTGTCACCCAATGTTACTGTGCAGGTGATATGTAAGTAGAGAGAAGTGTCCCAAATGGTCACTAGGGAAACACGTCAATGGGGTGTGTGTGTGTGTGTGTGTGTGTTTGTGTGTGTCTGTCATAAGTGAGGTGAAGGTAGGAGTGGAGACTAACCTGAGTATGTTGATTGTATTGAGCCACTAGATAAGTCTCTGTCCATTACTCACTGCTAACAAAGGCCCATCCTCAGGAAACAGATTGTGGTCTGCCCTGATTTGGAGTCCTGCTCCTCAGTGTATGGTTTGAGATTCAGCAGCATCAGTTTCTCCTGATAGTCTATTGGAATGCAGAATTTCAGGTGCCGTTTGAGACTTGCTAAATCAGAATCCGCATTTATTCAGATCCCTGGGTTGTTCATATCCACAGTAAAATCTGAGAAGCTCCAGACTCGTCTTTCCGGAGGTCTGTGTGCAATTTCAGCTTGACTTCTGACAGGTGCTGCTGATTTTAGATAGTGTAGAAAATGTTGCTAAATCAGAATCTGCATTTATTCAGTTCCCCGGGTTGTTTGTATCCACAGTAAAATCTGAGAAGCTCCAGACTTGTCTTTCAGGAGGTCTGTGTGCAATTTCAGCTTGACTTCCAGATAGGTGGGGCTGATTTTAGATAGTGTAGAAAATGTTGGTGCTTCTGATTTAGCTCCCTGCACTTCCCCCATTCCTAATGACTAATAATAATAACTGTAAGAGTAGCTAATATTTATTGATACTGTGCCAGGAACCACGCCAACTACCTTCTATGGGCATCATATGCAGGCCACCTCTTCAACTCCTTTAGATTCTTATCCCCCATCTCACCATTCTATGTTTTCCTGTTCTCTCAGGCAATCACAAGAGCAAGCCCCATGCTCTCCCTGCAAATCTGCTTCATTGACTTCCACCCTGCACACGGGTGGCCTAAGGAAAGCCAGGGGAATCTCCTCTCCTGTTTTCTAGTATCCTTGCACATGAAAGCATGACTATAATAAAAATAGACTGTAATGAGAAGGTGAAAAATTTACTGGAAAGGTGCTAGTGAAACAGTCCCCAGGAGGTTTTTCCCTCTCTGTGCTCTTATTTGTAAAAGCTTGGAGTCACAGACAAAAAGCTAAGCCTAATCCTGTCTTAGAGGAAAGTTATCTAGAACAGCTGAAAAACACCTCCCCAAGCTTCTTTTTTCACTTTCTCCCACTCTTCCTGCTCACACAGTCCTGCTGTCTGCCAGGTTTGCTTGATCTTTGATGGATGGCTTCTTTTCCTTCTCCTCCTTGGTTTTTTTATTCCCCTCATGCTCTCTCTGGGGGGTCGGGGTGTTGGATAAGTAGTTCTGCAGAAGGCTGCACGTACATGTGTGGGACGGCTACAGGCATAACATCCTGAGAGGGACCTTGCCTCGTAGCTTGTTGATTTATGGTCATGACCTAACCTGGCCCTGTTTTTGCTCATTTTCCTCCTAAAAACAAACTTGCACCACACAGCATGTTTTTTTAGTTACCAGAGTTGATGACACTGCATGACTCCTCTGTTTTTTTGAATAGAGCTTCACCTTCCTGGAAGCTGATGGGGCTTCTTGGAGAAGCAGGACTCTCACTCCTAACTTTAATCCTCCCAGAGGTACAGAGCAGAACTCTGCCATGGGGGTTTCCTGGAAGTGAGATTCCATGGATGTGTCTGTGCCAAGAGCAGCATTTCTGCCTGGACCTTATCTTCATCTTCTGCCACCTTGGCTTGTTGTTAAATGATCTCCTCTGTGAGACTCTGCCATGGATAAATGTTCCCTCCAGAATGAGCCTTTGTCCAAGAAAAGCTGTCAATAAGATTTATCACATATGCTGTAATCTAACTGTGTAGGATCTAGAAGAAAGCATCTTAGTATGTGATGGCTGTGAAAAAGCTCATCTAACGTTATGGGGAAAATCAACCACATGTAGTTGCAGAGCAAGGGGCGTGCTCGGTCCCCTTGGATCATTCTTCTAGGTCAGATGCACTTGCAAGGTTACTAGGGTTCCCCAAGACTGGAGGGAAATGCTCCTTTTCTGAGTCAAGACTCTCATGACTCCATTTGACTTCAGGAGCAGAGTGGGAACAAGGAAATACAACCCATCCTTTCTTGTTCCTGTGGTAAATTCATAGATGTCTAAGATAGGCTCTTGTCATCAAGGGACTCTCAGATTTCTTCACAAATAGCAGCAGTTCAACAAGGCTCAGCAACCTGCAACAAGATCACTTTTACTAAGGTAGTCAAGGAAGACTTCATAGACAGGATGAAACTTAAGGTAAGTTTTGAAGGGCATATCCATATAAGGGAGGCATTTCAGACAGAGAGAGATACGTATTGATAACATGTATCAGGCCTATATAACCTCTCAGAAAGGGGCACTTTTTGCTTTTCCATTTATGTAAACACTCTGAAATAAGTTGGCACAATGTTCCTGAAATACCTGGCTTTGAGGAAGAAAAGGGTATGAGATGGCGCCTTTCCCCTTTTGTCGCTACCATAAAATAAGAACACCAAGGACAGGTGGATTTCTGACAGTTCTTAGAAGATATTTTTCTCACTTTTTAATTAACTGTTATAATTCCCAGGGTGGATTATACTTTTCCCCCTCATTAGGGTGGTGGGGGCACTGTTGAAGCATAACCCACTCTATCTGGTCTTGTGGTCAGGTGACTCCATTCTGTCAAAACCCACAGACAGAAGGTTCCATAGGGGAGAGGGGAGCTTTCTAGTAAAGAAAGGGTGAGCAATCAGAGCATTTGAGAGGCAGAAGCAGTTCCTAGCTGGGCTATCTCACTTTTCTTTTTGTTACATTCCCGTCAAATACAGATTTCTACTGTGCCAGGTACATACCAAATGGGGAACAGGAAAAAGGAGGAAGTGGGGATTGAAGCCGCTTGTTTGGAAGTGAGTTTTCTGTTGTATGCTCTTCCCATTAGCCCCTCCTTATCTTGGGGTCCTCTAGAAGTGATTACTAAATGTTACATGTCAAAAGCCTACAGGGCCACCCAGAAATTTTACCAAATGTTCGGCAAGGCAGCCTGTCAATTTAGTAATGGCCAACAGGGAGACATAAACAGCTGGGCCAGCCACTCTGTTCTTTCCTCCAAACTATTTCCTGGTGTGGATGTCAGTCTATACATTTTTTTGAGTCAGATCCCAGTCATCTGCAAGTAGTGGTCTGCAAATTTGTTAATGTCACACTCACCAGCCCATGTCACTCTTCTTGCCCCAAAATAACAATTAAGAACTAATTATTTAGTATTTAAAATGTTTTAGTGTAGTAGAAAGAGCATGGAGTTTTTGTCAAATAGACTTGGTTTTGATACCTTACTGGCATTTGCTAACTGTGAGATGGTGGATGACTTGCTCAACTTCTCTGATTCTCAGTTTTTTGGTCTGATACACTCAGCTTATACATTTATGGTAGAGGTTAATAGAGTGGCACGTGTGCAGCATTTAGAGCAGCAGACATTTGCAATTTTTCATTTAGCTTTTAAATCGATATGTAATAATTGTATATATTTATGAAGTATGTAGTGATCAAATCTGAGTAATTAGCATTTCCTTCATCTGAAACATTTATCTTTTTTTGTATTGGGAAAATTCAATATCTTCTCTTCTAGCTATTAAAAAATATATCATATATTATTTTAACCATAGTCATCCTACAGTTCTATAGAGCACTAGAACTTATTCCTCCTACCTAGCTGTAATTCTGTATCCTTTAGCAAATTTATCCCTATCTCCCTCTTCCTGCTACACTTCCAAGCCTCTAAAACCTCTGTCCTACCTTTTACTTCTAAGAGATCAACTTTTTAAGCTTCTGCATATGAATGAGAACATGAAATGTTTAACTTTCTGTTCCTGGCTTATTTCACTTAACATAATGTCCTCCAGTTCTATCTATGTTGCTGCAAATGACAGGATTTCATTCTTTTTTATGGCTGAATAATATTAAATTGTGTTTATATACTGCATCTTCTTTATCTATTCATCCGTTGTTGGGCACTGGGGTTGATTCTATATATTGGCTATTGTGAACAGTGCTGCAAAACATACTGATTTCCTTTGCTTTGCATAAATGCCCAGTAATAGGATTGCTGAATTATAGGATAGTTCTATTTATAGTTTTATGAAGAACCTCCATGCTGTTCTCCACAGTGGCTGTACTAGTTTACATTCCCACTAGCAGTATATAAGAGTTCCTTTTTCTCTTCATCATTGCCAGCATTTTTTTTTTGTCTTTTTAGTAATAACCATCCCAACTGGGGTAAAATGATATCTTATTGTGATTTTGATAGGCATTTCCCTGATAATTAATAATGTTGAGCAGTGTTTCATATATTTGTTGGCTATTGTATGTCTTCTTTTGAGAAATATCTGTTCAGATCATTGCTCATTTTTTCATCTGATTATTTGTACTTTTGCCATTGAAATGTTTGCATTTTTTGCATATTCTGGATATTAAACCACTGTTGGATGAATAGTTGCAACTATTTTCTCCCATTCTTTAGATTGTCTTTTCACTCTTTCAGTTGTTTCTTTTGCTGTGCAAAAGCTTTTAGTTCAATAGTTTTTTCATTTGTTGCCTGTGCTGTTGAAGTCTTATTCATAAAATCTTTTCCCAAACCAACATCCTGAAGTGTTTCCCCTATATTTTCTTCTAGCAGCTTTGTCGTTTTGTGTCTTACATTTAGGTCTTTAACCCATTTTGAAATTTTTTTTAATAGGGTGAGAGGTGGGAGTCTAATTTCCTTGTTCAGCATATGGGTATCCAGTTTTCTGAGCACCATTTATTGAAAAGATTTTCCCTTCCGCAATCAATGTACTTGGTACCTTAGTCAAAAATCAGTTGTTGTGGATACATGGATTAATTTCTGGGTTCTCTATTATGTTCCACTGGTCTATTTGCCTATTTTTATGCCAGTACAATGCTATTTTGGTTACTATAGCTTTGTAGTAAATTTTAAAGTCTGGTGGTGTGATGCCTCCAGCTTTGTTCTTTTTGCTCGGGATTGTGTTGGCTATTTGAGGTCTTTTGCAGTAGCCTGCAAAATTTTAGGATGGTGTTTTCTATTTTTATGAAGAATGTCATTGGTATTTTGATAGGGGTTGCATTGATATGTAGATTGCTTTTGTTAGCATGGTCATTTTCACAATATTCTTTAAATCCATTAATATGAGATGTCTTTTCATTTATTTGTGCCTTCTTTATTTCTTTCATCAGTGTGTTGTAGTTTTCCTTGTAGAGATCTTTTACATCCTTGGTTACACTTATTTCCAGGTATTTTATTGCTTCTGTAGCTATTCTAAATGAAATTCCTTTCTTGATTTCTTTTTTAGATTGATCGCTGTTAGCATATAAAAATGTTACTGATTTTGGTATGTTGATTTTGTATCCTGCACCTTTACTGAATTTATCAGTTATAAGAGTTTTTTTTTAAATTTTTGTTTATTTTTTGGGGGGGTGGAGTCTTTAGATTTTTCTTTTTTTCTTTCTTTCTTTCTTTCTTTTTTTTTTTTTTTTTTTGAGACGGAGTCTCACTCTGTTGCCCAGGCTGGAGTGCAGTGGCACAATCTCGGCTCACTGCAAGCTCCGCCTCCCGGGTTCACGCCATTCTCCTACCTCAGCCTCCCGAGTAGCTGGGACTACAGGTGCCCGCCACCACGCCCGGCTAATTTTTTTTTTGTAATTTTAGTAGAGACGGGGTTTTACCGTGTTAGCCAGGATAGTCTCGATCTCCTGACCTTGTGATCCACCCGCCTCGGCCTCCCAAAGTGTTGGGATTGCAGGCATGAGCCACCGCGCCCGGCCTAGGTTTTTCTTTATGTAAGATCACTTCATTTGCAAATGGACAATTTTACTTGCTTCTTTCCAATTTGGATGCCTTTTGTTTTCTTCTCTTGCCTAATTGCTCTGGCTAGGACTTCCAGTGCTATGTCAAATAAGAGTGGTGAAAGTGGGCATCCTTGTCTTTTTCCAGTTCTTAGAGAAAACGCTTTTTGCTTTTCCCTGTTCAGTACGATATTAGCGGTCACTTATGGCCTTTATTGTGTTAAGGTACTTTCTTTCTACCTGATTTATGAAAGTTTTTATTATTAAAGGATGTTGAATTTTATTAAATGCTTTTTCCATAATATATTCGCTGAAATGAATAAATAATTTTTGCACCATTTTTGCATCTCTGGGATGAATCCCACTTGATCATAGTGTATGTTTTTTTTTATGTGCTGTTAGATTTGGTTTGCTAATATTTTGTCGAGGATTTTAACATCTATATTTATTGGATATTGGTAGGTAATTTTCTTTTTTTGCTGTATCCTTGTCTGGTTTTGGTATTAGGGTTATGCTGGCCTAGTAGAATGAGTTTAGAAGAACTACCCTACCTTAAATTTTTTTGGATTAGTTTGAAAATAATTCATATTAGTTATTTAAAGTTTTGTTTGAATTTTGTAGTAAAGCAGTGAAGACTTTTCTTTGTTGAGATACTTTTTAAATCACCAATTCAGTCTTGTTACCTGTTATTGATCTGTTCAAGTTTTATATCTCTTCTTGGTTAAATCTTGGCAGGTTGCATGGTCCAGGAATTTATCCATTTCTTCTAGGCTTTTTAATTTATTGAAGCATTCATAATAGTTTCTAATGATATTTTGTATTTCTGTGGCATGAATTATAACATCTTCTCATTTCTGATTTTATTTATTTGGGCCTTTTTCTTTTTTAACTCTAGCTAATGGCTTGTCCATTTTGTATATCTTTTCAGAAAACCAAGTTTTTGTTTCATTGAACTTTCTTAGTCTCTCTTTTGTTTATTTTTCCTTTTATTTTCATTTATTTCCTTCTATTAATTTTTGGTTTTGTTTGTACTTGCTTTTCTCATTGTTTGAAGTGCATTGTTACGTTGTTGTTTTTTGAAATAGTTCCAATTTTTGATGTAGGTTTTTATTGCTATAATCTTGTCTCAATACTGCTTTGGCTGTGTTCCATAGGTTTTGGTATGTTGTGTTTCTATTTTCATTTTTTTGAGAAATTTATGTATTATCTTATTATTTCTTCACCCATTAGATATTCAGGAGTATGTTGTTTAATTTCCATGTATTTTTATGGTTTCAAAAATGTTCCTATTATTGTTATTGATTTTTCATTTTATTCCATTGTGGTCAGATAAGATATTTGATGTTATTTATTTTATTTGTTTATTTATTTTTTAGCGACATGGTCTCACTATGTTGCCTAGATTAGTCTTAAACTCCTGGGCTCAAGTGAGCCACCTGTCTTGTCCTACCAAAATGTTGGGATTACAGGATTACAGGCATGAGCCACTGTGTCTGGCTGATGCTGATTTTTAAAATTATTTTGAGGCTAGGCATAATGGCTCACACCTATAATCCTAGCACTTTGGGAGGCTTAGGTGGGAGGACTGCTCAAGCCCAAGAGTTTGAGACCAGCCTGGGCAACATAGTAAGACCCTATCTCCACTAAAAATTAAAAAATTAGGTAGATGTGGTGGCATACACCTATAGTCCCAGCTACTTGAGAGGATGAGGTGGGAGGATTGTTTGCACCCAGGGAGTTGAGGCTGTACTGCCACTGAACTCCAGCCTGAGAGACAGAGCAAAACCCTGTCTCGAAAAAATATTGTATTGACACCTGTTTTGTGTCCTAATGTTTTGCCAATACTGGAGAATGTTACATGTACTGATAAAAAGAATGTGTATTCTGCAGCTGTTGTGTGAAATGTTCTGTAAATTTCTGTTAGATCCATTCAGTCTATAGACCAGTTCAAATTTTATGGGCTTTTTAGTTGATATTACATCTAGTTGATCTGTCCAATACTGAGAATGGGTATTGGGGTCTAGCTCTACCTTTAGATCTGATAATATTTGCTTTATATATCTGGGTGCTCTTGTATTGGGTGCATATATACATACATAATTGGTATATCCTCTTGCCGAATTGATCCTGCTGTTATTATATAATGCATTTTTGTTTTTTTTTTTAGTTTTTGACTTAAAATCTGTTTTATTGTATGTAAGTATAGCTTCTCCTGTTCATTTTTGATTTCCATTTGCATGGAATATTGTTTTTCACTTTCAGTCTATGTGTGTCTTTACAGGTGAATTGAGTTTCTTATAGGCAACATATAGTTGGATCTTTTAAAAATCCCTTTGGTCAATCTATATTTTTTAGTTGGGGAATTTAGTTCATTTTATTGATTGTTTCTCATTGTTTTGTATATTCTTTATTTCTTACTTTCTCTCTTTTTGTTTATTTTTTATGTTTGGCATGGTTTTCTGCAGTGATAAGGTTTGTTTCTTTTTCTTTCTTTTTTATTTTTTTGAGATGGTGTCTTGCTCTGTCACCCAGGTTGGAATGCAGGGGTGCCATCTCGGCGCAGTGCAACCTCCGCCTCCCAGGTTGAAGCAATTCTCTGCCTCAACCTCCTGGGTAGCTGGGATTACAGGTGCCCAGCAGCACGCCTGGCTAATTTTTGTATTTTGTATTTTAGTAGAGATGGGTTTTCACCATCTTGGCCAGGCTGGTCTTAAACTCCTGACCTTGTAATCTACCCACCTTGGCCTCCCAAAGTGCTGGGATTACAGGCGTGAGCCACTGCACCTGGCCTGATTTGTTTCTTTTTTGTGTATTTGCTCTATCTGCAAGTTTTGTACTTTCATATGTTTTCATGAACACATGCAGTTACTATCTTTTTGCTTCCAGAGGTAAGACTCCCTTAAACATTTCTTGTAAGGCTAATCTAGTGGTGATGAATTCCCCAGGTTTCTGGTTATCTGAGAAAAACTTTATTTCTCCTTCATTTCTAAGAATAGCTTTGCTGGGTATAGTATTCTCGGCTGATGGATTTGTTTGTTTTTTTTTTCTTTTAGTACTTCGAATATTTCATTCCATTCTTTCTGGCCTATACATTTTTTGCTGAGACATCTGCAATTAGGCTAATGGGTATTCCCTTATATGTGACTTGGTATTATATTTTTCTCTAGCTATTTTTGTCTTTGACTTTTGGCAAAACTCAAATATGCCTTGGAGAGGACTTGTTTGGATTAAATATATTTGGAGATTTTGAGTTTATTGGATCTGAATGTCCACCCCTTTTCTAAGACATGAGAAGTTTTTCACTATTATTTCATTAAATAGGTTTCCTTCACCTTTTCTCTTTTCTTCTCTTTCTACAGCTCCCATAATGCCAATATTTGTTCACTTACTGATGTTTCATACATTTTTGTAGGCTTTTTATTCATTCTTTAAAATATATTTTTTTTGTCTGCCTGAGTTATTCCAAAAGATCTATCTTCAAGTCCATAAATTCTTTCTTCTACTTGGTCTAATCTGTTGTTTAAGTTCTTGATTGTACTTTCTATTGTTTTATTCATTGAATTATCCAGCGTCAAGATATCTGTTTGGTTCTTTTGTATATTTCTTTATTGAATTTCTCATTCAAATAATGAATTTTTTTATTTTGTTTAACCATCTATCTGTCTCTTAATATCTATCTCTTATATCTCTTATCTATCTCTTATATCTCACTGATTTTCCTTAAGATTATTATTTTGAATTGTTTTCAGTACTTTGTATATTTCCTTGTAATTGAATTTTGTTACTTTAGAATTGTTTTGTTCCTTTGGAGGTGTAATGTTTCCTTGATTTTCTATGTTTGATGTGTTCTTACACTGATTTCTGTGCATCCAGTAGAACAGTCACCTCTTCCAATTTTATGAAATAGATTTATAGAAAAAGGCTTATTTCTTTTTTGTGTGTGTTTGTGTGTTTTGTTTTTTACTTTTACATTTGTTTTAATTTACATCTTTGATAAAAATTATTCAAATATTTTGCCTCAAATACAATTCTATTTTTTTGGCAGCAAATCCAGGTAGGATTATTTTTTATTAGATATTTTTCTTCAAAAAAAAATAGGGATACATGTGCAGAATGTGCAGGTTTGTTACATAGATATTTGTATGCCATGGTGGTTTCCTGCACCTATTGACCCATCCTCTAAGTTCCCCTCCCTCACCCCCATACCCCAACAGGCCCTGGTGTGTGTTGTTCCCCTCTCTGTGTCCATGTGTTCTCAATGGTCAGCTCCCACATATGAGTGAGAACATGCGGTGTTTGGTTTTCTGTTCCTGTGTTAGTTGGCTGAGGATGATGACTTCAAGCTTCATCCATGGCTGTGTGAAGGACATGATCTCTTTCCTTTTTATGGCTGCATAGTATTCCATGGTGTATATGTACCACATTTTCTTTATCCAGTCTATCACTGATGGGCATTTGGGTTGGTTCCATGTCTTTGCTATTGTAAATAGTGCTGCAATAAATATATGTGTGCATGTGTCTTTATAGTAGAATGATTTATATTTCTTTGGGTCTATATCCAGTAATGTGATTGCTGGGTCAAATGGTATTTCTGGTTCTAGATCCTTGAGAAATCACCATACTGTCTTCCACACAGGATGAATTAATTTACATTCCCACCAACAGTGTAAAAGCTTTCCTATTTCTCCACATCCTCGCCAGCATGTATTGTTTCCTGATTTTTTAATAATCACCATTCTAACTGGCAGGAGATGGTGTCTCATTGTGGTTTTGATTTCTCTAATGATCAGTGATGTTGAGCTTTTTTTCATATGTTTGTTGGCCACTTAAATGTCTTCTTTTGAGAAGTGTTTGTTCATACCCTTGGCCCACTTTTTGATGGGTTGTTTGTTTTTTTTTTCTTGTAAATATGCTTAAGCTCCTCATAAATTCTGGATATTAGACCTTTGTCAGATGGATAGACTGCAAAAATTTTCAACCATTTTTTAGGTTGGCTGCTCACTCTGATGATAGTTTCTTTTGCTGTGCAGAAGCTCTTTAGTTTAATTAGATCCCATTTGTTGATTCTGGTTTTTGTTGCAATTGTTTTTGCCATTTTTGTCATGAAGTCTTTGCCCATGCCTATGTTCTGAATGGTAATGCCTAGGTTTTCTTCTAGAGTTTTTATGGTTTGGGGTTTTACATTTAAGTCTTTAATCCATCTTGAGTTAATTTTTGTGTAAGTTGTAAGGAAGGGGTTCAGTTTCAGTTTTCTGACTATGGCTTGCCAGTTTTCCCAGCACCATTTACTGAATAGAAGATCCTTTCCCCATTCCCTGTTTTTGACAGGTTTGTTGATCAGATGGTTGTAGATGTGTGGTGTGATTTCTGAGGTCTCTGTTCTACTCCATTGGTCTTTATGTCTGTTTTGGTAATAGGACCATGCTGTGTTGGTTACTGTAGACTTGTACTATAGTTTGAAGTCAGGTAGCGTGATGCCTCCAGCTTTGTTCTTTTTGCTTAGGATTGTCTTGGCTATACAGGGTCTTCTTTGATTCCATATGAAATTTAAAATAGTTGATGAGAGCAGCAAACCAACATGGCACACGTATACCTATGTAATAAACCTGCACGTTGTGCACATGTACCCTAGAAATTAAAGTATAATAATAAACTTTAAAAAAAGAAATTTAAAATAGTTTTTTTTCTAATTCTGTGAAGAATGTCAACAGTAATTTGATGGGAGTAGCATTGAATCTATACATTACTTTGGGCCGTATGGCCATTTTCACAATATTGATTCTTCCTATCCATGAGGATGGAATGTTTTTCCATTTGTTTGTGTCCTCTCTTATATCCTTGAGCAGTGGTTTGTAGTTCTTCTTGAAGAGATCCTTCATATCACTTGTTGGCTGTATTCCTAAGTATTTTATTCTCTTTGTAGTGATTGTGAATGGGAGTTCATTCATGATTTGGCTCTCCACTTGTCTGTTGTTGGTGTAAAGGAATGCTTGTGATTTTTCACATTGATTTTGTATCCTGAGACTTTGCTGAAGTTGCTTATCAGTTCAAGAAGTTTTTGTGCTGAGATGATGGAGTTTTCTAAATGTAAAATCATGTCATCTGCAAACAAAGACAACTTGACTTCCTGTCTTCCTCTTTGAATACCCTTTATTTCTATCTCTTGCCTGATTGCCCTAGCCAGAACTTCCAATACTATGTCAGATAGGAGAAGTGAGAGAGGGCATCACTGGAAAAAGACTTATTTCTATAGATGGGTCTTAGGGTGTCAGTTGGGTAGGATGTGTTGGCTTTAATTCCACATGGACACAGTAGTCTCTAGTCAGTTTCTTCAGCTGTAATTCGTGCTAGTGATTTTTGTATCTCAGTGGCCTAGGCTGCAAGAGTTTGTGGCAGCAGTGGCACAACTTTGCTGGATGTGTGCTTGCTGGGCTATTTCTTAGGTGGAGGGAGGGATGTGAGTGCACATAATGTCCATGGTAAGTCAGCTAGCTGGGGGTCTGGCTCACTGAGGTTGGGGCTATGAGCCTGTTACTCTAGCCAGGGGTGTGGGCATACAGCTGCTTGGCTGCCCTGGGGGTGTGTCCTTGAGGGGCAAGCCCACTGGGCTGTTTTTCAGGCCTCAAGAACAGGCACACAGTCATTTGGTCAGTCTGAAGATGTGTCTGCCCAAGGTGGTCTGCCAAGCTGTTTTTCAGGACTTTGTTGTGCGTAGGGGCATGTTCACCAGGGATAGAGTCGCACATAGTAGACAAATTATAAAAGATAATTCAAGTCTCTTTATCTCTTTTTGGCATAAGCAGCAGATATCCTGAGCATCAAGAAAAAACTCAAGTAATGGAAAGAAGCAGGATTACTACTTTACAGAGGCCACATTCAAAACTTTTTTTTTTCATGAAACAGCTGTTTGTAACTCTATCTATAGTGTTCACTGCTTTATTAGAATTTTTCAGAGTCTCTTTGGAGGACTATATTCCAGTTTGAGAGAAAACCTTTCTCCTTGAGGATAATTGACTCTATCAATTCCAAGTGCTGGTAATTAATGATAGTAGAGAACTGGATGCAAATGATGTTTGCTAAGACCCACGTGAGCATATTGCTCTGTTAAGATACACATGGTCTCTAAGTACAATTTTTGGAGTTGAGAGCAGGAATACAATTAATGAAATATCCTCCCTCAATTTACCTTGTCTCAAAACTCAGATTAAGTACAAGGTAAGGTGCTTAAACAGTTTTAAATTTAGTAAATATATATGATGGAAGCCATTTGAGAAAATGATTTTTACAGTTTTAAGATGATGTGGTCCAAATGTTTGGCTTCCACACTACCACCATCTTTTGAGTTACAACATTTGATCTGATTTTTCTAATCCATGGGCTATCATAGTTCAGTTTAGTGTTGAATAATTTCATAAATCATATTCATGTACTGGTCCCTCTGTTCTTTCCAAGAATGTGGCTTTGATGAATAAACAACAGTTATAACATGTTTGTTTCTATCTCATGTACATCCAAAATTATAAAATCTCAATGTTGCACAAACTCAAGAGTTTCACCAAGTATATTGTATTGGCTTGGACTTCATTGGTTTTGTCAGTCTTTACTCTGCTAGACTGGGAAGAAAAAGTCTCCTAAATGTGAGATTCTGTAATTTTTCCTTTGAAACAAACTTCATCTTGCTTTTGCTTAATGAGGTCAAGAAAGTAGGGCTGAGGGTCCCTCCTGGGAGCATGTGGGGACCTGTGCAGGCTACTCTATGACTCCAATTTGTAGCTAGAGAATGAAGAAGAGCAGACCTGGGATGGACACATTTTGTTCACAGGTACAGTTGGTCACTGGGTCCTCCAGTAGACATGTTATGGCTGAAAACTCAGAGTATAGGCAATATTTACCCCCTTTTAAATTACACAAAATGATATTATCAGCAAAGCAGCCACATTTAACTTTAGTAGTCAAAGGGAAAAGGAGACACTTGGCAGCTTGCAATTGCTTTCCTTTTTAGTCTTTACAGTAATGGAATCGACTCAAACTGGTTCATCAGAGCCAATTGTACCCATCTCTTCCCAAACCCATGTTCAGTGACATCATACTGGTAACTTAATATTGACCATTGTGGGAGTAATTTATATCACAGAAATTGGCAAATGTTGCAAATCAGGACTTGGATTTTTTTTTTATCTTCAGAGGACCAGTTGTTAAATATTTACTAGCATACCACTGGTTTTATATCTAACTTGTTATTTCCTTTGATAACACATCATGAAACTCCTTCTCCTCATCACAGCTAATGTTTATTAATCACTTTATTTGAGCTGAACACTGTGCTAAGATACTTCACATGTGTTATTTTATTTAATTCTCACAACAACCTCATGAGGTTTAAGTCTCAGCTTGTGGTTGAAGATGCACAGATTTTATTTCTCAGGTAACACTTTCAAATAAGGAAACCAGAGCTCAATAAGGTGATATAACTTTTTTTTGAGATGATACAGCATGTAAGTGGTAGATTGTAGAATGTAATTTCTGGCTGACTCATGCTTTTAACCACATGCACTATGGTCTTTCCCAGCATAGGTTTTGTAGAAAACTGTTCTGGGCTCAAAATAATGATATCTTGGTTCTAGTGCACTCTCTGCACCCAGTCTGACACCTAATCTCTCAGAACCTCAGTGTCTGCATCTATAAAATAAGGCCAATGATAATAACTCCACCTGGCTCAGAGGATGGTTTTACCACTTAAATAATAGTATACAAAAGATTTATTTGGAAAGCTTAAGGACTATATAAATGGGAGATAACATTACAGGCTAAGTAAAAGTAAATATAGTCACACACATGCACACACACACACACACACACACACACACACACACACACAAAATTCCAGTGTAGAAGATTTGGCTGAAGTGAGTAATTTATATAAAGGCAGGTTCTGAGGACTCTTATAATGAATATTACTGGGTAAACTGGCAGGATGTTCGGCTTGGCAATATCTGATCTTATCTCTTGGAATTCTTTGGCTTTGGCACTCTCTAGCCTTCCCAGACAGTCTGACTGGTGATCAAGGTAGCCCTAATCTCATGGGCAGATTTGGATGGTGGATGCCTTCTAGGAATCAAATTGTTAACAAGACAGGTCAGTGTTGGGAAGTTGACATTTAATGACTTTAGGGAGAATTTCTGCTATGTTATGACCATGTTTTAATAAAGAGGTCCTTTTGCTGCTCCCAGAGCTATTTATGCTTTCAATAGTAAGCGTATTCCATTGTTATTAATTTCAGGTTTATTTTCTGCACTATATTGAACTCTCCATGATATCATATAATTATTTGATCACTATAGAATCTCCAGCACCAAGTACTGAGATTAGCAGATAGTATTGCTTTGTAAATATCTACCAAACTTGCACTTGCATGGGTGAGCTAACTTAGTCTGTTTCTGTGCACTTATTCATAACAGGTCCTCGTTTATCCTAACTACTTCTCATTCCGTTAGTTTGCTGAATTAATGAACAAGTATGTATCACTGTTGCATAGGCACCTTGGACAAATCTAAGATGCGTGATCTAGTATAATTTTTAAACAAATGATTTAAAAGAATTTCAGATGATTTTTACATTTTCATGTCTGATTTAACTTACCATTGATATCAATCTTGCTAACTTTCCTTCACTGGATGAAAAATGCTAAGGCTCTCAACTTCTGTCTTCTGCATTTCGTTCTACTAAGCTCAGTGAGGAATTTGATTTCTTTTGTAATATGGTATAAGCTCTCAATATGGCTTCAAAATAGTCTGTATTTGTGAAAGCTTCACATGTGACTCTGATCCACAACTAGAGTTGCTGGCATTGAGTTAGAGAATTCTATTTGCTAAGTATGCCTTTTTAACTGGAAGGAGTGCAGGATAGTGCTTCAGCAACTATGTACTCTATTTTCCTACAGATGAAGTATGAACAATGGTAACAAAGCAAGTAAAATGTAGTTATCTAAGCACCTAGTGAGGTTCTTCATTTGCTGCTTGGACATCTTAATAAATTAGAGAGCAAATAATCATTACTTTGATAATCATTCAAAATAATACTTCTACATACTGGCTACATCTCACAAGTAATATAGATGATCTTAGTGGTCTTGGCTATAAATCTTTTTTGATGTAATTTCTAAAACTTACACTAATCAGAACTAGACTGGTATAATCAGAGTGGTCCATCTTCTATTTAGTATTTCAAGAAGTTAGAAATATCATTTCAGATACATTATTAATAACTTTATACCTTTCTATGAGACAAATAAGAACAATTATATTTTTGATAATAGACTAGAAGTTCTAGGGACAGCAAATTAAAGTGTTTAAATTGCAAGTAGATGTCTGGCAGATAATCATGCTAATTATCTGGTAACTTATATGTCAAGCCTAACAATTTATATCTGAACGCATACATCTACCTGTGTGTATGCATCAAATATAAAGTAACCTCCCCAGTACTTTCTCTTAAAGATCAGCAAATAGCTGATAGATTAGTAACTCCACGGTCCTGATATTCAATATTGCAGCCCATGTGCTCATAGGTCAGACAGATAATTAAAGCTACTTACTGCTTATTAAAATAAGTGGACCAGGAGAAAATATGAATCAGGGAACTTAGTATTAATCTCACTAGATTTGTTTGCTTTTTTGAAAATCCTCTCAATACAAAAGTTTGTAGAGGAGTATTCCTTACACTTCTTTAACAGATAGACCCCAGTGTGAAAACAATAACAACAACTAAAACCCCAAAACCAAAATCAGAACACCCCATTGTACTGTAGCTAGTCATCACTAGTAATTCAAAGTATAGTTGTTAGAATTACTGGGTTAGGGAGGAAATATTTTTGCTAAAAAGTACTTTTATTTTATAAACCATGAGTTATTAATTTGTGCTGAAGACAGAAAAGATATTCTGTCACTTTTGGAAATATAGCCACTTGTAAAGCACTTGCCTGCCGTCAGAATAGGAAGCCTCATGGCTTATAAATCTAGACTGTCTAAGGAGAATTATTGTTGGACTGGATTGTATAGGAGGTCAGGGAACAAATAAAAGTCTTATTTAACAAGCTTGGGGAGAATGACTCTTGATGTTTACCCAGGTATCTGATCCAAAGACTAGTATATTTTTCCATCATTTATTAATCAGTGCAAGCAATATTTATTAAGCATTTCCTATGTGATGTACTGACTTCATGTGACTTATTAGTAAAAGCTATTCCTGAGAGACTATGTACTAGAAGAGGTACTGAGGAGGAGATGGTGGGTAAACTGAAGATGGGTTACTAGGAACATTTAAGGCTTCCAAACTGCCTGAGTCCCATCTGTGATCATGCCACATCTGAAAGTTTGTGTCCATTCCTGCTGCCAACTTATTAATGATCTAGCTGTTTATGGGTGTTCTATCCTTTGTTTATTCCACTAGATTTAATAGCCTGTAAATGCCTGTAAATGCCCTGGGCCTGCCCTGAGCAAGGCAGGTAGTGTATGATAAGACCTTTACTAATCTGGAAACAGTCTGCTTCCGTACTGCGGTGGGTGGTATTGGGTATAGAACAGTCATTCTACTAACCCAGTGGTTAGTTTTTTAGGCTAGGACCATGGGGCAGTGCCATATTGCTTTCTCTGGAGAACAGTTATTCATTGTGAATGGCTATCCTTAGCCATGAGAGGTATTAGAGGGAATAGTGTGCTAGGAATGATGTCTGGGATGTTACCATCTTCTCTAAAAAGACTCCCTAATTAATCAACTCCTTGTTTTCCCCATGAGTGTCATCCTTTTAATGTTCAGTAGAGAAAAATCACCTTCCAGAGGGTAAGAGATGGCTGTCATTTGCAAAAAGTATGACTACTCTCATGGCTTCTGAGGAAATGGAAAAAGCTAGGATCAGTGAGGAAAGGCATGGACTTAAAGCCAGTCATGAGCATGAAGCACATTCGTGATGGAGTGCTAGAGGATTCTTGCCATTTGCATTGAACATCTGCTTTCCAGCTTCCATTTTAGTTATGTAAACATACCAGAATGAGTTAACTTGGGTGGAATCTCAAATCATTCCTTTTGGGGATAGGATATGCCAGAACGGCCTGATATAGGGATATGAGCAGGCATCTCAGGTGAGAAATCTGTGTCGCTTACTTTATTCCCCATTAAAAACCTGCATTCTTGTTATTTACATGGGCTTTCTTCTCCCTTTCTCCATTCCCCTTTGTATCTGGTATCTGTCTCTTCCCTCGATTCTTCCTTCTTTCCCAGGTGTGTTTGATAACTGCTCCCACACTGTCAGTGACAAAGGCTGGGCCCTGGGGATCCGCTCAGGGAAGGACAAGGGAAAGCGGGATGCTCGCTTCTTCTTCTCCCTCTGCACCGACCGCGTGAAGAAAGCCACCATCTTGATTAGCCACAGTCGCTACCAACCAGGCACATGGACCCATGTGGCAGCCACTTACGATGGACGGCACATGGCCCTGTATGTGGATGGCACTCAGGTGGCTAGCAGTCTAGACCAGTCTGGTCCCCTGAACAGCCCCTTCATGGCATCTTGCCGCTCTTTGCTCCTGGGGGGAGACAGCTCTGAGGATGGGCACTATTTCCGTGGACACCTGGGCACACTGGTTTTCTGGTCGACCGCCCTGCCACAAAGCCATTTTCAGCACAGTTCTCAGCATTCAAGTGGGGAGGAGGAAGCGACTGACTTGGTCCTGACAGCGAGCTTTGAGCCTGTGAACACAGAGTGGGTTCCCTTTAGAGATGAGAAGTACCCACGACTTGAGGTTCTCCAGGGCTTTGAGCCAGAGCCTGAGATTCTGTCGCCTTTGCAGCCCCCACTCTGTGGGCAAACAGTCTGTGACAATGTGGAATTGATCTCCCAGTACAATGGATACTGGCCCCTTCGGGGAGAGAAGGTGATACGCTACCAGGTGGTGAACATCTGTGATGATGAGGGCCTAAACCCCATTGTGAGTGAGGAGCAGATTCGTCTGCAGCACGAGGCACTGAATGAGGCCTTCAGCCGCTACAACATCAGCTGGCAGCTGAGCGTCCACCAGGTCCACAATTCCACCCTGCGACACCGGGTTGTGCTTGTGAACTGTGAGCCCAGCAAGATTGGCAATGACCATTGTGACCCCGAGTGTGAGCACCCACTCACAGGCTATGATGGGGGTGACTGCCGCCTGCAGGGCCGCTGCTACTCCTGGAACCGCAGGGATGGGCTCTGTCACGTGGAGTGTAACAACATGCTGAACGACTTTGACGACGGAGACTGCTGCGACCCCCAGGTGGCTGATGTGCGCAAGACCTGCTTTGACCCTGACTCACCCAAGAGGTAAGGGACTGGGATTTGGGGTGTCCTACTTGTAGGATGCATTTCTAACATCATTTTATCTGTTTGGTTTTGGAGGCAAATGTGTTCACACACTCCCTGAATAAGACATTAATCCACCCCATCAGACAGTATTAAGCTTTTGTGAAGTGCTAGGTGTTCTGTTAGGTAATTAGGGGCACAGATGACTGAGAAAAGAGACAGTCCTCACAGAACTCACTGTTTGTGGGGCAGAAAGCTGTGTACACAGTGTGAAGCGCACCCAAAAGCATATGCACCAGGTACTTGGGACACAGGAAAGCTGAACAACTTACTCTACCAGAGGAGGCCAGGAAATCTTCATGGAGAACAAACAAGGCATCCAGGCCTAGACACCAGTCAATACTAATTACACGTGACAATACTTCCTATAGTCTTAGCATCTTGGCAAAGTAATACAGATCTGTGAAAATGTGTTAGGTCTATTTAGTCTAAGCAGTTCAGCAGTTTCGTAAAGTTTCGTGTTACATCTCGCCACTAGTCTCCTTTAGGTGACTGGGATCTTTCACTGTTGCCCCATTAAATTCCATTCTTTGTGCAGCATCCAGAAGGATCTTTTTAAAAAGGTAAGTTGGATCCTGTCATTTCTCGTCTTAAGATTTTTTCCTCCACTGCACTCAGAATAAAATCTGAACCCCCTACCTGATACACAGCCTCTTAATGCAATCTGGCCTCTGTCTACCTCTCCATCACCACCTATATAGCACAGCCTCGCTGACTTGATTCTGTTCCATTGAACAGATCAAGCTTTTTTCTGCCCTCAGGGCTTTTATGTGCTGTTCCATCTTCTTGGAATCCTCCTTTCCTTAATATTCCCATGGTGGGCTCTCTCTTGTCATTCAAATACCTACTTAGATGTTACCACCTGGGAGGCCTTTCCTAATCCCTCAAATTAAATCTATCAATTACTGTTACATCAACTAATTTAAATTTCCTGTTTAACACTTAGTACTTCAGATAATTTGTCTTTCACGTTCATGTGTTTGTCTGTTTTTCCCCTATTTGGAATATCAGCTACATGAGATAGGGGCCCTTGTCTATTCTGTTAACCACTATATTCCCAAGGCCTAGAATAGCAGCTGACATTTAGTTGTTTAAGTTGATGAATAAATGGATCTGGTGTGTCTCTTGTTCTGAGACAGAAGCCTTAAGAAGATTCTCATTTGACGGCTGTTGCAGGGGTTGGACATAATAGAGGAGGGTAAGAAAGTAGGTAGGTAGCTAGTGAACTTGTTAATATGTGTATGTGGACAAGGTATCCCCAGTACACAACTGGTGCCTTTGTTCAAATTATGAAAAGGCTTACCTGACCTAGGGTACAGGGCTGGTGGGAGGTGGCAGAACAGGATCTCAGCTTCCACCCAATGTCTTGATGGCTACTTTTGTATTGGACACCATTTGTACAAGTAGTTCATGGTATCCCTGTGTGTGGGGAGTCCTCTTGATATGAGTTAACACTAATAGAGTGGCCTGTACTTCAAGCATGTGGTATCAAAAATCGAGAATACAATTTGGAATCAAGGGACATGGTTAAATTTTGGAGTCCTTGCTACTTAACTAGGTTTGCAAGTTACGCAAGTCACGTTCGGAAACTCAGAAGTCTTGTCTGTAAACTAGGGATGATTGCAGTAATACCTTGCATTATCAGTATTTTCAGATTATTTTGTGAATCAAATGAAATAAAGTATAGGAAAGTAGCTCTAAAGTTTTCAAAGCACACAAATTGTTGTAAAATAAGATTAGTTCTTATTATTAAGGCTGACAGATAGCAAGCTTTTATTTACATAATAATGCAAAGAGAGCTAATCAAATTATCAGAACTACTTGTATAAGAAAATTCTGTTTGGAACAATGAGAACACATGGACACAGGGAGGGGAACATCACATACCGGGGTCTGTCATGGGCTGGGGGGCTAGGGGAAGGATAGCATTAGGAGAAACACCTAATGTAGATGATGGGTCGATGGGCGCAGCAAACCACCATGGCACGTGTGTACCTATGTAACAAACCTGCACGTTCTGCACATGTATCCCAGAACTTAAAGTATAATTTAAAAAAAAAGAAGAAAAGAAAATTGTGTTTGGATTTGGTTTTTAGATTTTGGTAACCTTAAGCAGAAGCTAAACCTCACTAACAGCAGTGGTTAGCAACACTTAGGATCCCCCAGATAAATGAGAAAGTCTGGTCTCCTAGTTTATAGTAATAACCCACTGCCCTGTCTGAGAGAGCTGTCTTTCAAGGTATCCAGGTATTATTCTCCTCAGAGTTTCCCTTTATTTCTCTGAGTTCCTATCACACTGCCCTTATCTGGGTGTTTATAACTTACTCACCTCACTGCCTGCAGAAGGGGAACTCACTCCTATTTATAGACCCAGTAGTGTTTTGAACCTTTATTCATAAGTGACTCTTTTACCCCCCACATATAAAACCTGCTTTGTGGAATACAAAGGAAATATTTATACTTTTTGATAGTTAAAAATACTAACTCAAAGTAAAAAAGTGCTCATGGTTTAAAATATCAAATTATACCAAAAGACAGAAGGAAGAAAAACAGTGTCCTGCCTAACTCTTCCCCATCCTTCTCCACACTCTGTCCTTGCTCTGCACAGGTTACTATATTTATTTTTTTCACCTGTTTTTTTTTCTGGTAGTTTCCTGTACACCTCCAAATATTATATTTATATTGCTTGGTTCATCAATTTTAAACATTATCCATTGATTTCTGATGATACAGACAAGACTAACTCTCTTACATTATCTCCTTCCTTGCCCTTGCATCCTTCCATATAATTACTATTTTTTGTTGAATCAATTGTATGTATTATAGTATTATGACTGTGAAATGTTAATTGTTGCAGAACAAAGTACTATTCTATTATTATATTTCTTTCCTTGCACAGCTTCTTCCCATTTCCAGCCCCACCCCTTGAGTCTCTATTTTTCCTTCCTTTCTTCTTTTATTCTTTCTTGATATTCTTGATTGTTTTCAAATGCTTTATTTTACCCACTAATTTGTAGAATATATTTATGAAAATGTTCCCCTCCTCTGAGCTGTTCTAACACTAAATAAAACTCTTCTTCTTCACCCTTAAAAAAATGTTTTTTACACTCCTATAGAGCTCTCTCTTCTAGTTAATTCTATTCTTTTCTTCCAGTCTTGGCCAGTTGTCTTTAGGTCTGCTGCACAGTTGTCATCCTGGGACTTCTCTTCAATGCGTTTTTTTGGGGGGGTTAGAGCTACTGTGTCCTGAATTACATGAATATCTCTTAATTTACTACCTTATTTTACTGGAAAACATCCTCAAGCAAATTTCTAAGAAAAGATGTTTCAGGTAATCTTTTTTGAAAATGCACTTCTCAGAATGATTTTATTCTGCCTTCCTACAAAATTGATAGTTTGACTTGGTATAAAATTTTGGATTGAAAAACAGTTTATCTCAAACTTATGAAGAAATTCATTAATTACTTCTAGCTTCTGTTCTGATAATTGTGTGTATTTTTATAGGTGTGTGTGTGTGTATATATATATACACCCATATATGTATGTATGTATGTACATATATATATATACACACACACACACACACAAATATATTTGCATATTCTTTTAGCATCTTATCCTTAGCCTTGTTACACTAGGGATTTGTAAGATTATTTTTTAGGGATTGCCTTTTATTGTTCTTTTGTTGAACACTGTTCAATTTGGACACTTATGCCCCTGGTCTCTGGAAAAATCTCTTAAACTGTTACTTTGATATTTCTTCATTCAGTTTTCTCTGTTCTCTTTGTTACCCCTGATACTCCTGGGGATGAATCTACTGAACTTACTCTTTTTCTCTTTTCTCTCCTACGTTCTCTTTGTTAGTTTGTTCTACTTTTTTTTTTTTTTTTGAGATTTCTTTGAGTCTATCTTTCAATGCTTTTATTTACTTTTATATTTTAGCAATCATACTTTAAAAACCTTCTTATTCTTTGATTATTTTTAATATAATCTTAAAAAATTTTAAGATAAGCATTTTCAAAGATAAAAATGTGATTCATTTGGAATTGTTTTTTTGTGTGTTATATCCGATGCATCTGAAGTCAACTTTTCTTTTTTTATTATATTTTAAATTCATGACTATCATTTATGCTGGTGACTTTCCTTAAATGTCTAATGCTTATTCACAGTAGAAACCACACTTTTAAATCTCTACCTATGACGATCTAAGAAAGAATAATTATCTATGAATTTTCTCTTTTGAAAAAAGAAATTTGAAGGCAGAAACATAGAGGAGGAGAGAGGTTTTCTTTCTTCTCAGCTCTCTTATACTTATTTTGTGTGTAGGTCTTTTCTGCCTTCCCTATCCTATTTTTTGTGTTGAATCTTTATTATTAAAAATATTAATTTTTTATGACTCTTGGCAAAAGCAATATTTTGAAAAATCATTATTTATCAAGCTTCTATGATGTGTCAGGCATGGTAAGGTAAGCAGAGGGACACACGTAAAGACTATGGAAAGGATAAGGGCTAACGATTTGGAGGAGAAGTTCAGTAATTTTATCTGAATTCTCTGGGTTTAAATCCAGGCTGAGGCATTAAAAGCAGAACATGGGATGTGGCTTTTCTTTGTCATGGTTTAGATTGCCTGAAAGGACTTTTGATTCATAGAGATATAGATCTTTGGGTTTCCATGAGGTCCTGTGACTTGGTGGAGTTAGTCTCTGAACTAGATTAGCTTTGTAGAGCCTCCCTATTATTACAATTAAATCACAGAGCTCGGCCGGGCGCGGTGGCTCACGCCTGTAATCCCAGCACTTTGGGAGGCCGAGGCGGGCGGATCACGAGGTCAGGAGATCGAGACCATCCTGGCTAACACGGTGAAACCCCGTCTCTACTAAAAATACAAAAAATTAGCCGGGCGTGGTAGCGGGCGCCTGTAGTCCCAGCTACTCGGGAGGCTGAGGCAGGAGAATGGCGTGAACCCGGGAGGCGGAGCTTGCAGTGAGCCGAGATCGCGCCACTGCACTCCAGCCTGGGCGACAGAGCGAGACTCCGTCTCAAAAAAAAAAAAAAAAAAAAAAATCACAGAGCTCAAGCTCACAATTCCATTATACTGTTACTCTGAAGGGACTCAACTTTGAGAAATGCTTTGCGAGTCATCTATTGAGTGGAGTGCTCCAGGCACAGAGTCTTTCCACTCACAGTGGAAGCACCTTCGACTGTTGAGGGAGAGTAGTAGAAAGTGGGGGACAGACCTACAAATAGATCACTAACATTCGAATGCAAGGGTTGATGTATGAACAACTCTCCTCACTTCCCAAATCCTGTTCAATCTTCCTGCTATGGTTCCAATGTGTCTCCCAAAGTTCTTATTTCCTGCTATGGTTCCAATGTGTCTCCCAAAGTTCATATGTTAGAAATTTAATCCCTGAAGCAACAGTGTTGAGAGGTGAAAATGTTAAGAGATACTTAGGTCATGAGAGCTCTGCCCTCGTGAATGGATTAATGCTGTTATCACAGGAGTGAGTTTCTGATAAAAAGATGAGTTTGCTACCCCTCTGTCATGTCTGCTTTCTTGCACTTCTGTCTTCTGCAATGTGATGATGAAGCAAGAGGACCTTCACTAGATGCAGGCCTCTCGAGCTTGGACTTTACAGCCTCCAGAACTGCAGGAAATTAATCTCTTTTTTTCATAAATTACCCACTCTCATGTATTCTGCTATGGCAGCACAAAACAAACAAAGATGCATTCCTACCACCCCCAGCAAGAAACCAGAAATCTAGCCCAAAGTAGTTCCTCTCCCAAACGCTCTGAGAGGAGAGAGAGCCTGACGCATCCAGCATCAAACATCTGCAACCCAGATGGGCCTATCAAAGGGAGAGTACTTATCAAGCTCTGGACTGGTCAGGAGGAGATATGAATTACAGATACATTACCCAGCCAGTTGAACAGACTTACCAAGATAAAGGAACTTGGAACTAGGCAGGGCTACATAAGCCAGATGTCTGTTTCTACATAGTAGCTGCCCTGAGAGATGATCTGCGAGAGTTAAGGGAAGGAAGGGTGTTGAGTGTCCACTTCAGTAAAATCACAAATGTCATTGACTATTCCCTGTGGTACATACTAGGGAGCTCAGCCCAAAGGAATTTCTGTACCCTCAGGGGAACTTGTCTTCCCTGACCTTTGCAGGCTTCAGCTTCTTTTTGGTTATTAATTGTTTCTGTCACATTTCTCCCTAAAATTATGTCTCAGAGTTACAGTTCTTTGCTGCTGCACCTACTTTCCATCCCATGCTTTCTCTCCTTTTCGCAATAGAGTTGAGCAAGTATTTCATTAAATCTGGAACTCTGCTTGTCTCTCTTTTTTGGTTTCTATATCTCAGATCTCATAATATTGCTATAATGTGGAGAAAAGTCTCCAAATAAAAACAAATGGTTGAACAAGGCATCAATCATCTAGTGTCTGACCATGCTCTGAAGCAGAAAATGGGGATACTGCATATTTGTTTTCTCTATATTTGTTTCTGAAGCCTGTGATGGGCTAATTTCTGAAGCCTGTGATGGGCTAACATCTCTATGTGTTGGCAACTCATTGTCTCTTCTTTGCCTCATTCCCTGAGGTTTCACTGGGGAGTTCGAGGGCGGAGGACTCTTATACATAGCAAGGCTTGCCCATGGCACACTCCCCTCTAAAGAAGTCCTCAAGAGGGTGGCTGGGAATTGTCCTGAGGGATATGGCAGAGAGTGGAGTCTGCAGGTATACAATAGAAAGGGTGTATCTTGGGACAGGAAGGTAGAGGCACATGGCATCAAAGGGAACAGGTGAAGAAGTTGATGCTGCACAGACCTGGATGCTTTGGATTAGCTGTGCTTTGCTCACCCACACTCGGAGGCTGTTGAGCCAAAGGCATGGTCAGGCTGGGCCCTTGCAGTGGCTGGTCTGTTAAACATCAGCCAGGCTTCATTATAGGTTTCTTTTGAAGTTGAGATTCAAAGTTCCCTGAAGCCAAAAAAAACACACGCAGGGAAAATAAGCGTAAGGGGTAGAAGAGGGCAGGAAGAAAAGAAGTGGAGGAGAAATTTTAAAACTAAACAGCAAAAAAAAAACTGCCAGTTCCCTCACTTCAAAATTCACAGGCAGTGTGAACTCTAGAGCAAGTGTCACCTTCTCATGGTCACGTCAACTGGCAATGGGAATAGAAGGAAAGAAATAAGAGGAGGTTCCATAGATAAGCACAATAAGTTTACCTACAAATAGAAATGTCTCCTGTTTATTTTCCTATAAGCCAGTTTCTCCACAGTTCCAATAGGCACCGTATTATGGAGCAAATGAAATCCCCAGTTTCTCTGTTCACCTGGCTTGTGGACTTTCCTCCTCAGGTGAGTGGGGGGCTGGGGAGTGGTGACTGTTTTTCTCCTTTTCATAGTTTATTTCTAGCCAAATAGACAGACTTGTGAGTGAGCCATGTAGTCTGTCTGGGTTAAAAATATTTCCTTTTAGAAATTTTTCCAGAGAGACCCCAGTCTCCAAATACACTCAGTTATTCAAAATACTTCGGCTTTTTCCTAGGAGTTGGGGTGCTATCCCTGGGGCCTTGGCCAAATGCCAATCTGTTTCAGATGATTTCACTTACAGGTTCCTTCCTAGAATTTAAGCCTAAGAGTTTGAAAGACAGCTGCACACTTACACATTTTTCTTTGCCTTGGACTCTGGTTTGTAATTACTTCAGTGACTGGATATAAATGAAATCTTGTTGGTAGGTCTTCCCCTAACCAGGCCCTCTTTCCCTTGATGTCAGAGTTGTAGAGTGGGTAGTGGGCGGGACATGTAGTTAGGGTGGCCGTCAGGGGTTTTTCTGAGGTTCCATCAGAGCACCAGCCTCTGGAGGAAGCTCCTGATCTATTATTAATTTCAACTCCAAGGTTTCTCTCACTTCTTACCCAGAGCGCTGTCCAATGGTTGTGGATCTGATTTCCAGAGACAAACACTTAAATAACTACTACTTATCCTTCAAGTCTCAACTAGGATGCACATTCCTCCTTCTTGGAAGCATTCTGTTGCCCTCAAATACAAATTAGCTACCTCATTTGTATCACTTCTCATCCCCCTATAGCCACCACCCTAATCCAGGTCCCCATCTTCACTCATCTGGATTATTGCAATAGTCTTTTAACTGGTCTCCCACTTTTGCCCTTGCACTGTTGCCCCGAGTCTATTTTTAACATAGCAATCAGAGTAATCCTATTAGGGTATAACTCAGATCAAGTCATTCCTCTCCCCCTAATTCTCCAGCAGCTTACCAGCTTATTCAGAATCAAAGCCAACAGCATGACTCTGATCTATAGGGTCATATAGCATCAGTCACTTCTGTGGCCTCACCTCTTACCATGCTCCTTATTGCACTCCAGCCACACTGGCCTTCTGACTTGCCAGATGTACTCCTACTGCATGATCTTTTCAGTGGCTTTTCACTTTTCTGGAATATTCTTCCTCCAGATTTCTACACAGCTAACTTTCCCACTTTCTTCTGGTCTTTTTTCAAAGTCAGTTTCTAGGTGAGGCCTTCCCTGGAGACCTCACGTAAAATTGTACACATTGTCTTGGCTCTTTATGGTTTCTTCCCCTGCTTTATTTTTCTTTTTAGAATTTATCACAAACATGCTATTTTGTTTATTTTGCTTAATATTCATTTTCTCCACTAGAAAGTAAATTCTACGAGGGAAGGGGTTTTTATACGTTTGGGCGACTCTCATACTATAACACCTACAACAGCAAAAGGAACAGACTAAGTATTCAATAAATAATTGTTAAAAAAAGGAATGTTCTTATTCTAGTACAGTGGTTGGCAAACCATGGACCATGGATCACATCTGGTCTATCACGTGTTTTTGTAAATAAAATTATTTTGGAATACAGTTACACTCACTTGTTTACATATTGTCTATGGCTGCTTTCATGTGGCAGAGTTGTGCAGTTAAAACAAAGACCATGTGGCCCACAAAGCCTAAAATATTTACTATCTGGCCGTTTATGAAAAAAACTGCCAACCCCTGCTTAAATACATATTTATCATACCATACTGTAACTTCCCATTCTTGTCTGTCTCTTGCACAAGACTTTAGTTTCTTTGTTCACAGTTCTTGGAACACATTTGATATTTTAAAAATGAATTAGTGTATACATATAAATATATATCTGTATGTAGATGGAAAACCAATGACATGACAATGTAGGGCAAGGGTTTTAGTAGAGTAAAAATTTACAGGCAGAGGATACTACTATGTATGGAAAAAGAAGGGTATTCAGAGACTACACTATAGTAAACTTTTCTACTGGTCTCATTGCTATGGTAGCGTTGCCCCATTTAGATCTAGTAAGTAAAATAACTGACAATACTCATGGAAGTGTGAACCTGTTAGCTAAGGAGGGAATGGCTTTAAGCCATTTTCTTCATTAACTTGTTATTTGAGTACCTGAGTCCCCAGGAGGCTCTAAAAATCTGAAACATGGGGTAAATTTTGATGAGCATAAAAATAGCTACAATAGCCAGGAAGTATTAATAACATGAATCCCCTTTACCTAGCGAGTCAGTGAATGAGAAAAAGACCAGACTCCAAAAAAGGAATACAAGACCTCTTGGACATGATGTTACAGATTAGGCAAGATCCTTATCAGGCACTTTAGTTAGGATTTTGCAATTGTAGGGAACAGACCTGCTCATGTTAACTGCAGAAACTGGATTTATTGTAAAATTACATATGGGCTGAAAGTGGAGCTAGAGAGTTGCAGAGACTGTGGCATTCAGGAACTCCATCTCTCTCAAAGGGTACATATTTCTCTAAATCTTAGTTCATTCTCACCATTCATGTCTGTTAGCAATCTGCTAGATTACTCATAGTTTCTGCTCCCTTATAGCTTTAGTTTAAAACATTGCTTCAGCTTGCTCTGGCTCCTAATTTATCTCATTGAGTTTTTCCCTTCAGATTTATATCCTATTGACAGTTGCCACAGTTTCTCATAGTACCTTGGTTCAAATTCTGAGGACAGTCAGTGTCAACTGGCCTAACTCATCTTTACATGTTAGTTCGGAAGTCATAGGTTTCTGGCCAACCTTGGGTTTAAGAAACCGTGGCCAAAAGAGCAGGATAGCTGGAGGGCTCCTCAGAGCTCCAGGTCTGCAAATCTCTCTCAGCTGATGTCAACCCTACTCGGAGTAGAATGAGCTGGTTTTTCATCTTTACTACTTGAGGATGAAGCTTCTGACATGTTTAATTCTGGTAATGTCCTTTTCTTTAGACCTTAGACCTTGGTATTCTTGGTGATGTAACTCCCACTGAATTTTAATGCTAATTTTACTCTTGGAATTGCATGATTTAGATTTCAAACTCAAATATGCTAGGCTATCCAAGTGAAGTACCTGGTTCATAGTAAAATTATATATAATATTTTATATATATACACACACACATATATATATAATTATACCAATGAAACAAAGCATTTTGCATGGATTATTTTATTTAATGCTCACCATAGCTCCAAAAAGTAAATATTTTGATTATATGTATTTTATACTTAAATTTAGATAGTCAAATACCTATCATTATGCAATAGCAGACATAAGTTAAACTCTGACTTCAGAGCCTGATTTTCCAACTGCGATTCTATATTGTGTGTTAAGTATAAGTCTTACACACCAGCAAAATGTTTAGCTGATAGTGGATAAAAACTAAGTATTTGTTGATTTTAATTATGTAATGATTATTTCAGAGAATACATTCTTGAAGAATGAGGGCAAGGAAAGGAAAACTACTATGGGCTTAGGGATTAGGAAATACTTTATAGAAGAGATGAGTTTCTTTTTTTAGATGGAGTCTTGCTCTGTCACCCAGGCTGGAGTACAGTGGCGTGATCTCAGCTCACTGCAACCTCCACCTCCCAGGTTCAAGTGATTCTTCTGCCTCAGCCTCCCGAGTGGCTGGGACTACAGATGTGCGGCACCATGCCTGGCTAATTTTTGTATTTTTAGTAGAGATGGGGTTTCACCATATTGACCAGGCTGGTCTTGAAATTCTGACCTTGTGATCTGCCTGCCTTAGCCTCCCAAAGTGCTGGGATTACAGTCATGAGCCACCATGCCTGGCTGAGTTTCTTAAAATATGTACAGTGTAGAGAGCAGAAAGAAGAGTTTGTTAGGAAAGGTCAGTTACATGAACCAAAGTACAGATGTGCAAACATGTTAAGGCCACTCTAAAAAGAACAGCTTGAAAGGAGGAAAATTTCTTAGAGAAAAGTGAGGAAGAAAACTGGAAAAGTTATACTGGACAATAGTCTTAGATGTTGGGCTAAGGGATTTGAACCATAAGCAATTAGGAGCCATAAATGATATATGGATATATACATGTCTGTTTTAACAGATATATATGTTTTATTTTTATTTTTATTATTTTTATATTTATTTTTATTGATACCTAACATTTTATGTATTGATTGGGTGCATGTGATATTTTGTTACATGTATAGAACGTGTAATGATTAAGTCAGGGTTTTCGAGGTATCCATCACTTTGAGTATTTATCATTGCTATGTGTTGAGAACAATTCAAGCTCCTCTCTCCCAGCTGCTTTAAAATATATAATGCATTGTTGTTAACTATAGTCACTCTACTCTGCTGTTGAACAGTAGCGCTTATAGCTTTTATCTAATTGCATGTTTGTACCTGTTAACCTACCTCTCTTCATATCTACTTCCACACTTCCTAAGCCTCTAGTATCTATCATTCTACTCTCTACCTTTGTGAGGTCAACTTTTTTAGCTCCCACATATGAGTGAGAGCATGCAACATTTGACTTTCTGTGTCTGAGTTAGTTCACTTAATATATGTCCTTCAGTTTCATTCATGTTGCTGCAAATGGCAGATTTCATTCCTTTTTGTGGCTGAATATTATTCCATCGTGTATATATACATGTTCTTTATCCAGTCGTTCACTGATAGACACTTAGGTTGACTGGACTTTCTATTAAATGTATATGACTACTTGTACCTCTGTCCTCCATTTGCCCTAATATCTCTTCAGTTTTTCCATATCTCTGCTGTCCTGTGCTGCATTTGAATAGCTGTTTTTTATTTACTGCCCAGCCAACTCTTTCTTTAGGTTTGGCTAACCGGCTTTTATAACTCACCAATAAACTGTTAATTTTTATTAGTGTACTTTTAATCTCCATAAGTTGTATTTAGTTCTTTGTCACATCTGCCTAGCCGTTTTTAATTTATTTTTGTTAATTCGTAATTTGGATATGCTGTTTTTATTTTTAAAAGCATGTTAAAGTGATGGATACATGAACTTACATAAGTAATAAAAACACCCACAAACAAGTATGAGTGAAACTGGGGATATCTGAACAAGATTGATGGATTGGATCAATGTCAGTATCCTGGTTGTGATACTGTATTATAGTTTTTCAAGATATCATCATTGAAGGAAACCAGGTAAAATGTATACAAGATTACTCTGTAATATTTCTTACAATGGGAATCTACAGTTTATTTCAAAAGAAAAAATTTAATTAAAAACATTAGGCATTTAAAAATATTTTACATCAGCTACTCTGATATTTGATATTACTGCTTGCTCTTCCTCACAGTGTTTTGTTTCTTCATGGGTGCTTTATGATTTTTGATTGTGAGTCCATGTTCCTTAAAACTTTATCTGTTCAATTTCTTTCCAGCCTGAGTTAAATCTATGCTGTGTTACTTCTGACAATTGCCTAGGGCACTACCAACATAAAACCACTTTAAAATATATTATTGGCATGAATTTTTTTATACCATACCATCTTATGAATTTGCGGTGCAAATCTGTGATATTTGGCTGGTAGTTACAATTCTCAGGGAAAATTTTCCCCGTGTTTTGGGTCAAGGCCAAGGAATACAGGTTTTCTTGCTGTACCTCTTGATAAAGTGGGCTTTTTAATTTTTAATATTTTTGGTACTCTGTTTTATCGACAGTGCAGTCCGTGGGAATTCTGGCTTTATGTGAGGCTCTCTTATCGAACACCCTACCTTTGTAAGCCCTTTTTTTATTCAAGATTCTCAAAAGACTGTCAAACAAGTTCCTGGGCGTTAGGAATAGGGAGAGCCCTCAGAGAAGTCAGTGGCTTCAGAAAATGTTTATTTTCTAGATTCCTCTTTTAACTTTGTATGTGGAGTCTGAAGATATCCTTTAATCTCTTTCCAACTTTACAATGTATTTAAAATTTATTTTTGTATATTATTCACCGGTTTTAGTTGTTTTCAGTGGAGGGATGATCAGGGATTCTAAATTCTTTGTACTAGAAACAGAAGCCTTAAGCCATTGAATATTGAATATTTGAGTAATTATTCAGAAAACTAATCTGGAGGCAGTATCCAGAATCAGTGTTACAGACTAGGGAGCCTAGAGGCAGGAAGATGTGTTAGTAAGTTCCTATAGTAATCTAGATAGAAAAGGGTAGTAGGTTGTAAATGGTTAGGAAAATTATTTTTGCACAGTGAAAAGAACTAGGAAACTAGAAATGAGAAGAATTAGATTATGGTTTTTGCTCCAGCGTAGTCACATAATTTAATTATTTGCTCATTCATATTCATTCATTCATATTCAACAAATGTTAATTGAGTACCTGTTCTAGGCCAGACACTGTTTTCAGCTTTGTAGTGCAGTGTGGTATACAGCAGTGAAAACAAATTTTTCTTCTCTTATGGAGCTTACAGTCTATGAACTGTAAGACAGGCAATGAATAAACAAATGTGTAGATCAAAGGCCAGACAGTGGTAAGTGCTAGAGAAGGAAATTCAGCAGAATAAGGGAAACAGAGAGTACTTGCCATGGAAGCGAAGTGTATCCATAGAAAGTCTTACTGAAAAGATGATATTTGAGCATATATCTGAAGGAAGCAAGGGAGTGAGCCACGTGGAATCTAGATTTATTCCAGGCAGAGGGAACAGGAAGGAGCTAGCATGCCTGAACTGAATGAGTTAGGCAGAGAGTAGTTGGAGAAGACAGGAGACATAGAGCCCATGAGGCCATTCTCAATGAGCTGTGAAGCTTCCAGGGCTTGGGCAGCAGAGGGCCATCTGTGGTAGAGTGGTACCTGTGGATGATGTGTAAAGAAGTGGCTAACTGCCCTGACTACCTCAGAGGGATATTGTGAAATTCACATGAGATAATGCTTGTTGAAAGTGCCTTGTGACTTAAAGATATTTCATAAGTGGAAGTGTTTGCATTGGATTCAGTGGTGGATTTGATGAGATGATGGGTAATCTCAAGAAGACATTAAGGTGATTGAAGAGGAGATGTGAAAAAGGTATTTATCTCAGCATGGAATTTTACAAGGGCAGGATCATACCTTATATAGTAATAAGGATTCATCATGAGGCAGAAAGCACGAAACATGAATCACCCTTCCCCATAGGGAATCTGTACCCTATCTCCCCTCAGAGGCCTCTTTCCTATTTGAGTATAAAAACATAAAGCTGAGTACAATGAGCATGTCCTCTCTACTGTACTCTGCTTTCAGGAAGATTTATTGTTCAGGAATGGCTATGTCTCCTATTCCATAGCCATTCCTAGGAATGTCTATGTCTCCTATTCCATAGCCATTCCTAGGAATATCTATGTCTCCTAGTTGTGGTCAGTACGAGTAGGTACTCAGAATTGCCTGCTGAATTAATGCTGCAAAGTTGTGTGTGGGGGGGGGGAGTAGGATTTATAGGAATGAACTTAGAGTTTAGGATATAAAAAATGTGTAAACCAAGCTGGTGGAGACCTATGTTTGCAGCATTCAGTGGGAAAATAATCATGGATGTTGGGTGGCTGTAAGCTTCATGTGAAATGAAAGTGTGATGTAGTCATTAAAAATATCTCACAGTCTTGGGCTCTGTTAAAAAGGAGAAAGAGTGCAGATTGCTGAAGGAGATGCTCCCCCTAGACACAGTCCTGGTCAGTTTTTGTCTGGAATCTGCACATTTCTGGGCAGCAGGTTTTATGAGGAACATCAACAACCTGAAGCACATACAAGGTCTGGGGGAGAGTGGTGATGATTAAGATAGTAAAATGGCCTCTTCTCTTTCTAATATAGGTTTTCACTTTCCTCTGCTTTGCTGAGAAGCCAATAGAAAAGAATTTTAAAAAGAGTCACAATGGCCTTTTTTGCATCTCATTCTATTTATTTATTCATTTACTCATTCAGTTTATAATAAACATTTATTGAGTATCTACTACGATTTAGACACAGTAGCAGACACTAGGAGTATGACTCTTGTCCTCAGTTCAGGTGGGAGAGACAGACATGTATGCATATAATTGCAGTACTGAGTAGAATAAAGCCAAGTGCTATCTTTAATTATCTTTAGCCCCCTAAGTCTGAATTTTTATGATAACTAACCAACTTGTCTTTCTACTTCTGGGCTCCCTCCATGTTAACCCCAAATTAACCCTGCACACTGTCATCAAAATAATCATTCTAAGAATCATTTATATGTTGAGTGCTTTCTGACTAGAAGGACTCAATCTGGGAGGGAATGGGATTTGAGGTTGTTTTTGAAAGATGGGTAGTGAGACCAGTAGAGAGAGTATATTATATGGGGGCATAATGTCACAGAGAATTGGCATCTGGCATCTATAAGAAGATATCAGATAATAACCATAATAATAACTGCTGTTTGTTCAATGACCTAACCATTAAAAGTGAAAACAAGGTAGCATTATGGGGCATTCACAGTCCAATATTAAAATGATGATTATTCAGACTAATTTCATGTGGCACATAATATTTTCATTAAATGCTTGTAATTATATGTAAGTATTCTGTTCAATAGTTTGTTCTACCCCTTTTCCATAGATTTTAATATAATGGGAAAAGTCATCATCCCTAATTCTGTCATATTTGTACCTTTCTGTATGATCATTGACCCTTGGTCAGCAAATTGATAAAATCACATTTTTTTCTTTTATTAGTAGCCTAGTCCACCACAAGTTTTGATAAGGATATGTAATGGAGATGTCCTATGCAGTAGTAACCTCTCCTATCTGTAGCATTCTTGGGGAGCTATTAGAGCATCTTTATGAGATTAATTTGAGTGGCTTATATTATTTCAAGGCTTTATTGTGGCCAATATTATAATAAAACTCAAATCTAAGGAATCTTTTTCTAAGGCTTATTCCAATGCCTTTCTTAGCTTTACTTTCTTTCATTTATCCTACTCATTCATCCATTCATTCATTAACTCATCTGAATTTTATTTCCATGCCTAGAGAAATCCTTATATATTTTGACACATATTTCTAAATAAAAGGTTGCTGAAATAAGTATCCATTCATCTGTTTAGGTGCTAGTTACAACATACCTTTTTGCAGGTAGGACTTAAATTGGATTTTATATGTTCATATAATACAAGAATTTAATATAAGAAATATGAATTTAAAAAGGGAAAATGAGGACACATAAGAAAAGACTGGCCAGTTGTGGTGGCTCATGCCTTTAATCCAAGCATTTTGGGAGGCTGATGTAGGCAGATCACATGAGACCAGGCGTTTGAGACCAGCCTGGCCAATATGGTGGAACCCCGTCTCTGCTAAAAATCCAAAACTTAGCTGGGCGTGGTGGTGCATGCCTATAATCCTAGCTACTTGGGTGGCTGAGGCATGAGAATCGCCTGAATCTGGGAGGCAGAGGTTGCAGTGAGCTGAGATTCTACCTCTGCACTCCAGCCTGGGTGACGGAGCGAGACCCTGTCTCAAAAAAAAACCAAAAACCAAAAAACAACAACGACAGCAAAAAAAAGACTAAGGTAGTGGCAAATTCAGTATACAAAGTGATTGCCCATGTATTAGAGTTAGAGTTCTGGAGCAAGGCCACCATTTTAGTTCTGAGCTTCCCAGAATCACTACAAACAGGGAAGTAGGTAAGTTACATTGTTTACTCGATTTACAAGATGAAAACAAACAGCTTCTCAAGAGAACAACTGCCATAGGTAATCATACTGGACAGAAATTTCTCCTGGGGACTACACATAGAGGAAGCTATGTAGTGTAATGAACAATGTTCTGAACAATATCTTTATGCAAAAATCCAGTATCATCTTAAAGAATCAGTTTTGATTCTGCTCCTAAGTGCAAGAAAAAGGCCACTTTATGTCCTCAATGTCGTTTTCTAGAAGGGTTAAAATAATTTTATTCCAGCACAATTTTACAGAAGAGGAATCAAGAGAGTAGCGCTTTTCTGGAGGTCGGGGAGGAAGGGAGTCAGAATCCAAGCACTAGTGGCAGACACAAACTGAAGAAAGGACACATCTTTCTCTGAGACCGGAAGGAAGGAGTGGAGGGTGGATGCAGATTTATGAGTTGTTGGCATGCAGGCAGAGATTAGAAAAAGTTTTTCCTGGTAGCCTTGATCTTCTTGATGAAGAAGGCAGTTGTCTCTTGGGAGGGGGAAGATTGTTGGCAGGGTAGAAACTTGAGGGAAGTGGAGATTGTTCACAGTAGCCTCTTTCCAGTCAATCTTCAAATGCTGAAATGTGAAGAAAACTTATGTGTCTAACTCCATTTCCTTCTTTCACAAGTCATTGTGGAAAAAAAGCAATTCTGAAACCAGCTGCTGTAAACCTCTAAGGAGGTGCCACCAGGTAAATTCTGAAAGACATAATTAGCCCACTCAGATTCAGAGTTACAGAACTTCACTGCTGGACCATGGGGACCGTCTTGTTCAACCATTTCATTTTATTTATGGATGAGGAGGCGTCTCTCAAATTACAGAGCCAGTTGATTATTGGATTAGATAATCCAAAGAGAAGTCAACTGGCTCTTGTTTGTTTCCCCACTGCACTGTATTCAGCTACCCAAGGTATTAGGCAAGAAGCAGAGGACGCTATGTCAAAGTCTATGCCTCAGTTTCTGCATTTCATTCCATGCTTCCACTTCTCTCCATAGCCTCAAAACTATCTTTTGAGGCTCAGAAGGAGAAGTTTGAAATCATAGATTTCTTTCCTAGTAGACTCCCTTACCTTTGTGGCCATAGGTTTATCATCGTATTTTTCATCTAGTTTTACATAAAATAATCATTAATAGAGTAGATGATTCTGGGGAAGGAGAAAAATAAGGAACATGATCAGGTGTGAAGAGGGTATGAAGAAAAATTCAGAATAAGAATAAAGCCGAGCACTGCCTGTCAAATGGGTAATGTGACCTCCAGGAAATTTGAATGGGCTAATTCAGTGTTGTCCACGGTGGGGCCCCCAGAGAGGCTGCAGGCTTGGTGACCAAACAGCATCTCTTTTTGCAGTTGGCATGGAAAGCAGCCTGCAAGTCCCAACTTAAAAAGAACAAAGAACTATATGCCCATGCTTCATTGCAATTGCCACAGGAGAGGTTGGGAAATAAGGAAAAACTCCAATGATGAGTGGGCTGAGAAAGCCATATCCTTTTTCTAGAGCAGGCAGTATTCTGCTTTGAAGAATGAGTAAGCTACTAACCCAACCCAGAAGCGGGGCTGGGAGGGCAAGAGAGATAAAGCAGTTGGATAGTGAAGGGAAAGAGGGGAATGAAAGGAGGCACTTTGTCTTTCTTTTCTTTAATTGGAACTTGTTTCTTAATTTACCAGCCTTTACTAAGTGTCAAATGGAGATCAGATTGACCCATCTATTGCCACATGGAGGGTCTAACTTAGTCATTTTCCTAGAGATATTGAAGCTAACTTAATTGGGCCACGTACTGTCTTGTAGCAGGATCTGGTGTTAAGTCATCCTTGCTTGAAGCCTATTAAATGTTCACAGTTATTACATATGAAAACCTGAAAAGTTGGCCAGGAACTAAGCAAACCATTTGAGATCATGTTTCTTTCTTAATTTCCTCCCTGTCAGTTTTCATGCAAGGGCCTTCTCAGATATCTAGAAACTTCATATTGTGACTAAGCAGGGTTTCAAGTATGAGTTTTAATGATTTAGTCCATTATTTCATTTTATTTCAATAGCTTTTTGGGGACAGGTGGTTTTTGGTTACATGGACGAGTTCTCTTTTTTTTGCATTTCATTATTTATTTAGATGTTTAAACTCTCACACTACATTTTTACAAGCTGGTAAACACTGACAAATTATTTCTCCCACAGTACTATAACCACACATCCCCAGGCAGTATAAATATATGGTTGAACTAACATTAATGCACATCACCATTTTATCAATTACATAGTAAAACAAATTATCAAGTATCCAAATATTAAGTTACACAGCTCGAAAGGCATGTAAAATATTAGATGTCTTATCAGTTCATGAGCAGAAACCCACTTCTTTTTTTGTAAGTGAGATTGGGAAGAGAAGGAAAAAAAAATCACACTTTCAAACAAAAATAAGTCGGTAAACAACTTCTGATAAGTATGGAAAAAATTACAAGAACTTCAGGAAGTTTATGATTATAATAACAAAGCATTTCTACCTTTAAAAATATTTTACTAAATTAAAGAGCATATTCTATATGTTCTGTACAAGACAAAGGCAACATTTTGCTAAAAATAATTAATAGCTCCCTCCCATTTTTTTCTCAGGCCCTCCCTGTTAAGCTGCACCTCAGAGTGCAAATATTAAATTAACTGTAAGACTTTTTTGTCTGAAGACATTAAAGACATGTGCTTTTGTACAATGTGATTTTCACAATGGAGGTTTTGTTTTGTTTTGTTTTTGAGACGGAGTCTTGCTCTGTCGCCCAGACTGGAGTGCAGTGGCGCCATCTCGGCTCGCTGCAAGCTCCGCCTCCCGGGTTCATGCCATTCTCCTGCCTCAGCCTCCCGAGTAGCTGGGACTACAGGTGCCTGCCACCATGCCCGGCTAATTTTTTTTTCTTTTTTCTTTTTTGTATTTTTAGTAGGGACGGGGTTTCACTGTATTAGCCAGGGTAGTCTCGATATCCTGACCTCGTGATCCACCCGCTTCGGCCTCCCAAAGTGTTGGGATTACAGGCGTCAGCCACCACGCCTGGCCTGGAGGTTTTTAATAAAAGCACAAAGTGAGATTTATAGAAACACATGAAATAATCACTGTAAGGCTTGGTTAAAAAAATATCAATGGCTAAGCAAACCTGATGTATACTAGTATGAATGTGGGAGACGTAAACATAAAGTGAGCAGACAAATCACCATGTAAGCCCTACTTTCAATGTTTGAAATGACTGAAGGAATAAACCACATAAGGTCTAGAGTGTTCATAGTTCCTGAGATTTTAGCTCTGTATGGTGCTAAAAACATACAAGTATGGTGCTGGGTGTTTTGGCACCTAATCTTCCTAAATTTCTTATGTATCGATAAGATTCTGGCATGGGAATAGATTTAAACAAGTCCTAACTCAGTACTGCCTGATTTTGGGAAAGGTCAGTTGGTATGAATGACAAGCACATTTTATATACTGACAGCAAGAATCTTTTGCCAAATGTCTAAATAGGTTGACTGTAACCCAAACACAGAGGTTGCCAAATCTGTCTAGCTTGCAGCCTGGTAAAACTGCCTGTCAGTACTCCTATGGAAGCTTCATTAGACTTACTCGCTAAGCCAACATGTTGGCTAATGTGTATAACAAATTAGGTCCTATCTCAAGTTCCACTTCCAATAGCATTAGGCACCCCAGTTTTATTGAATGCAACAGTTGTTTATATGACTATTGGAATCTTTGAAGCGCAGCCGCATTTTAGGATGATACTTCTCCAAATACAAAAGTTGCTTGCTTTTAAAAGCTCCACTCCGCTTTTGTCCTATGAATTGTACTGCATCTTCATGTTTCATTCCACCTTCAACTGATGCTAGGGCAACAAGTACTGGAGCTTTCCCAAGGCCTACAATGCAATTAACAGCAATATAACAACCAGGTTCTTCACAAAACTTAATTTTTACAAAATGTAACCAATCAGCAACAATCTGGTTGGATGGTGGTGCACCATCACCAAAAGGCCAATTGAGAACATGGATACCTTCTTTCTCCACAAGAGTAGTGTCATAAGTTGCTTCACATACTCTTACTATTGTGGTAGCTCCATACTTCTTAAGCTCCTCTATAAATTTATTTAAGGTCACATTGGTTGGATTGTGTGTAATAGGAAATCTCATGTTCTTGTATGTGACTTTCACAGGAGCTGGGTGGTTCATTCGAGGTGTATTAATTTAGTTAAAAAATACTCAATAGGGTTATGAAATAATTAAAAAATTGAATACAGAAATGATTCAAAGAAACTGAAGTCGACTTCAATATACTCCACTTGAAATTCTCAGTGCTTTGAGTGTGAAGTTGTAAGTAATGATAAATGAAATGAACCTCCTAACAAGAAGCAGCAATTCTGCAATCCAGTAATACTGAGGCAACAAACAGACAAGAAGTGCACTCAGGTTTACCCCATCCAGGTCAGAACTCTTATAAAATGCTCTGTGGATTTCAATTCAACACTTTTGTGTCCAGGATAACCACTCTTATAGGGGCTTTTTGGTGGAGTAGTAATCAATTTCTACAGTTCACATGTCTGAATAGAGGTTGTGCTGTGCCTGGCAGTAATCTTCACTGCCCTTCAGAAACTCAATGTGTGACCAAGAACACCACAGAACTGAGGAATGTATTTATTCTCTGAAGATTATGGCCTAATCATACAGCTGGTCCTGAGGCAGCAGTGACATAGGGGGTGGCAGGCGCTACAGGGCAGGAGGTGGCGGTGGTTGTGGCAGAGTGGTGGTGGTGGTGATGCAGCAGACAAGTTCTTTAGTGGTGATTTCTGAGATTTTGGTGCATCCGTCACATGAGCAGTGTACACTGTACCCAATTTGTAGTCTTTTATTTCTCACCCCCTGAGTCCCCAAGGTCCATTATATCATTCTTATGCCTTTGTGTTCTCATAGCTTAGCTATGATACTTAGTTTTTCATTCCTGAGTTACTTCACTTAGAATAATGATCTCTAACTCCACCTAGGTTGCTGTGAATGCCATTATTTCATTCTTTTATATGGCTGAGTGGTATTCCATGGCGCATATATATATATATATATCACATTTTCTTTATCCACTCATTGGCTGATGAACATTTAGGCTGGTTCCATATTTTTGCAATTGCAAATTGTGCTGCTATAAACATGTGTGTGCAAGTGTATTTTTCATATAATGACTTGTCTTTTTTGGGGTAGGTACCCAGTAGTGGGATTGCTGGATTAGGTCCATTTTTGAGTAAACTGTGGTGCATGGAGAAGGTTCCAAGTCCAAGTAAACTCCATGGGAAATTGAAAAGGTGCTCCTTCTTAGGGAATCAGGACATCTTATTGGTTGAAATGACTTGTCTGAAAATCTAAGCTGACTGAAACTGTGCTCAGTAAAGGAAGGTTGAGGCCTGTAACTAGTGGTTTTGGAGCTGTGAGAGTGATGTTTGGAGCAGCTAGATGACATACTAAGTGTGAAAGCTGGAATTTGAGAAATGTAGTTAAGTTGCATCATGAAAGACAATTCCCAGGATGTTTCTGACCCCAGTAAGTACTGATTAGTGTGGTCTCTTAGCCTTAGTTTTTCCACTTTGGAATGTTGCAGATTTTTATATTAAGCTAAACCTTGAACTTGGCCACTATAGATTGAATTTTATGACCTCCATGTGTAGTTCATATTCTGAGTCCCATTTTGTCAAAACAGTTTTCCCAGATGTGCCACCTAAGCCTTCAGGGGTCATCAGATCTATGTCTTATTTTCAGAGATGGGCCACCATTGACCCAATGCTTCTTAGTTACCATACCAAAATACTCAGAGAAAAAGACTTAATTGTATTTCAGTCAACCACTCAAATGAACTGAGAAATAAGAAAAGATGCTAGTCTTGTTTGCTCCATATTAGTTGATATTTTAATTAATGAGCTTTTGCCAGTTTATTTCTCTGTAGTGTTGTGAAAGACAACATGAGAAAAATTGTACTGTGTGCATTCGCTCATTTGTTCATTCATTCAAACAATTTTGTAAACATAGATGATGTCCAAGGCCCTGTGCCTCTGTGAGGTTTACCAGATAAATGAGGTATAGTTTTAACTGTAAAAGAATTTACAGTCTCAAGTAATTCAACAAATTCTCTCTTCGAGTTTAGTATGTGTGAGGCACTAGGATTAAAAGAGTAATGGGATTTGTATTCATTGCATCTCTGTTTTAGAAACCACGAATAGTAAAATACAACTTCCCTCAAAGTGTTTGTAATCCAGACTGGGAAGTGGGCTGTGGGGGCATAAATTATAACTAGAAGTAGCTATTATACTAGATAAATCATTTGTCACATTTGAACCATTAAGTATTATAGGAGTTTTAGAGACAAGAGAGGCCTCTTCCAAATTGGGTCATCAATAGGATAGCCATATAGTTTTTCATCCAGATTGGGACACCACTGAGAGTCGAAGGGGGTATGGCTACTAATAATTGAGAAACAAACTGGTATCACCCAGGTAAACCAGGACATACTTCATACGGGTATGGCTCATGGAGGAAGTTGCATTTAAACTGAAACTTGCAGTAAATTTAAACCAGAATTACAAATCCTTTCTCAAATACAATATCCCATTAGTACCATCTTTCACATGTGTGCCTTGGAGCTGCCTTAGAGTTAAACAGATTGAAGTTAAATTGTTTCAGTAAATCAGTAGCCAATCAATTTTAAAAAGAGATCTGAAAGCAACTTATATCTACACAAGCTCTAAGAAGACTACTATATGGCAAGGTGTTCTGTATGTCAGAGAAAGTGCATAAGTTTTAACTCAGGTGCCAATTTTGACTGAATGACGTTAGATTCCTGAAGCATGGTATTGAGAAGGATTCTGAGACTGTAACCTGATTCAGTGGGAAAGAATGCTGTGTTTGATTAACAATGTCTACTATGGATACAGGAAGTTGAATTGGTGCTGCTCATTTGCTTTCTCTTATAAAAGCATTTATATATAATTCAGCAGGTAATTTTTGAAAATAAGTATACACTGTTCAGCTTACCACTTTCAATTATTAAATCTCTGAACAAGAGTAAAAATAATAAAATTAAATTGAATAACTGTTCTTAGTGCTAGGTGACCTTTTCTATGGGTCTTTCTGTAATCTGCCATTTTTCTTTTTCATATACTTTTGAATGAACTTAAATATATCAAGTAATATGGTCATCAAGTAACACATTCATGATACTACAATACTACTGCAGGAAATTGAGTAAAGGGACCAGTAGTGACTTAAAGTAACTCAGTAAACTCATAATAAAACAATTCATTGATTTTGGTGCCTTATCTTAGGGAAGGGAGTATGGTGTATTGAAGAAACCACTGGATTGGGAGGTAGATGTCTGAGTCCATTTAGGCTGCTATGACAAGCTATCATAATATAGGTGGCTTATAAGCCACAGACATTTATTTGTCATAGTTCTAGAGGCTGGGAAGTCCAAGACCAAGGCACTAGCAAATTCAGTGCCTGGTGAGCATCAGCTTTCTGGCTCACAGATGGCACCTTCTTGCCATGTTCTCACATGGTGGAATGGTGTGAGGGGTCTCTCTTGGGCATCTTTTATTAAAGCACTAATTTCATTCATGATCTAATCACCTTCCAAAGTCCCCACCTCCTAATGACCATCACCTTGGGCATTAGGATTTCAATATATACATTTTTTTTTCGGAGACAGGGGAGAGACACAAACATTTAGACCATAGAGAATTTGGATTTCTTGTCCAGCTTTGCTATTAGTTATATTGATGCTATTTAGGCCACCTACTTCTTAAAGTCACAGTTATTTAATCTGCAAAAAAGGAAAATTGATTTCTGAGTTTCCTTTTTCAAATTAATAGTCTAGACATTTCAAATCACATTTCTTCTATAATTATATACTTTCTTAATCAAGAACTAATAGTAAATAATTTAGGCTTTGCAGACCTTACAATTTCTGTCACAACTACTTCATATTATTGTTGTAGTATGAAAGCAGTCACAAACAATATGTAAATGAATGATTATGATTGTGTTCCAATAAAACATTTACAAAAATAGTTTCTTGCCTTAGAGCTTTAGTTTCCCAACCCCTATGTTAATCTGTCTCACCAGATAATAGTTATCTGTTGCTGAATAATGAAAAATTATAGCTTAAAACCACAAATCTTTATTATCTCACAGTTTCTGAGGGTCAGAAATCTGTGAGTGGCTTAGCTGAGTATAAAAAGTAATTCAAAATTTATGTATGTTGTCTCAAGATAAATATTACTTGATTTCCCCTTTTCCATATTTTCCTCATAAAGGTATAACAATATTTTTATGGACTCTATACTAAAGGTACATTCTGCCTTCAGGTATAGAGATGCCAGAGATACCAGCAAAGAGGTTAAAGTTTCCACAGAGAGGGATCAAGAGAGAGGAAGGTAGGTGGGCAAAAGAATGGCTCCTAAGTGAGAGAAGACAGCAGGAATAGAAAACCCCAGGCCAGAAGGAGTTGTTGAAAGACTAAAAGGAAGCATAACTAATATATTCATAACAGGTAAGAATGTTGCTTCATGAATATGTTAATAACTTAATCTATTCTTCTGAGGTTGAGGACATCTGGTAATCATTGATCTGAAAGCTACTTGAGGTCTTCTGAGATGTTCGCAGACTAAGTCATTGTTTTATTTTTTTAATCCAACAAGCATTTGTTGTGATGAAAGATGACAAGCCCCAAATCAGAAAGTATGTAATGTGCTCATTAGGAAACTCAGATTTTGCCTTGGGCACAGTGATAGACAAACGGGGGATATCCTACCTACCGGCCAAAGCTGTTGTTCTCACCATCATCCCCCTTGGCACCCTGGCTCCCTAACCCAGTTGGAATGACTGACACCTCTAGTAGCTACTATCCAAACTTTCCCATAAGACCTCACTCTTCTAAGTAATTTAGCACACCAGGCCTTATTTAAGAAACAATCTGAAACAAAAAGAGAAAGAACGCAATGGTGGTTGTTTTTGACAAAGCCAATTTCTTAGAAGTAAAGATTGAAATTTCATTCAAAACCAGAAATGACCAGTTGATGGCAACAATTTTTTTTTTTTGGCATAAGCAACTACTGTGAGGAACCTGCTCTGTCAGTGAGGAGTTGATCAGGTTCAATGGCCTGTCTGTTATAGTAACTGCCTCTAGTGAACACACCACCCACAAATGCCAGGAAACATTGCTCTTTCTTTAAAAAGTAATAATAAAGAACACTTCATATGAATTATAGAGTGTCTTTGGCCAGAGTTTTTATTAATATTTATTATTATTTGACAGCACCTTTATGGTGTTCTCATTAATCAATTATACTTAAATTTGAAATATTTCACAGCTTTTTTTTTAACTTAACACCTATTGAGGGTAATAGAATTAGGGTTTAGAACACATGCAGGAGAAAGATCTCATGGTGTTCTCTGCCCAGAATGCTGAGAATTAGACCTGAATTGGGAGTTGTTGCTTGCAGAGATCATGAAATATCAGCTATCTGTAGTTTGTCTCCATTTCATAGTGCTTCTGAGACACTGGGGTTATTTCAGGCAACATTTACACTGAGTTTCCTGAGGAAAGAGAAGTGTACCAGTTTATCTTTGTACTGCCAGAAATGAAAGAAATGATATGAGTCCTGATTTTTGTGTCAAGCACTGAGGTAAATATTTTACATTTATTTCATCATTTAATTTCTATACTGAGAAATTAGTTTTAGCCTCATATGATGGATGCAACAACCTGAATCTCTCACAGTTTGCTAGGATAATATAGCATACAGAACATGGTAGGTACTCAACAAATTTGTGCTAAATAAATTTGTTGAAGGTATAAATATAAAAACTGTGATCTAAGGAGGTCAAGAGTGATCTCTAAAGATCTAATGGGTCTTAGAATGATCAGCTTAGAACACCGACTGTGCCCAGAGGTCACTTACCAGCTGGTTTGCCTCTTGTTTGAGATCAAGGTATCTTGAAGCAAATGCCATTTCTAACTTAATAATGGTAAGCCATAGGAATGCACAGCTCTTTCTGAGGTTAAGGTGTTGACTTTGAGCACAGCTGATGTATAGAGAGTTGGTAAAACATTATGTGCTTAGTATGATATAGTGGGACTTTCAAAATCAACTGTTTTGCCCATTTAAGTCCAAGAGAAATAAAAATGGGATAAAATAGTGTCTTAGTCCATTTGGGCTGCTACAACAAAATACATTAGACTGAGTAATTTATAAACAATAGAAATTTATTGTTTACAGTACTAGAGGCTGAGAAGTTCAAGATCAAAGTGCCAGCGAATTCAGTGTCTGGTGAGGACCTTTTCCTCAAAGACAGTACTTCTGTCTTCATATGGAGAAAGGGGAAAGACATCCTTTGAGCCTCTTTTATAAGGGCACTAATCTCATTCATAAGGGTGGTGCCCTCATGACTTAATCACTTCTCGAAAGCCCTACCTTTTAAAACTATCACATTGGGAATTAGATTTCAACACAGGAAATTTGGAAAGACACATTCAGACCATAGCAAATGGTAAGGGAAGTCACTGACTACCAGCTCAACATATTTTGTTCCGTTTATTATTATTATAATCATTCTACAGCTGCCCCAAGAACTTCCATTTTCATTCCCACTCTCTGGCCTAATGTTTTTCCCTTTCTCATTCTGCTCTGAACGAAGTCTTTTTGGTCAGATAAGTCAATGTATCTTTAATTCAGAGAGGTGAAACATTCCATGTGTGTTTCTGATAATTTGCTGTTGCCACATGGCTCATTGGGAAGTAAAGAGTTTCTGAAAGTCAGGAGGCCATTGAAATGAATAGTGCAAACTTCAGCAATGCCAGGAAGCATTAGAGCCACACTCATTATAGTAGAGGCATAAAAACAGCTAGTCCTCCTTTTATGTGGGACTGTCCCTAGTGAAGACATCCCTCCTGGAACAGCTGCATTTTCCCCTTCCTTCCTTCCTTCCCTCCTTCCTTCCTTCCTTCCTTCCTTCCTTCCTTCCTTCCTTCCTTCCTTTTTTACTTTCTTTCTTTCTTTCTTTCTTTCTTTCTTTCTTTCTTTTTCTTTCTTTCTTTCTCTCTCTCTTTCCTTTCTTTCTTTTCTTCTTTCTTTCTTTCTCTTTCTTTCTTTCTCTCTCTTTCCTTCCTTCCTTTCTTTCTTTCTTTCTTTCTTTCTTTCTTTCTTTCTTTCTTTCTTTCTTCTTTCTTTCTTCTCTCTCTCTCTCTGTCTCTCTCTCTCTCCTCTTTCTTTCTACAAGGTCTTACTTTGTCACCCAGGCTGGAGTGCAGTGGTGTGAACACAGCTCACTACAGCCTCTTCCTCCCAGGATCAAGCGATCCTCCTACTTCAGCCCCCCAAGTAGCTGGGGCTACAGGTGCATGCCACCATGTCCAGCTAAACTTTCTATTTTTTGTAGAGATGCAGTTTTGCCATGCTTTCCAGGCTAAAGCTGCATTTCCTACAGGGAACGGATGAGATAGCTGTCCTGGCACTCAAATGAATAAAATAAAATATACAGAATTCTTGGGAGACTTCCTAAGGGACCAGGTTTTTGTTTGATTCAATGTAAATACATTCAACAATATTTCACTGAAGACCACCTATGCTCCTTCCTTTATGTTATATCCTTAAATACACCCATTAAAATTGCTGCACATCTGGGCAGATGCTCTGCCTGTTTCTAGCACCTACCTGAGGAAATAGTGTGGATGACTGAAGTAGTACTACGGGGGTTCAGATTTCCTTGAAAACTAAGCCTTATAAATCATGAGAGTGACGGAACACTAATTCCCAAATAGCAGAATGCATTACATTGTTTCAGGTCAGCGATAGCATCATTGTTTTAGTGATCAGAATACATTAAATGCATGCCGATTTTGTCACCTTTTTGGTTAGCAAGGTACTTAAGACCTTTCTTCATTTTCCTCTTATCTATCATTCTACTCTCATCTCTCATCATTCTCTAAATTCTCGTTATTTTCCAAACACATCAAGCTTCTTCCCATTTTTATTTTTTTGAAGAAGTCATTCCTTCCTGCTGGAATACTGTTTTTATCCTCTATTTGATACACTTATTAAGATTCATCTTAAGTATTCCTTCCACTTCTATCTCCATCCCAGTCCTACCTCTGTGCTTTCATATCATATTTATTTACATTGTTGTAATGATTTTAGGATGTTTGGGAGCAAAGTCTACTGGGACTATTCAGGAGAAAGGTGAAGAGAAAGAGAACTTGTCAGGGCTGGGACAGAGCAACTTAACCAGGTTGCAGGGCAGATCCCCAGGAGGGCAGGCAGGAGAGTGGATGTATAAGTGGGTGGGCAACAGCAATAAGCAGCCAAGGACACTGTGGCCAAGGGGCACTGAGCCTTCCGGAGATCCTCCACACAGGGATGATATCTGGGGTCTACATTGTGGGCGATTATTCAGATCAAAGGACTGTTGTCTGTAGGCAGTCCAGCTGTCAGAAGGAGTTTAAGGCCAGTGCTAGGTAAGGAAATTGGACAGTAGACTTGGTCAATACCACAGGAGTAAGAAAGCCAGGGCTCACTCTGACCCACTGGACACTGAGTCTGACAGCATCATCAATTCCACCCTGCTGAAAAAGCTCCTGTTCAGATAGTTAACTTAGAAGCTGAAGAGGGAGAGAAGACAGGAGGAGAGTGTCAGAGTCTTCAGCTAGAAGGAGTGAGGAAGGCAGAGAAGGACTGTCATTTTGGCAAATTAGAAAGGTGCTACTTTCCTAGCACTAGAACACACACCCTGCCAGATTAGACCTCATGTCTCATTCGTCTGTGTCTCCCTGGTGCCTAATACTCTGCCCGACATGTAACAGGCTTTCAATAAATGTTAAAGTGAAGAAGCAAATCAGTAAATACACAAATAGTCCTCAGCCTCTATAAAACACACTCTCTGTTGCACTATCTACCATTAGTTGAATAGAAACACTCAACTAATATGTTGGTGATGCAATACATAATTGTCTGATTATAATTCCCCATCTTAATTTCTCATCCCACTGGCATCCCATACTGAAAAGTATAGTACATCAAATTTATTTCAAAAATAGAGTTGGCATAATTTACTTTTTATTATAAAAATGTCATATGTGGAGAAGAGTATATACGACATACTTGGCAATGGCTTACACCAGTAATCCCTGTAGTTTGGGAGGCCAAAATGGGAGGATCACTTGAGGCCAGGAGTTTAACATCAGCCTGGGCAACATGGCAAGATCCCTGTGTCTACAAAAAATTTAAAAAATTATCCAGATGTAGTGGTGTGCACCTGTAGTCGAAGCTACTTGGGAGACTGAGGCAGGAGGATCACTTGAGTCTAGGAGGTGGAGGCTGCAGTCAGCTATGACTGTGCCACTGCTCTCCAGCCTGGGCAACAGAGTGAGACTCTGTCTCTAAAAAGATTTGTAAAAATTAAAAAAAAATTACAAAATACCACATAACTGCATTATTTAAATAATTTACATAATTTAAGTAATTACAAAGTTCACACCACCACCCAGGTTGAGACAAAGAACATTGCCAGTGCCTCAGAAAGGCCTGTGTATACATTTCTGTCTGATTTCACTCCTTCTCTTCCCTCATATCCTAATTTTTCTGATAATAATTTCTTCCTTTTTCTTTACAGTTTTATCATTTATGCATGTGTTCCTAAAATATATATTTAGCTTGCTTGGCTTTGAACATTATTTGAATAGAATCTTCATATATGTATTTATTTGTGTGTCACTTGCTTCTTTGGCTAAACATTATATTCGTAAGATTATGTTAATTTATTTTGAGATTTTTTTAAACATCTCTGTTGCTTAGAGGACTGGAGAGTATGTTTACCTTTTACCCTCAGTATGGAAATTTCTGAGTGAGCTATAGTGTACAGCCATGCTCCTCTCTCAGAAAAGTCAAACTGACAAAACAAACATTGAAGGTGGTTATTTATTTTACAAAAATTTCATCATAGTAGTCATTTAAAATGACTGGGTTAAAAATAAAAACTTAGACAGTGTTTTGGAAATTCTTGTCAATGGAGTTATATTAGAATTGATTTCACATGGAGGTCAAAAGGGAGTGCATTTGAGGGATGGGGAAAAGAAGAGTGTAATTAGCATGAGGATTAGGGAGGACAGCTGGAGACTTGATGTCCAGACAGCACAAGGTGATGAGAAATCTCACTACCTTTTTGGGCCAGGAGCCCAGGGAAGGAAGTACTGTATTTTTGGCAATAAGATTGAGTGTGTGAACAGCTGAAGATATACCTGTTTTTCCTTTTTTTTTTTTTTTTTTTGACAAATTTCCACTATGTTGTCCAGGCTGGTTTCACACTCCTGAGTTCAAGCGATCCTCCCACCTCGGCCTCTTAAAGTACTTGGGTTACAGGCCAAGTCGACATGCCCGGCTTGTTTTGCCTTTTGTATCTGAGGAGCTTCCTTTATTTCTTCCTATTTTCTTAATAATTCAGGCCTGTACATCCAGACCTATGCTACTGGTACTAAAAGAAAGACTGGCTCTGTTCTTGAGGCATCTAGCTACCAAGAAGGTGCATTTTCCTGTTAATTACTCAAGTGATTTTAGCTATACAGACTTGATAACATTCATATGTGTCCACTGGTTTGGCATCAAATCCAAAAAGTTATCAAATAAATAACTATTTCTGAAAAAAGTTGGTTGGATTAAGTCAACAACTTGTTACCCATAAGTTGTTTTTTAAAAAGCTATCTGAAAGAATTCAAATTCTAGATAAGAATCTGACAGCTGGATGGGATAGCAAAGATCTCTAAGTCTAATCCCCTTAGCTCGAGAGAAGTTCAATAAATTACACAAAGAGCAGTGACTAGACCTAGGTCTCTTAGTTCCTGGTCGAAAGCTCTTATCCACTGCCTCCAAGTTTTCATTTAATTTATCTGGTGTCTATAACTGAATTTTATTTTAACGCTATTCTTTTAAAAAGAGTCTTAAAAAAGGTGTTATTTTCATTATTTAAAAAATACATTTTTGCATTGTAATTTATCCTTCCCTATAAGAAAAACTCAAGATACTCTTTGAGGGTGTAGCATGTCAGCTTTAAAATCAGTCTGTCTAGGGAAGAAACCTATAGAAGGTGAGAGGGAAATCTAGTTCACGATAGGAAGGCTGTTTTTGGGTCAGAGCCTGTGAAGGTCACCCACATAACAGTAGGAAAAGCAGAGTGTAAGAGTCCATGGAGAAAGTCAGGTCAGATGTGAAGGTGAGAACTTGCTTAAATGCTCTTCTCAGTTCCACTTCCCTTTGAAATACGCATTAAGGTAATCAGTTGAGGATTACTTCAGGTTGTGAGGAGAAAGGTGCTAAGGGTTTGAGCAGGGAAGAGAAGGTATGAAATGGTCATTAGGCGAGCAGGAGAATGAATGGGCCAGAGAAATGTAGTAGGATCTGGACTGCAGAAGGGCCACTCGAGATTAAAGACCATGCATTCAAATTGAATCCAGACACCATATTTCCATGTTTTTCTCTGGTCACCATAAGCTACATGGGTGCAGACAGTTCACAGAAAGGTTGATTTAGCTAGGTTTGGGATTTTGCCAAGGGAGTACAATGAAATAGAGAAAGCAAGGGCAGGAGGGTTCAGAATGTATGCAAGGGAGTGATCTGATGATGAAAAATTATTATGTCTGTGTCTCAGAAATCCTTGTGTCCTGTAGACCCATTTGCCAAATTCAGAGCTATGTTTAGACTGGGACATAGTAGGCTCTCAATAGATATTTGCTGAATAAATATCTTTCAATTAATGAACTTGTTATTAATCATAGATTTATACTACCTTGTTATGTACTGTAGGGGAGACATAAAGAGACATGCCTTGATTTCCACTCTAAAGGACTTTATAATCCAATTGATAAATAGAAAATGATGTGAAAAATATAATAAAATAGAAAACAAAAGCCTTTTGTGAGTGTTTGTATGTTTTGTAATGCTATTGTTTAATTACTATTGGATATTTTCTTTGAATACTTGCTACCACCTGAGCATATACAGGTACATGTTGATTTCTGGTTGATGAACCCAAGCAAAGTAGAGGTAGATATGATGAACTGTGTGAGATGGTTTTAAAAGTTTCCTTTAAAAACATAATCTTGTATTTGCCTTTTCATTTGCTTTATCATTTGGAATTGAAACTGTCTCTCAGTGCTGAATAAGGATTTGCAGTCTTCTATTTTTAAAGAGCTTGCTTATGGATAAAGTTCGATCTTTCTTTCTGGTTCTGCTCTTCACAAGATATATTGCATTTGACAGTTCTTTCATGTTAAGAGTTGAATGTGGACTCCTAGGCTGAAGTTGTGATTTATGCTACCCATGAAACTTAAGGCCTTCACCGGCAATGGAAAAGCAATCAAGAATTGATGTAAACAGACCAATCTGACCCCCATCTGTTGTGGTTTAGTATTTTCTCAGAGAGAGACATTTACTCCAATAACTCCCTGTGATGTTAACAGGAGGTTATATACAGTATCAGAGCCAGCCTCTTTTTGAGTAGGTGGATATAGGTGGACACACAGTTGGCAGGATTTCAGAGTCCTCAGGAGAAACTTAGTCCATCAGAAGGTGTTTCCCCCATCAATTGTTTAGAATATTGTTTTCATGATTTCAGCCAAATAATCATTTGTGATGTGTTAAAAAAGGTAGCCTTATCATCATTTAATGATTAATGAAAATATTAAATAATGAGATATCCAAGTGAGTGACCACAGTGATGATGGAAAATTTGGTATTTATGTATGAGGTCTGTGGAAGTCCAAACATGCAGGTTGGCAGGTGGGCAACTGGCAACAGATGGGTCTGCCAGAGCCTCAGATACCAAGACATATGGGTCTGCCAGAGCCTCAGATATCAATATTGGGTTTAGAATTTTAGACCCTTAAAGTAGTCTGTGTTTGAATTAAGCTGGGATGTAATTCTGGGTGGGCTGAAGGTACTGAGCAGGTAATAAAGAAAGGAACGTAGGGACAATAACACAGACACAATTTCAATGGTCAGGACTGTGACAAATGGCAGAGGCTGGGTCTTATGATATAGGTTTTCATTCATATATTCACCCTCATTATTCATGTATTCTTTAATAAACAAGTGTATATTGAACATCCGTGTATCAGGCATTGGGGAGGACACTGGAATATAAGGACAAACATAACTATTTTGTTATGTGATAGGTGTGACAACAGAATACATAGGTTATATTTTAGAAGCACTTGGGTGAATCATTCAAACCAGACTAGGAAGAAGGGGAGAGAAGGCTTTCTGAAAAATGTAAGATGTAAGGGTGTAGTGGCGGGCATCTGTAATCCCAGCTACTCTGGAGGCTGGGGCAGGAGAATCGCTTGAACCCAGGAGACAGAGGTTGCAGTGAGCCGAGATCACACCATTGCACTCCAGCCTGGGGGACAAGAGTGAGACTTCATCTCAACAAACAAACAAACAAATCATTGAATGTCAAATATATGCCGACTAACTAACTCTAGGACACAAAGTTAAGTGGGAGGGAGGGTCCTTTCTTCAAAAGCTTACAGCATGATGTGATCATTATATAATCAGATGTCACTAATGAGAGTTGGCTACATCAGATAGGAAAGTGAAGGAAACTTACGTAGGTAGTAAAATTTGAATGATGAGAGAATTAATTAGGTGAAGGTGGAATATATGTTTACATATATTATGTACAACATATAAATTTATTCTAGGCAGATAAGAAGTTTGTACAAAAGCACAGAGATGTGAAATGACAATCCAGGTTTGTAAAGCTAGAGTAAAGGATATATTTGGGAAAAGGCTGATGATGGTGCCAGGGAAAAAGGCAAGGAACAGATAATGAGAACCTATGTGCTGAGCTATGGAGTGTGGCACTGAAGATTGTTTAAACAGATGATGTGACAGGATCAACATTTTGTAGAAGTATGGAGAATGGGTTGGAGGGGGGACATTGTAGAGGTTATTTTAGTAATTCCCAGAAAAAAATGACAAGTCATTAAACTAAAAGAAAGCAGTGGCAGCAAAAGTGGAGAAAAAAAAGATGGATATAGGAAACATTAAGAGCTAACTATACAGGCTCTGATAGAGGGTCTGATAGGGGAGGTGACACATGTATTCATGGCATAGATTACATGGTGAACACCATTTGTCATCATAAAGAATTGATGAGAAGCAGCTCGTTTGGGAGTGGGAAGTGTGTATAAGAGATAAATTCAACTTTATTGAACTGAATTTGAATTGCCCAGGAGTAAGTGGGCAAAACTGTCCAGTAGAAAATTAAATATGCAGTTTGAAACTGAGAGTATAGCATGTCGATCAGGAATATGTCATCAGCAAATTGGTGAGGGTTTATATTATAGATTTGGATGAATTCATTCAGGGAAAGCCTGTAGAATCTGAACACCAGACAGTTAAATGAGGAGACGTTAGAAGAAAAATGCTTCGACGAAACTGGAAAAAAGCAGAGGTGGAAGAAAGCTGGGAGGCTATGTAGTCCCAGGAATTTAGAATAAGAGAATTTCTCAAATGAGTATGGGGTCAATAAACAAAATACAGTTTATCTATACAGTGAAATATTATTTGGTCACACAAAGGAATCCAGTACTGATACATGCTACAACATGGATGAAACTTGAAAACATGCCAAATGAAAGAAACAAATCACAAAAGATCACTATGATTCCACTTATATTACATACCCAGAAGAGAAAAATCTACAGAGACTGAAAAGAGATTAGAGCTTTCTTAAAGCTGGGGAGAATGGAAGGATAAGGAGATAGTAGCTAAGAGAGACAGGGTTTCTCTTTGTGGCAATAAAAAATATTCTAAAATTGACTGTGGAGATGATTGCACACATCTCTCAATGCACTAAAAACATTGAATTGTACACTTTAAATAGGTGAATTGTATGTTATATAAATTCTATATCAATAAAACAAAAAGAGTATGGGTAAAATCAAACTGCAGTAATGAGGTCTAGTAAAATAAAGACAGGAAAATCTTGATTGGATTTGACAATATGGATAAATCATTGGCAAACTTCATCAGAAATTTTAGTGATAAGGAGGAGTGAAATACAGATGACAGCGGGTAAGAGTGAATGGAAAGTGAAAATGTGGAGATGAACTCTTTCAAGAACTTTGGCTGAGAAAGGAATAAGGGAACTGAAAGCTAAGGGTAAAGGCAGTATTTCTTTAAAAATGGGGGAGACCACAGAACATTTTCATATGGAAAGAGCCAGGAGAATATAAAAGTTTTGAGATTCAAGAGTAAGGGAGAGATGGAAAGTGATGGGATCTATTGCACAGGTGGAGGAGAGAAGAGGGGGAGTGTAAGCAAAAGGAGAAAGGATAGAGGATGATGGAGATGTTTGTAGCCTAGAAGTAGCAAGTTAAGGGAAGTGTTGTCATGTAGCTTCTGTTTTCTCATTAAGCTAGGAAGCAAATCTGTTAAGGTTGAGTGGAATTTGGCTTGGTAGATGGTTTAGGAAGACAGTGAAGATTTTCACTCGTGAAGGAAATGGAGAAAGATGCTTGTTAGAGATATGTTGGATTGCTAGGCAGAAATGAACTTCAACTGAGGTTGAAGACCAATAATTAGTAGTGATGTGTGTGTGTGTGTGTGTGTGTGTGTGTGTGTGAGAACAGCTCTTAGGAAACTAGAAACAAGACAAAATGCTGCAACTGATTCAACTTTGAAGTTTTGTGGGCTACTGTATGTAAAGAGAATCAGAAAATCAAATGTCAAGATGAATAACTAACATAGTCAGTGGGGAAGGGATCAAGAAAGTGAAGACTCCGGAGGCTGAGGCAGGAGAATGGCGTGAACCCGGGAGGCGGAGCTTGCAGTGAGTCGAGATCGCGCCACTGCACTCCAGCCTGGGCGACAGAGAGAAACTCCGTCTCAAAAAAAATAAAAAATAAAAAAGAAAGTGAAGACTGACAGTGCTAATAGTAGTCTAGTAGTCTGGGAGACAGTTGCTCAAACCTTATTTTAGCAACAGACCCATTTTGCTTAATAAGTAAGTTTAAGAAATAACTCTCCAAGGGAATAAACAGAGCTTCTTTGGTAAAAACAGGACAAATGACCTGAAGGCATATCTTTTAGTGTATTCTTTCTCTCTTCAGCAGTCCTTGAGTTGCCTCACAGGGTCCTAGGGCTCTTAGAACAAAATTTTAAAACCACTGGTCTATGGAAGACTTAATGAGGTGAAATAATAAAAACAAGATATGGAGATAATAACAACAGCAACAACAATCAACAAGATGAAGCTGGGAGAGGAGGAGAAGGAGAGGAGAAAGGAGAAGATGAAGATGAACAACAGGAAGAAGAGGAGGGGAAGGAGAGGAAGGAGGAGAAGAAACAGTAATTGAGCACTTCCTTTGTACTAGGCCCTGGTCTAAGTACTTTACATCTAATCTTCACAATAACTTGATGATTTAAGAAAACATATCATTTCTATTTTTATAGATGAGGGCATTGAAGCAGAGAGAGGTAAGTCACTTGCTGGAAGGCACTTGCTAGCATGAGGAGCGGCAGTCAGAGTGCATTATGAGAGTAATTTAATGCTGATTATGAGATGCATGCTTTACTGGTAAAGTCTCCTGTGTTGGTCCACAGATGGGAGCTATAGATGGGGCTGAGTGTGGGAATCAAATGAAGCCAGCTCTGGAGAGGCTGAAGGATGAGGAGGTTAAGAAACAAGCAAGACCTCAGAGGATCAACAGGACTCAGTGAATGACATAGGATCAAGGGACAGCAAGGAGTCCAGAATTATTCCAATAACTCAAGTCTTGGAGAAGTGTTGCATCTTGTAAAAATTTGAAAACCTGAAGAGGAATTTGGTTTAAGAGGGTAGGGAACAATTAGTGGTTATGAAATACTTAATGAGTACCAAGAACTATTATACTTAATAGACATCATTGTATTTAATATAAGAAAATACCATTACCCAGATTTGACAGATGAAGAAACTAAGGCTTTCAAAGATTAGATAATTTTTCCAAAGTGATAGTCTCCATCAGAGTGAACAGGCAACCTACAGAATGGGAGAAAATTTTTGCAATCTACTCATCTGACAAAGGGCTAATATCCAGAATCTACAAAGAACTCAAATTTACAAGAAAAAAACAAACAACCCCATCAAAAAGTGGGCAAAGGATATGAACAGACACTTCTCGAAAGAAGACATTTATGCAGCCAACAGACACATGAAAAAATGCTCATCATCACTGGCCATCAGAGAAATGCAAATCAAAACCACAATGAGATATCATCTCACACCAGTTAGAATGGCGATCATTAAAAAGTCAGGAAACAACAGGTGCTGGAGAGGATGTGGAGAAATAGGAACACTTTTACACTATTGGTGGGACTGTAAACTAGTTCAACCATTGTGGAAGACAGTGTGGCGATTCCTCGGGGATCTAGAACTAGAAATACCATTTGACCCAGCCATCCCATTACTGGGTATATACCCAAAGGGATATAAATCATGCTGCTATAAAGACACATGCACACGTATGTTTATTGCAACACTACTCACAATAGCAAAGACTTGGAACCAACCCAAATGCCCAAAAATGATAGACTGGATTAAGAAAATGTGGCACTTATACACCATGGAATACTATGCAGCCATAAAATGATGAGTTCATATCCTTTGTAGGGACATGGGTGAGCTGGAAACCATCATTCTCAGCGAACTATGGCAAGGACAAAAAACCAAACACTGCATGTTCTCACTAATAGGTGGGAATTGAACAATGAGAACACTTGGACACAGGAAGGGGAACATCACACACTGGGGCCTGTTGTGGAGTGGGAGGAGTGGGGAGGGATAGCATTAGGAGATATACCTAATGTAAATGAGGAGTTAATGGGTGCAGCACACCAACATGGCACATGTATACATATGTAATAAACCTGCACGTTGTGCACATGTATCCTAGAACTTTAAGTATAATAAAAATATATATATATAAAATAAAAAAAAACACTTGAACCCAGGTGATTTTACTTTTAAATGCATTGATTTTGGGAGTGACAGTAAGGCGCTATTGAGTACATAGATGAAGACAGATGTCTGTAGTCTGGGAAAAGATAAATTCTAGAGATAGAAGTTTCATTGATTTCCACTTAGGATTAATAGGTGTAGTTAAAATTTCCAAGGAGAGAGATAGATAGATAGATAGATAGATAGATAGATAGATAGATAGATAGATACATAGATACATAGATACATAGATAGATACATAGACACATAGATAGATAGACACATAGATACATGACAGATAGATGATGATGATGATGATAGATGATAGGTAGATAGATAGATAGATAAATAGATAGATAGATAGATAGATAGATAGATAGATAGATAGATAGATAGATGCACAGCAAAGCAAAGGACTGAGGACTAAACCTCAGGGAAATAACTACATGTTAGAAGCCAGGAAGCAAAAGAGGAGCTACCTAAGAAGACATAGCTGACTTAAGAAGCAGAAAACCTGACTGCTATAGGCAGAAGTTTTCAGGTTTTTTTCACCCTGACATCCAGTTAGAAAAGCATTTTGCATGACAACCCAGTATGTATATGGGTGTATATTTATGAATGTAGGCAAATCAAATGTTTTCAGATACAATATTTACTGTTAACAGTGTTTGATGTGGGCTGATATTTTTCTTCTCTTTTTCTTTATAAAAATACACTTTGGATAGCAGCTCATTACAATTATTTCATAACTGAATGATGGGTCACAAGCCAGTATTTGAAAACATTGCCCTATATCTACCCTCAAACATTCAGGGTACCACAGTGATGTGGTGATGCTGTGAGTTCTCAGGTTTGGCCAGCCATCTTAGAATAATAGCAAATATTAATGACTCTCAAATGGCAGCCTTCATAATTTATCTTGAGAAATTGTGGGCAATAGTTCCATCTCTAAGATCCACTCACTTTCTGTTTTTCTGACCCAATATTTGTTTTCTCCTCTCTTAATTTCTTGTTTTCCACTCAACTTTCCTTGTTCCCTTTGGCTTGGAAATTAATTCTTCCTGGATTTGTTCTTCTTTTATTATTTTTTTAACTAAATGAATTAAAATAATTTACAAGCTGACCTTTCCATGTCATTTCCAGTCTTTCCTTGTGGCTGTTTTATGCTTAAGTATACTGTACCACGGTAGGAGAATGAACATTTTTTTGTGTGGTACATAGTTTCATTATATAATAATTTAATTATATGACAAATGAGGTTGCAAAACTGATCCTATTCATGGCACCTCGCACAGTGCTGCCAAATGCCCTGAGTTAACCTGACATTGTCAAGAATGAATCCTGGAAACCCAGAACCCACAGATCCTGGAATGCCAAATGAAGTTTGTCATCAATTCTGAAACCAGGGCATCACAGTAAATAACATGAAACAGCTATTCTTCGATGTTCTTTCCTCCCTCTGTGGCATCTTCATAAAATGGCTTCCCCTTGATGCATTCTGCTGTTGAGAACGTGAAAGGGACACCATCAATAAACACAATAGTATAGTGACAGTCATATAAATTAACAAAGAACTTCTGCTGGAACTTGCTCAATTTGCAGAGATAATTATAAGATGTTAAGAAGTATTGACTGCCCATTTCATTGTTTCCATATTTTAACTGGAGAGACTGAGGCTTGAGAGTCTAAGTGACTTAAACTCAGCTATTAATTTAAATAGCCAAGCCTGGATTCTAGTAGTGTACTTGAATAAGCTCCAAATGTAAATAGCTAGCAAATCTGTCTGAACTCTTTCTCAGAGAGGATGGCTATGTCTGTTAATTCCTATCAATTGTATAGAAAGTCAGAGGAGGAACACTGGACAAATGAATTTGACATGGCTTGCAGATGGAAGTTTTTAGAATTAGTGGGCTGATATAACCTATAAGTTGAACCTAAATATTTGGGATTGCTGACTCAAACTTTTTTTTCCCATCACAAAAATTTTGTAGATTGCTCCCTCACAAATTGTATTGTACAGCAGATTCATCAGATTTTTGAAAAAATTCTGGTGCTTGAACTCTACAAAAATGTATTTTTAAACAAATTTCAGAGGTGATTGTGATCCTTGAAAAACATTGTACATCTCTGGTCTAATAAGTAACACATTTCTGGCACATAAAGACCTAGGTTTATTCATTTATAAAATAAATAATTATTGAGTGTTGTTTTTAAGAACCTATGTTCTTCATTAGAGATAAAAAGCAGTAAGGCATGTATGCAATGAGCTCACAAAGTGGTAGTGGGAATAGATAAAATAGAAATCTGAAACAATGTAAAATATGATTTTGTGTTAAAATAAGATATGGGATGTCATTGTGGATTCCATACAGCCAGAGTGAAGAGGTAGGAATTAGATTGTACTTCTGAAAGAGGTAAAATCTTATCTGGATATTGAGGAATCAATAAGACTTGGTAAGGGGAGGAGTAGGATTGTAGGCAATGGGGGATAGCGTGCATGAAAGTTTGGAGAAAATATCTAGGTGGAATTGGGGTAGATAGCAGTATCATTCAACTGGATCAGGGCACTTGCAGAAGGATAAGGAAATAAAAGGCTGAAGAGCAAGAACATAAAAAATCTTTAACATAAAACTAAGAGTTTTGGAACTAATTATTGAGTAATGAAGAGCCATGGTTGGCTTTGAGCAGAGACTGGCATGACCAGCATTTATTTCTCAAAAGAATTAATTTACAGCTGGGTGCAGGATGGGTTGGAGGAAGGATAACCTGGATATAAACAGATGGGTTAGAAGACTCATGATGTTGCTTCAGGCTTTAGCTTCCCCATTGCTTACTTGAGGTCTCTCATCTATAACAATGCACATAACAACATGTTTCACATGCTCCTTCCCTGTCTTTTGAATCACTGAATTTGTGGGACAGATTCTATAAAGTCTGAGTGCTTTTGATCAAGTGGATACTGAACCAGTGGAAAGTGGGCCTATAATCCTCAAAGAAAATTGAAAGACTTTGACAGCTTTTTCATGACTATTTGAAGGTGAGAAGGCATGGGATCTAATCCAAACTGTCTGGCTTTAATTGCTTTTCTTATTCTATGTTTTGCATGGGTACTATTGGTAGACAACACTGGCTCTTGATTCAATTGTTTGTGGCCTTTCTGTATTACGAACATGTTGATTTTCTCTTCTCTCTGCCTACTCTTTTGCTTCTTTTCTTATTTCATGTTCTAATCTCACCTTTTTGTAAAACTCATTTTTCCTTTTTTTCCCCTGACTGCCAACCTTTTCTTTAGGTTAGCCCAAGAGGGTCACCATGACCCTTTTCCTTTGGGAAAGGAGGGAGTGGGACAACTTGATAATTATTATTTAGAGTGGAAACCTTTTCTTTTTAGTTGAATTATCTTAGTGTCATCCCAAGTGCCTTGCACTGTACTAGAAAATAATAAATTCTCAAAAAACATTTTTGAAAGGAAGTACAACACACAACATCAGGCATATTTATGTCCTTAATAGTGAAGGTTGACTCTACTTAGATTTTTCAGGGCAGTTATGATTTCAGGTATTCTTTCCTGTTGTTTAATATTATAAAACCATCTATCCTGATTTTAAGTTTGAAAATATGCACGCCATACCCATTAAAGATAAGTATGAATCTGTACCCCCAAACACAATGCACATTAGAAAAAGACAATTCTTTGGGTATTTCCTCTTGGAAAAAGCCAAAATGAAAAAATAGAAAAAGAAAAAAAAACTGAGTGGCAAGAAGGAGGAGGTGGTGGGTAGATATTTGGTGGGTTTTGTTGAGCTCCGGTAGAAGGCTCTCTGGAACAGTTTAGCCAGCGTTTTCATTGGCAGCCTCAGCAGAGCCATTAGAACTATTAAACGAATGTATTGTTTTGAGTTTTCTTTGGCCCAGTCTCCCCCATTATTTAGGGAAACCGAATTGCACATTCTCAGGAAAGAGGGAAGACTGAATGCCAGTGACTTGAACCCTCCTTCATGGCGCACTGTAGATGAACAGGCCGGAGTGCTGGGGAGGGCTGAGAATTTCTAGCCCCTCCAAATTCCCATGTGCCAAGTGCTATATTGGCTCTGATCAGGATTCTCGGATTTTTTTTTCTCCTTCTGGTTAACAAGTAATCAGAGCTTTGTGAAAGTTCCTCCAATAAATTATATAGACCTTTTTATATCTGGCAATGAAACCTTTTTAGAATGTCTGCTCGGGAGCAGAGGGCCCTGATCTGGAACATCCAATCTCTCTGGCCTAAAAATAAACCTGGGTTTTAAGAAACTGTGGTGTGTGTGTGTGCATGTGCATGTGCGTGTGTGTGTGTGTGTGTGTGTGTGTGTGTGTATGTGTTTGTAGGGGAGGCAAGTGGAGAATGCTAAAGGTCCAAAATACTTGGTTAATAGATCCTGGAGTTAGAAATGCTGACTTTTTTAAAAAAAATAAAAGATGAGGCTAAACAGAAGACCCATCCATCCTTCTTTTTAGCTTGTCAAGAGTGTCTCTGGGAGAAATGCCAGATGAAAAAAACTAGGATGAACTCACATGGTTCTTTCTCCATTATGTTTCCATTCTCTGTTAGTTATTTTTGGTTGACCCCCCTTTTTGTTCCAAATACTAGAGTTAGGATAAATGGAGACAAAGTAGACCAAATTCTGCCTAGGGAAGCTCTTAGACAGAGAAGCATGGCCCCACCTAGTTGCATTTGAAAGGCCTGTTGCTTTAACCTATGCATACTGGCCCTTCCATTGTGTGGCTGCTTTTGTTACATCATCTAAAAAGATTGCCTGGTATAGGAAGAATATTCTAACTTAAATCTAATTTGGCTTTTTTATTCTTTAAAAAATGAGCTTTTCTTCAGAAATTAATACATTCTGCTTGTAAATTTTCAAACAGTAAAGGAATAGTTCTAAGTTCCGTCTTTCTTCCATTTTCCCTGCCTACTTCTTCCCATCTTTCTACCACTTTTGAAAACAAGCCTTATTCTGAGTCTAGACCAGTTTGTAAAAGTATGTTTTATTGTTTTTTAAATAGACACTGTTTGAAACATAATAAAAGTGGCCAGTGGCCCATTTTCTTTTTTTCTTTTTCTTTCTTTTTTTTTTTTGAGATGGAGTTTCGCTCTTGTTGCCCAGGCTGGAGTGCAATGGCGAGATCTTGGCTCACTGCAACCTCCGGGAGGAATGCTGGGTTAAATAATTGCTTTTCATGTACTTGGTATTTTGCTATGTGCTTTACATACAATATTTTATTTAATCAGTGTAGCAATTACAGAAGATAGATACTATTATTTTTGTTCTCATTTTTTACATTATGTTCATTTTTATATGATCGTGATTATTTTTCTAATCATGAAACTGAGACTTAGAGATATTATAAAAATGCCTGAGCTCATACAAGAAGAAAAGGGCAAGCCTATATTATCTCAGGTTATTCAAATTCAGAGCTACAATTTTTGTCACTACAGTTCCTATGCCATCCCCCAGGAATTTATTTATCTATTTTTATTTTTTTCAAAAGTATAATAATGAATTTTATTTTTTATTTTTATTTTTATTATTTATTTATTTATTTATTATTATTATACTTTAAGTTTTAGGGTACATGTGCACAATGTGCAGGTTAGTCACATATGTATACGTGTGCCATGCTGGTGCGCTGCACCCATTAACTCGTCATCTAGCATTAGGTATATCTCCCAATGCTATCCCTCCCCCCTCCCCCCACCCCACAACAGTCCCCAGAGTGTGATGTTCCCCTTCCTGTGTACATGTGTTCTCATTGTTCAATTCCCACCTATGAGTGAGAATATGTGGTGTTTGGTTTTTCGTTCTTGCGATAGTTTACTGAGAATGATGATTTCCAATTTCATCCATGTCCCTACAAAGGACATGAACTCATTTTTTATGGCTGCATAGTATTCCATGGTGTATATGTGCCACATTTTCTTAATCCAGTCTATCATTGTTGGACATTTGGGTTGGTTCCAAGTCTTTGCTCTTGTGAATAGTGCCGCAATAAATATACGTGTGCATGTGTCTTTATAGCAGCATGATTTATAGTCCTTTGGGCATATACCCAGTAATGGGATGGCTGGGTCAAATGGTATTTCTAGTTCTAGATCCCTGAGGAATCGCCACACTGACTTCCACAATGGTTGAACTAGTTTACAGTCCCACCAACAGTGTAAAAGTGTTCCTATTTCTCCACATCCTCTCCAGCACCTGTTGTTTCCTGACTTTTTAATGATTGCCATTCTAACTGGTGTGAGATGGTATCTCATTGTGGTTTTGATTTGCATTTCTCTGATGGTCAGTGATGGTGAGCATTTTTTCATGTGTTTTTTGGCTGCATAAATGTCTTCTTTTGAGAAGTGTCTGTTCATGTCCTTTGCCCACTTTTTGATGGGGTTGTTTGTTTTTTTCTTGTAAATTTGTTTGAGTTCATTGTAGATTCTGGATATTAGCCCTTTGTCAGATGAGTAGGTTGCAAAAATTTTCTCCCATTTTGTAGGTTGCCTGTTCACTCTGGTGGTAGTTTCTTTTGCTGTGCAGAAGCTCTTTAGTTTAATTAGATCCCATTTGTCAATTTTGGCTTTTGTTGCCATTGCTTTTGGTGTTTTAGACATGAAGTTCTTGCCATGCCTATGTCCTGAATGGTATTGCCTAGGTTTTCTTCTAGGGTTTTTATGGTTTTAGGTCTAATATTTAAGTCTTTAATCCATCTTGAATTGATTTTTGTATAAGGTGTAAGGAAGGGATCCAGTTTCAGCTTTCTACATATGGCTAGCCAGTTTTCCCAGCACCATTTATTAAATAGGGAATCCTTTCCCCATTGCTTGTTTTTCTCAGGTTTGTCAAAGATCAGATAGTTGTAGATATGCGGCGTTATTTCTGAGGGCTCTGTTCTGTTCCATTGATCTATATCTCTGTTTTGGTACCAGTACCATGCTGTTTTTGGTTACTGTAGCCTTGTAGTATAGTTTGAAGTCAGGTAGTGTGATGCCTCCAGCTTAGATTTTGGGTTTACTTAGTATAGGAGGTCTCAGGATTTTTAATAATTTGCATTTCTTATAATAAAGAAATGAGTACACTCTTCTCCTATTTTTTGACCATGAAATCCCTTTTATGAAAACCTTCTTGAGGAACCACTGTTTCTCATAAAACTTAATATAGTCTGAACCAGCCTCATCATCAACTTGGTCTTAATGACTCTGGGTGATGGAGGTATTATTGAGCCAAGTGTTTGCACAAACACTAAGAAAAGTCAAGGAGGTCTAGGTTAGTGTGTACAATTTTGCATCAAAGCCAGTTCAAATAGTCACATTTCTCCTAGAACTGCCATTTGACTCCATAATCCAGTTACTACTTATCCCTATAAGCAATCAGAGATAAAAATTGTGAAGCAGAAAGATTTCATGTTCCCAGAATTTTCTTTTCATTTTAAGTCCCAGTGAAAGATAACATTCTAGTTCTCTAGCTAGTGCCCAAGCCACCCTTCCTTCTATAGGAATGGCTCTGAAAGGTATGGATAAGTATTTTGCCTTAAAGAGTACATAAATGAGGAAGGCATGATTATTAGTTGTCTATGACTTATTTTAATTTAAATAACAATAATTGCAAAGGATAATTTAAATAACAATAATTGCAAAGGATACTTGATTGCATATTTGCTATAATTGCATATAATTTTAAAATTCTTTTTCTGTATTCTAAGTTATTTGATAACATGCATGTAGTACTTTTAGAATTAAACAAGAAGAGGCTAGGTAGAAATAATACAAGCAAAAGGACAAAGACACTGAGCAGCATAGGTGAGTGTGGGTGGAAAACTACCAGTAGTTTGATGTTGTTGGAACATAATGCATCAACCTGACAGTGACAAGAGATGAGATGACTATAAGAAAGACCAGAGTTTGGTCAGTTTTGTGGCTTAAATGGATTGCTTCAGATGCTTTGTGGATGACAGTGAAATTGTAGCAAGAAGATAGAAGACCACTGCTATAGTTTGAGCAAGAGATAATGAGCCCATGATATTTAAGTGAAGAGGATAAAGTTGAACATAACTGATAGCTAAAATAAGTAAGCATCAGTAATTGAGTGTATGTTAGGGGTAAGAATGAATATGGAGGAGAAAGGATCACTGTCAAGTTTCTACTTAGGGTAAAAAAGAACAGAAAATGTAACTCTGCAATCTTCTCCATTGAGATATTTGGAATCATATGTGCAAGCATTAGTCTTCCCTCTAATCTTTATAGAACCGTATAGCTATGACATTCTCTTCTTTTTGAGGATGTAGAAATTCAGTCACAAAATAGTTAAGAGACTGTGTTCACCTATTGGTCTGAAAATGCATTGCCTTTTCTGGGTGTCAGTTTTTTTTCTATATGAGCATAAAAAACATATAAGACCTCACTGAATCCAAAATTAACAATAACAAGGAACAGCTACCACTTATTCTACCCATCTTATAAGTAGGCATATGCTAAGTGCTTTATATAGCATGCCATTTTATCTTCACATCAACCAGGAGAGTTAATTATTACTTTATGCTACAGATGAGAAAATTGAGGTGCAAAGGGGTTAAATAATGTGTCCAGGGTCACATAGCTAGTAAAAAATGGCAGAGCTGGACTGTAAATTCATGTCTGTCTGAATTCAGACCAATGCTCTAAAAACATAACTTAGTGTAGAAAAGAGATTAGTGAATATTTCTGTAAATGGCCAAATAGTAAATACTTTAGCCTTTGCCGGTCTGCAAGCTACCTATGATCTCTCTTGCATTTTCTTCTTCTGTTTTTTTTTTTTTAAATGCTTTAAAAATGTAAAAACCATTCTTTGTTCACAGGCCATATAAAACTAACCATAGGCTGAATTTGGCTTATACCATCATAGTTTGCAGATTCCTGGTCTAGAGTATACCAGGAGTACCAGTATACACAGAGGCCTTTCAGAATCTATCAGTGGTGAAAGGATCATGTAGGGAGTGCTAAAGGGAAAGGAGAAAAATGGAGAAAATGCTTAGCTCTAGATTTCCTGGGGAAAGGGAAATCCAGCTGGAATAGAATATCCATGGTAAACACAGGGAGACCACAAAAGAGTGAGTCATAACCCGGCCATAGTCTGAATATGATCACTCAGCCAACAAACGATCCTCAGATGGCTTCAAAACACTTGTGTTGGGCGGAAGAGGGGGAGATTGATTAGAAGAGATGTGCTCTCCAGAGAGAACACAGGCTCTGTCCTTCTGGAAGAGTAGACATGGTAGAGTGGATGAAGGAGGTATCTTTCTAGGCACCAACTCTTGCAGCAGAGGAGAAGGTGAGGGACAGCCAGATGGTGGGAGTGGAGGGTACCTCTGTGGGTGTGTATGAAATTCTCTTTTCTCAGCCACCTCAACACTTGCAACTTTCAAATGGATAAGGTTGCTCTGGCATCCTTCTGGAAGGAAATTAAAGTTTACAAATGATAATATAAAAGGCAAGCAAAAATTATCCTCTCAAAAGCTCAGTGTCTTCACCAGGAGGCTTGTGTACTGAATATCTGTATGGAGTCTGTGGGCTTACGAAAACTTAGCAGGGGAGAGGGTGAATTAGGTGCCCTCTGTTCTTAGAGATATGATAATAAGTGAGACTCAGGCAGGTTCAAGCAACTTCTGGGGAAGTCGTGAGCACCATCAGAAGGGCCCAAAGAGCTTTGGTGGATTTAGTTCTTTTTATTTTTTATCTCCTTACAACCCAATAGGACTTGTCCTGGAGTTTATGAGTGACAGGATTTTTTAAAAATGTCTATTTTATTATCCAGCCATCCCTTACACTTAATTATTTTATCAAAAGGAGTTACGTATGGATAAAAAGGTTGTTTTCTGCATTGTGATATTCCATTGTACATATGACAATGGAATTTATTTTAATTCCTTTCTGAGTCTCAATGTTGAGAAACATGTAGTCTATCATTAGAGGCAATATGGCAATATGCACCATAGATAGAGAAAGGGCTGGAAAACAGGGACAATCTAGGTTCAAGTTTCGGCTTTCCCCAGGTCACCAGCATAACATGACAAGTGCTGTGCTGCAGTAATACAGAATGTGCTAAGAGGGTACCTAAGCTTGGAGAGAAATCTAGACTCAAAGATTGGGGTGGATTTCAGGAAAACCTTCCTGGATAAGGTGACATCTATACCACCTTTTGAAAGAAGAGTAGTTAGAAGAAAAGGACACAGGAAAATAAAGCATTCTAGGCAGAAGAAATATGCATGCAATTTTATGGAACCAGGAAAGAGCACAACACAGGTGCAGCGCCACAAGTACTTCTGATTTTATTTAATTTCAAAAGTTTTACTTATACAGAATAGTTGTACATATTTTCAGAGTACATGTGATAATTAAATATATTCATATAATTTGTAAAGATCAAAACAGTACATTGGGATATCCATCACCTTACATATTTGTCTTTTTTATCTTAGAAACATTTGAATTATTCTTTTTTAGTTATTTTGAAATATACAATAGGTTACTGTAAACTGTAGTCACTCTACTGATCTTTCAAACACTAGGTCTTGTTTCTTCTTTCAAATTGTACATTTGTACCCATTAATCAACCTCTTTTTATCCTCCCTCCCTTCTATCATTCCTGGCCTCTGGTAACCACAATTCTACCCTCTATCTTTATGAGATCCATGTTTATTAGCTCCCACATATGAATGAGAACATGCAATATTTGTCTTTTTGTGTTTGGCTTATTTCACTTAACATAATGACCTCCAATTCCATCCATGTTGCTGCAAATGACAGGATTTCATTCTTTTTATGGCTGAATAATATTTCATTGTGTATGTATACCACATTTTCTTATCCATTCATCCTTTGATGAGCACTTAGTTTGATTCCATATTTTAGCTATTGTAAATACTGCTGCAGTAAACATGGGAGTGTAAATATCTCTTCATTATATTGATTTCTTTTCTTTTGGATATGTACCCAGTAGTGGAACTGCTGGATCATATGGTAGTTCTAGTTTTATCTTTTTGAAGGACATTCGTATAGTTTTTCATAATGACTGTACTAATTTACATTCACCAACACTATATGAAGGTATCCCTTTCTCCACATCCTCACCAGCATCTGTTGTTGTCTGTCTTTTTGATAAAGCCGTTTTAGCTGGTGTAAGATATTATCTCATGTGGTTTTGGTTTGAATTTCCCTAAGGATTTGTGATGTTGAGCATTTTTTTCACATGCCTGTTGGCCATTTATATAGCTTCTTTTGAGAAAGGTTTATTCCGGTTTTTTGCCCGATTTTAAATCGGATTATTATTGTTATTTTACTATTGAGGTTTTTTAGTTCTTTATATTTTGTTTCTCAATCATTTGTCAGATGAATAGTTTGCAAATATTTTCTTTCATTCTATGGGTTGTCTTTTCACTAGTTGATTGTTTCCTTTGCAGTGCAAAAGTTTTTTAGTTTGATGTAGTCCCATTTGTCTATTTTTGCTTTGGTTGCCTGTGATTTTGAGGTTTACAAAATAATCTTTGCCTAAACTGGGCAAATGTCCTAGAGCATTTCCCCAATGTTTTCTCCTAGTAGTTTCATAGTCTTAGGTCTTAGGTTTAAGTCTTTCATCCATTTAAAAAATTTTTATTTTTAATTTTTGTGGGTACATAGTAGGTGTATATATTTATGAGGTACATGAGATATTTTGATTCAGGCATACAATGCATAATAATCACATCAGGGTTAATGGGGTATCCATCACCTCAAGCATTTATCCTTTCTTTGCATTACAAACATCTAGTTATACTCTTTTAGTTATTTTTAAATGTATAATAAATTATTCTTGACAATAATCACCCAGTTGTGCTATAACATACTAGATCTTATTGATTTTATCTAACTGTATTTTTGTACACATGAACCATCCCCCCACCTGACCCCCACTATCATTCCCTGCCTCTGGTAATCATCATTTTACTCTCTGTTACCGTGAGTTCAATTGTTTTAATTTTTAGCTACCATAAATAAGTGAGAACATATGAAGTTTGTCTTTCTGTGCTTGGCTTATTTCACTTAACATAATGAAATCTGGTTCCATCCATGTTGTTGCAAATGATAGGATCTCATTCTTTTTATGGCTGAATAGTACTCCATTGCATCTACGTATCACATTTTCTTCATCCATCTATCTGTTGATGTACACTTAGGTTGCTTCCAAATCTTGGCTATTGTGAATAGTGCTGTGATAAACATGGGAGTGCAGATATCTCTTTGATATACTGATTTCTTTTCTGTTGAATATATACCTAGCAGTGAGATTGCTGGATCACATGATAGCTCTATTATTAGTTTTTTGAGGGGACTCTAAACTGTTCTTGATAGTGATTGTACTAATTTATATTCTTACCTACTGTATATAACAGTTCCCTGTTCTCCATACCTTTGCCAGCATTTTTTATTGCCTCACTTTTGGATAAAAGCCATTTTAACTAGGGTGAAATAATCTCCTTGTAGTATTGATTTGCATTTCTTTGATGATCAGTGATGTTGAGCACCTTTTCACATACCTGTTTGCCATTTGTATGTCCTCTTTTGATAAATGTCTATTCAGGTGTTTTGTCCATTTTCTAGTTGGATTATTGGATTTTTTTTCCAATTGAGTTGTTTGAGCTCCGTATATATTCTGGTTATTAATCCCTTGTCAGATGGGTAGTTTGCAAATATTTTCTCCCATTCTGTGGGTTATCTCTTCACTTTGTTGATTGTTTCCTTTGGTATGCAGAAGCTTTTTCACTTGATATGATCTCATTTGTCCAGTTTTGTTTTGGTTGCCTGTGCCTGTGGGGTGTGACTCAAGAAATCTTAGCCCAGTCCAATGCCATGAAAAATTTTGTCAATGTTTACTTGTAGCAGTTTCATAGTTTGAGGCCTTACATTTAAGTCTTTAATCCATTTTGATTTTATTTTTTGTATGTGGTAAGAGATAGGGGTCTGGTTCTATTCTTCTGCATATGGTTATCCAGTTTTCCCAGCACTATTTATTGAAGAGACTGTCCTTTCCCTATTGTATGTTTTTGGTACCTTTGTCAAAAATGAGTTGGCTATAAATGCAAGGATTAATATCTGGGTTCTCTACTTTGTTCCAACTGTCAATGGTTAATGTTTTTTGTTTGTTTCTTTGTTTGTTTTTTTCCTTGCCAGTAACATGCCATTTTGGCTGCTATAACTTTGTAGTGTATTTTGAAATCAGGTATTTTGAGGCCTCCAGCTTTGTTCCTTTTGCTCAGAATTGCTTTGGCTATTTGGGGTCTTTTGAGGTTCCATATAAATTTCAGGATTCTTTTTCTATTTCTGTGAGGAATGTCATTGGTATTTTGGTAGAAATTGCATTGAATCTGTCTATTGCTTTGTCTAGTCATTTTAACAACATTAATTCTTCCAATCCATAAGCTTGAAATATATTTCCATTTATTGCACCCTCTTCAATTTCATTCATCAGTGTTTTTTATAGTTTTTTGTATAGACTTTTAACTTCTTTGGTTAAATTGATTCCTAGATATTTTATATTCTTAGTAACTACAGTAAATAGGATTGCTTTCTTTATTTCTTTTTCAGATTATTTGCTGTTGCTGTATATAAATGCTACTAACTTTTATATGTGGATTTTGTATCCTGCAACTTTCTGAATTTGTTTATCAGTTCTAACAGTTTTTTGGTGGAGTCTTTTGGTTCTGCTAAGTATGTGGTCATGTCATGTGTGAGCAAGGCTAATTTGAGTCCTCTCTTTCTAGTTTGGATGCCCTTTATTTTTTCTCTTGCCTAACTGTTCTGGCCAGTACTTTCAGTACTATGTTGAATAACAGTGTTGAGAATGGGTATCCTTTTCTTCTTCTAGATCTTAAAGAAAAGGCTTTCAATTTTCCCCCATTCAGTAAATGTTAGCTGTGAGTTTATCATATATGGCTTTTATTATTTTAAGGTATGTTCCTACTATACCCAGTTTGTTAATGGTTTTTATCATAAACTGTTGTTGAGTTTTATTGAATGCTTTTTCATCTTCTGTTGAAATAATCATATGGCTTTTGTTCTTGGTTATGTTAATGTAATGTATCATGTTTATTGATTTGCATATGTTGAACCATCCTTGCATTCTTGGGATAATCCTACTTGATCCATAGTAAATTGTCTTTTTAATTTGTTGTTGAATTTGGTTTGCTAATATTTTGCTGAGGATTTTTTAATCTATGTTCGTTAGGGATATTGGCCTGTAGTTTTCTTTTTATGTTGTGTTTTTGTCTGGTTTTGATGTTGGGTAAGGCTGGCCTCATAAAATGAGTTTGGAAGTATTCTCTCCTCTTCAATTTTTTTGAAGAGTTATTTGAGTAGAATTTGGTATTAGTTCTTTAAATATTTGGTAATTTTGGACAGTGAAGCCATCAGGTCCTGGGTTTTTCTTTGATGGGAGACTTTTTATTATGGCTTAAATCTCCTTACTTGTTATTGGTTTGTTGAGGGTTTTTATTTCTTCATGGTTCAATCTTTGTAGGTTGTATGTGTCCAGAAATTAACTCACTTCTAGATTTTCCAATTTGTTGGCATATAGTGGATCACAACAGTCTTTAATGATTCTTTGTATTCTGAGGTCTCAGAAATACAGAGGGGTCCTTTTTGCTGAATTCTTTTTTGTTTCTGGTTTGAGTCTTCTCTTTTTCTTAGCTATTCTAGCTAATAGTTTGCATATTTTATCTTTTAAAAAAAACTTTTGTTTTTTTTTTGTTTTTCTTTTAGGTTTAATTTTATTTATTTCTACTTTGATCTTTATGATTTCTTTCTCCTAATTTGAGGTTTGGTTTGTTCTTGCTTTTCTGGTTCCTTGAGGTGCACCATTAGCTTGTTTATTTGAAGTCTTTCTGGTTTTTCATATAGGTATTTATTGCTATAAACTTCTCTTTGTTGTATTATAAATTTTGGTATGTTGTATTTCCATTTTCATTTGTTTTAAGAAATTTTTAAATGTCCATTTAAATTTCTTCATTGATGTAATGGTCACTCAGAAACATGTTGTTTAATTTCCGTGTGTTTGTGTTTTCTGACATTCCTTTTGCTATTAATTTCTAGTTTTATTCCATTATAATCATATAAGATACTTGACATGATTTTGAGTTTTGAAATTTTTTTGATACTTGTTTCATGTCCTAACAGATCATCAATCCTGAATAATTCCATGTCCTGATTAAAAGAGTGTGTATTCTGTAGCTGTTGGGTAAAATGATCTGTAAATGTCAGCTGGGCATATGTACTATAGTGTACAATTTAACTCTGATGTTTCTTTGTTGATTTTCTGTCTGGATAATCTGTCCATTACTCAGAATGGGCTGTTGAAGTCCCTTACTATTATTGTATTGCAGTCTTTCTCTTTACATCTATTAATGTATACTTTATATAATTGGGAGCTCCAGTGTTTGGTGCATAGATATTTATAATCATTATATTATCTCGCTCAATTGTCCCCTTTGTCATTATATGGTAACCTTCTTTGTCTCTTTTTACAGTCTTTGATTTGTAGTATATTTAATCTGAAATAAATGTAGCTACTCCTGCCCATTTTTGGTTTCTAGTTGCATGAATGTCTTTTCTTACCCCTTCAGTTTATGTGTGTCTTTATAAATAAATTGGGTTTCTTGTGGGCAGCATGTAATTGGGTCTTGTTTCTTTGTTCAGCCACTGTATGTCTTTTTTTTTTCCATTTTCAGTCAAGACAATCATTTCTATTTCTTTTTATTTATTTATTTATTTATTTTATTATATACTTTAAGTTCTAGGGTACATGTGCACAATGTGCAGGTTTGTTACATATGTATACATGTGCCATGTTGGTGTGCTGCACCCATTAACTTGTCATTTACATTAGGTATGTCTCCTAATGCTATCCCTCCCACATCCCCCCACCCCATGACAGGCCCCAGTGTGTGATGTTCCCCATCATGTGTCCAACTGTTCTCATTGTTCAATTCCCACCTTTGAGTGAGAACATGCGGTGTTTGGTTTTCTGTATGTCTTTTAATTGTAGAATTGAGTTGTTTATATTCAGTTATTAATAAATGAGGACTTGCTACTGCCATTTCTTGCTTGTTTTCTGGTTGCTTCATATTTTGTTCTTTCTTCTTTTATTACTGTCTTCCTTTTTAGTTATGTGATTTTCTCTGGTAGATTGTTTTAATTTGTTGCTTTGTAATTTTCCTAGATCTATTATAGGCTTTTGTGTTGTGGCCACATGAGGCTTCAAGAAAACATCTTATAGATATAACAAGTTATCTTAAAGAGATGACACCTTAGATCACAAGGAAAATAATACAAAGAAATAAAGTGAAAACTTTTTAAAAGTTGGTACTTTATCCCTTCAACATTTTAACTGTATGTTGTCTCAATTCACAAATTTTATATTGCCTTATAAAACTTATAAACTCTTATTAGATTGTTATAGCTATTATTAGTTTTGATAGATTTGTCTTTTGGGCTTTGTCCTAGTGTTATGAATTGATTGCACACCACAATTACAGTATTAATGTATTCTGCATTTTTCAGTATACTTAATTTTAATAGTGGGTTTTATACCTGTAAATATTTTCTTTTGCATATTAGTGTTTTTTTTTCAGACGGAAGAACTCTTTAGCATTTCTTATATGACAGGTTCAGTAGTGATGAATTCTGTCAGCTTTTATTCATCTAGGAAATAATTTATCTGTCCTTCATATATGAAGGATAGCTTTTGTAGAGACAATATACTTGAATGGCAGTATTTTTCTTTCAGCACTTTGAAAACGATGTCCCACTCCTTCCTGATCTGTATAGTTTCCATAGGGAAGTCTGTTGCCAGACAAATTTGAACTTCTTTTATGTGCTATTTGCTTCTTTTAGAATCCTTTCTTTGTCTTTGACCTTTGAGAATTTGATTATTATATGACTCGGAGTAGACTTATTTGGTTCAATTCTATTTGGTGTTCTTTGACCTTCCTATATCTGGAATTTTATCTCTTTCTCAAGAAAGTTTTCTTAAGAAAAGTTTTCTTTAGAAAGTTTTCTGTCATTATTTTTTTAATAAGCTTTCTATCCCTTGCTCTTGCACAACTTGTTTTTGAACACCAATAGTTCTTAGATTTGGTCTTTTGAGATAATTTTCTATATCTTGTAGGCAATCTTCATTTCTTCATTCTTTTTTCTTTTTTCTCTTCTGGCTGTGTATTTTCAAGTAATCTGTCTTTGAGCTCACTATTTTTTTTCCTCTGCTTGCTTCATTCTGCTGTTGAAAACCTCTAATATAATTTTAGTTCAGCAAATGTATTTCTCAGTTCCAACATTTCTGTTTTTTTAAAAAACTATTATGTCAATCTCTTTGTTAATTTTTTCTGATAAATTTCTGAATTTTTTTCTGTGTTATCTTGGAGATCACTCAGTTTCCTTAATGCTGCTATTTTGAATTTTTGGTTAGAGAGTTCACATAGAAGCATCTCATTAGGGTCAGTCACTGGTTCTTTGTTTTGTTCATTTTTGGGGGCAGGGCGGGGCAGGGGGATCCTGGTTCCCTATTTGCTGTTGTTTCTTGTGGATATACATCTACATCTTTGCATTGAAGAATTAGCTATTTACTTCAATCTTCTCTTTTTGGCTTGTTTTGTTTCATATTGGATATGTTTGCTTAGAGATTCTTTAAAATGTATCTATTAATCTGTTGCTTTTCTTTATTTTCCACTAGGTTGCTGCCTCCTTTTCAACACTAAATGGCACCTTAAGTCCAGATTTACCTTGGTTCTAGTAAACAATCAGAGTGTGCCCTGTACCATATTGGAGAGGTCCTAAAGGGGATATACCAGTAGTGTGGGAAAACTGGCTAGGGATTCATGCCCATGGGACCTGTGGAGCAAGTCTGCTACAGCATGGTCTTGCTAAACAGACACTCTGATTTTGCATCTTCTTTGGCTAAGGTACAAAGCAGAGTTTCCAGGGCTGGGGATGGTAGTTTCACCTCTCTTCATTGTCTCTGGCTGTTCTCAGGGATGTTTCTCCCTTCAGTCACTCCTGATGCTTCCCATGGGTTGAGACATGGACAGTTAGTTCTCCTGCCAGGGAACCCAAGATAGTGGGGAAGCTAATTGTCCACCTTGATCTTAATTTTTCCAGTGTAGAAACCATGAGTTAGGGGAATTTTCTGCATACATGGTGCTGGGCAGGTTGTGGGGAGAAGCATCTCAGATATGGGAGTCCAATTCTCACTTCTCTGCGACCCTGAGAATTGTCTCCATCTCATTTTGGTTCTGGGACATTGCTAGTGATACCCTCAGCAATTTATATTTGTTCTTGGTTTTCTCTCTGGAGAGGAGTGGGAGTGAAGCCAGCTTGCTTCTACACCACCATTTTAAATGAAGATGTCACTTCTTAGTCACTTAGTCTGTTACTTTAAGCAGGAGTTACAACTGGATTTGGGAAAAGGTGAGCATGGAAGTATATGTTTAGAACACCATCCAACCAATCCTCCTATGTCTCCCTAGTAAGCCGTTTTCTATTCCTTGTTCCTCCACAATGTGTATTTCATGCCTTGTAAGTCTTCTCAGATCTCCATACTCATCATCTCATTCAGCACTCTTAGAGGATCATCCCCATTCCACTTCATTCAGAACACAGCAAAAACTAAAGGAACATTCCCTCACTGTAATGACACCAACCCTCAAAACTCTGCATTCTTTCTTCCATTTCATCCTCCCCCTTTATTGCATTAGCGTGTATTCCTCTTTGTCTTTCAGGAGGTTCACAACAAGTGAAGCCTGAGACAGGAATTTGGGTACATCTCCTCAACACTCCTATCCAAGGTAGATCTCCCCTGCTGGGCTTTGCATCTCATTTTCTTTCTTATATGGTCTTTTCTGTTATTCTTCATTTTCATTCTCTTTATTGGGTTCTTCCTTTTCAACAAATTTAGTAATGATTAAGTCTTTTATTATAAAAGCTTTCAGTTTTTCTCTGCATGCTGACTGATCTTTCCCTTTCCTCCTTATAATCTTCCTTTGTGGCTGAGATTCTGGTTTATGCCCAATACCTTTTCTTCCTTATACCCCACTCCGTCTCCTACTCACTGCAATCTGATTCTGTCTCTATTGCTCTTTTGGAATTGCATTTGTCAAAGTTATCAACCTTCTGCTTCTTTCTACTTCTGATGGATAATTTTCTGTTCTTTTCTTACTTGAATTGCCAGGAACATTTAGAATGATCTTCTCCCTTGGCTTTGGAGATGCCAATTCTGCTGGATTTCTTCGTACCTCTTCATTACTGTTTCTCAGACCTCTTTGGCAGTTTTTTTCTTCTGCCTATTTTTTTAAAAATTTACTATTCCTGTTCACTCTGCCGATTATTTCTTTTACTGTGCAGAAGCTTTTTAGTTTAATTAAGTCTCATATTTGTCTATTTTTGTTGTTGTTACCTGTGCTTTTGAGATCATAGTCATTCATAATCATTGCCTAGATCAACATCCAGAAGAGTTTTCCCTAGGTTTTCTTGTAGTATTCTTATAGTTTCAAATCTTACATTGAAGTCGTTAATCCATCCTGAGTTGATTTTTGTATATGATGATAGATAGGGGTCCAATTTCATTCTTCTGCATATGGCAATCCAACTTTCTAAGCAACATTTATTTAAAAGATTATCATGTCCCCGGTGTATGTTCTTGTTGGTTTTGTCAAAGATCAGTTGGCTATAGATATAAGGTTTTATTTTGAGTTTTCTATTCTGTCCCATTGATATATGAGTCTGTATTTATATCAGATATAATACATATATATAATATAAGTATATATATTTATATATTTTGGTTACCATAGCCTTGTAGTATAATTTTAAGTCAGGTAATGTGGTGCCTCCAGCTATTTTTTTTTTCTTAGGACTGCTTTGGCTGTTCAAGCTGTTTTTTCCATATGAATTTTAGGATTTTTTTCTAATTCTTTGAAAAAATGTTGCATTTTGATAGAGATTGCACTGACTCTATAGATTGCTTGGGAAGTATGATTGTTTGAATGACATTACTTCTTCCATTCCATGAGCATGGGATGTTTTTCCATTTGTTTGCATCATCTACAATTTTATACATCAGTATTTCATAGTCTTCTGTGTACAGACCTTTCACTTATGTGGCTAAGTGTATTTCTAGGCTTTTATTTTCATAGCTATTGTCATTGGGATTGCCTTCTTAATTTGTTTTTCAGTTTGATCATTATTGATGTATAGAAACACTACTGATTTGGGTATGATAATTTTGTATCCTAAAGCTTTACTAAATTCATTCATCAAATCTGAGAGTTTATGGTGAAATCTTCAGGGTTTTCTAGACATAAGATCATGTCATTAGTAAGCAGAGATAATTTGACCTCTTCTTTTCTAATTTAGATGCCTGTTTTTTATTTTTCTTGTCTGATTGCTCTGGTTAGGTCTTCCAGTACTATGTTTGAACAGGAATGGTGAAAGTGGGCAACCTTGTCTTGTTCCACTTGTTGAAAGGAATGCTTTCAACTTTTCTGCATTCAGTATAATGTTGGCTGTGGTTTTGTCATATATGACTTTTTTATTTTGAGATGTGTTCCGTCTATGCCTAGTTTGCTCATGGTTTTTATCATGAAGTGATGTTGACTTTTTTCAAATGCTTTTTCTGCATCCATTGTGATATCGAACAGACAACCTGCAGAATGAGAGAAAATATTTGTTAACTATTCATCTGACAGGGAACTAACATCCAGACTCTATAAGAAATTCAAACAACTCAAAAATAAAAGAAACCCCAAATAATCACATTAAAATGGGCAAAGGAAATAAATAGGCATTTTTCAGAAGATATATAAATGGCCAACAAGCGGATTAAAAAATGCTCAATATTTCTTATCATGAGCAAAATGCACATTAAATCCACAATAAGATGCCATCTTACACCAGTCAGAATGGCATCTTCTCACTTATAAGTCAGATAAAAATAATGTGTACACATGGACACAGAGTGTGAAATGATAGACAATGGAGACTTGGAAAAGTGGAAGAGTAGAAAGCGGGTGGATGATAAGAAATTACTTAATGGGTACAGTGTATATTATTTGGGCGATAGGCACATTAAAAGCTCTGACATCACCAGCACACAATATATCCATGTAACAAAATTACACCGGTCCCCATAAATTATACAAATAAAGAAATAAAAAGTAAAAATTTCTGTTCCTTAGAGTTTATCCTCTTTTCTCTTTTGACTCTATATACCTTTTCCTGGGCCAGATTAATGGTTTTGAGAACCTCAGAAAACATCCCTTCCATCACTGTCCCGTGATATATAAATCAAAAGTAAACATTTAATTTTTAAAATAAAGCAAAATTAATATTGTCTGCAGATTTTCAGAATATTTTTTTTTCAGAAATAGATTTCTGAATATATTTTCAATATTGAACTTTCTCTCTCTTTGCTGGTTCCCTGAGCACAGGTCCCAGCAACTTAACATATCATCTTGCATATTGTCAAGTGCTTATTCAATAGTAGCTGACTATATTAATGCTGGAGATGAACTCTAAATGGAAAACAAGGCAGATAATACTTCATTGCTTCCCTCTCCTAGGTTTGCTGATATTGCTCTGCTGTAGAATCCCCTTAAACTACAGAGTCTAGTTATATCTGAAACAGCCAAACTCCAAAGAGCAGTTTATAGGACCTGCTGCCACTGGTAGGCAGCAAAAAACAAAACTACACCCAAAGCCCAACCTCTCTCCTCACTCTGTCTTTGACAACTCTTTGTATGGTGACTAAGGGCAGAGCAGATTCTTGGCAAAAACACTCTATGATGATAAGCTCTCGGGGCCTGGGTAGGAATGGGCAATGTAATTCCACAGGCATTACACCAGGTTTAAAAATAGGAAGCTTTTCCCGGGAAGAGTAGTTATTGTTGGTAACTGGAGCGGACATGATGTGTCTCAGCTAATGGTAAAAACTTGTGAAGTCATCCAGTATTTTAGTCATTCTTTTGTGCTTCTTCTCTCTTCTCTTAAACCTCTTTCCTCAATTGCTTTAGAACATTTTAAAGATTTTCTTCAAATCCTGTTTTCAAGCAAAGCATTCTTTCTGTAATCTCCCTCTCTCTCTCTCTCTTTCACACACACACACACACACCAGAAGTCAGTTATTTTTGACAGCATACATGCACTAAACTGAACTCTAGACTTTCTGTTTTTTTTTGAAATAGAGAAAGTAAACTGGTCTTATAAGAACATTGGTCATTGAAAATTCTTTACACTTTGACTTTAGAGGTGAGGGGGACATACTCATTAATTCAGAGAGGAATTACTGGGCAACTACTAAATCTCAGACCCTGTGCTGAACACTCAAGGCACAATACTGAACAAGCCCAGACAGCATTCCTACTCCCACAGTCTGTGGCTTAATTGGGGAGTCCTCAAGAAGCAGCACTCTGCCAGGCACTCTGGCAGTGAAAGTAAAAGGTGTCACAAAAGTTGTGGACAAAAGCACCAGACCAGGATTTAGGGTATTAGGAAAGCCTTCCCAGAATTGACATCTATACCAAAATCTGTCAGATGAAAAGAAGTTATCCTGGAGATAGGCATGGAAGGGAAGGCAGATGCTATTGGTCCAAAAGCCCAGTGGCCCGGATAAGAGAGAGGGAAACATTCACGAGAGTTAGAAGGAAGTAGAAAGATTGATGCTAGAGAGGTTACTAGCAGCCAGATCCTGAAAGGTCTTGTAAACCATAGTAAGACATTTAGAGTTCCTTAAAGCAGAGAAGGAACATGATTAGATCTGCCATTTTTGAAAGGTTAGTCTTGAGAAAGCGTGGAGTTTGTATTCAAGGAGTGCAAAACACGGAACAGAGAAGCTTACTAGAAGGGTGTGGTTGGATTTAAGAGATATTTATAAATAGAACCAACAGAAATTGACAATTAATTGAATGTGGTGTAGTCAGGAAGAGGAAGAGTCCAAAATAATTTCTCAGTTTTTAAATTGAGTAATTGGACAGCTCAGGCAGTGTGAAACAGAAAGAATAACAAGTTTGGGTGGGAATTTTAGGCCTGTGTGATAATCAAATTAGAGATACTTATTATGCAGTTATCTGTGTGGTTATGTAGATCTGAGTATCATGTAAATTTAGAAAATATTAACATATATATGATAGCTAAAGCTATGGGGGTAAATAAGGCATTGCATGGCTAACATCCTAATAGGGGATTCTACAGCAGGATAATATCAGTGAACCTAGGAGAGGGAAACAATGAGGGATTATCTGCCTTGTTTTCCATTTAGAGTCCATCTCCAGCATTAATATAATCAACTACTATTGAATAAGCACTTGATAATATGTAAGATGATGTGCTAAGTTTCTATCATGCTGAGAAAGGAATGATACTTGCCTTCTGGGATCTTTGTCCAGCTAATGAAATAAGGAATGCTCTCTATTATATATGTAGGTACATATGTATATACATGTGAAATCCACTAATTCAATTAATGCCACAGTGGTGCTGGCCACACCTGGAGGAAGGAAACTGAAAGGAAATCTAAGTTCTTTATTGTGTAATAAAGGGTATCAAGAGTAAACAGAGGAACACTAGTTTTGATGTTGTACAGGTTGGACTAGAGTGGATGTGATATTAGAGGCAGAAAAATAAGAATACATTACAGAATATCAGAAATAAACAATCTGTTCCAGATACTATATATTTTTTATATTATACTATTGTGGTTGATGCAGAATTGAAACTCATATAAATATATTTTTAAATATCTAGAAGTAAGATCTTTATTGTTCGCAAATATTGCCAAAGCAGGCCTAAATATTATTGTTAGGTTGTGTATTTAGATTAGACTTAATGACATAGGGATTCAGATATAGGGGCTTATTTTAGGCTGGGGTGATCAGTGAAGGCCTCATGGAAGAGGTGTTATAGAAAAGAGGCCTTGAATGTCAGTTAGAATTTTGATAATTAAAGATATAGAAGGAGGATAGCATGAGCAAAGCAGGGAGGTAGATAAAAAAGCAAAACCACACTTGGTGTTAATGAGTAAATCCACTAATTCAATCAATGCTATAGTGGTGCTGGCCATACCTGGGCAAAGGAAACTAAAAGAAAATCTAAGTTCTTCATTACATAGGTCATGGGGTATCAAGAGTAAACAGAAGAACACCAGTTTTGATGTTGTACAGGGTGGACTAGAATGGATGTGATATTAGAGGCAGAAAAATAAGAAGAGATTATAGAACATCAGAAATAAAGAATCTGTTCCAGATAGTGGCAGTGGGACAGGAAAAATGCAGATATATTATACATTAGACTTTGGGAAAGGAAATTCTATAGAATTTAGTAAATATTTGGATGCATAGGTGTCTAGCTATAGTTTAAACTAAGCAACTAGCAGAATTTTTATAGCATGAATAAAAAAGAAAACTAAGAATGGAGATATGGGTTGGGTAGGAGGATTATATCAATGAGATATATGACCTGTTGATTGAGGTCATGAGGGCTATATTAGTTTCTTAGGGCCGCTGTAACAAAGCCCCACAAACTGGGGGTCTTAAACCACAGTAATATATTGTCTCACAGTTCTGGAGCTAGAAGTCCAAGATCAGCAGGGTTGGTTCTTTCTGAGGGCTGTGAGGGAGATTCTGTCCCAGGCTCCGCTCCTAGCTTTTAGTAGTCTCAGGCATTCCTTGGCTTGTAGCTGATATTCATTCTGTATCTCCACATAATCTTCCCTCTATGTGAATCTGTCCCTGTGTCCAAATTTCCTTTTAGAAGGACATAGTCATATTAGATTAGGGCCCACTCTAATGACTTCATCTTAACTTGATTATCTGCAAAGACCCTATTTCCAAATAAGATAACCTTCACAGGTATTCAGGGTTAGGACTCCAACATCTTATGGGGGACACATTTAACTCATAACAATAGCTACCCCAGTAGGTGCATTCAAAAAATATAAGAACATTTAAAAAAGGATATACAGATACATAAATCATTTGTATTAAGATAATCATTGAAATAATGAGAATGTGTTTAATCTTCAAGATTGTAACAATTTATAATTTGAAGGATGGTTCAATTTGGTATTCTGCTTAATATAAGAACTTATCTCTTTAATGTGTCTGCCAAATAACCCATCAGCTGCTGCTTAAATATTTCTAGTGTTAGGGATGTCATTTCTTAACAACTATAATTTGATAAGGCTCTCTATATACTGAGGCAATATATGGCTGTGTATAATTTTGCTCATTGGCCCCAATTTTTTCCTCTGGAGTTGCACAGAGTGAGGCTTTTATATGAAATCAAATTTCAAATATTTAAACAATTTTAAGGCTGTCCCCACCCCTGTCATCTAGACTAAATATGCACCATTTCTTCTACTATTCTTCACATGGCATGGTTGCCAGATTTTCCTCCTTTTTAGTCTACCTCTTCTGGGCAAGTCTTCCAAAGTTGTAATGTCCTTAAAGAAGGATAGCACTGATCCAGGACAGATCTATTCATGGCAGTACATAGTGTTTGTGCCTAGGATTGCAGCCTAAGAGTCTATACATTTTCCCCCAGGAGAGCCGTGGAACACTGTTGGCAACTGAAATCTATAGGCATTCTCCTCCCATTGATTGGTGTTAAACCCAGAGTTTCTAATGCTGTATTTTAGTAATTGTTTGTTTGTGTGTGTGTGTGTGTGTGTGTGTGCTTAAGTGTAGATTTTACATCAGAAACTTTTAGATTTTACCTTCTGAGTTTACTCTCATAATTATAACTTTTTTGAGGCAAATTTAAGTCATGTCGTTCGCAAATTTGACAAACTTACATCGTATGAATTCTTGCAAGACATTGATTAAATTACTGAATGAAATAGGGGCAAATACAGAGATCTGGGCTAGGGATATAAAAACTTTTTTGGGGGTAGTCCCAGGATTTAGTGTGAGTTGTTATAAATCTGTAATTATACACATTTTCCACCCTCCTTATAAAGATCTCATGAGAGATCTATCCAATATCCTGTTGAATCAAGGACACACTCTCCAAAACAGTGTCTTCCTCTAGAAAATTCAACAAAATAATCAAAACAATAAAATGTGATTAGTTTTGCATGATTCTTTTTTCCTGGTGAGCCCATGATAGTTCCAGTAATTACTTCTTTCTTGTCTAAGTAGTAAAAATTTGTTTATTTAATAATGCATTGAAAATATTTCTGGGAATTGACATTGAGCTCACTAATTTATAGTTTCCAAATCTCTCCTGTTTCCTGTATCAGGAGTTGAAATATGTTTCAGTCTTTAGCCTCCTTACACCACTCTATTATCTGCAAAGATTGGAATTATTTGTTACATAAACACCAAAACAGGTCTTTTTGGGGTCTTATGAATACCTCTTATGATTCTGGAGACTAATTCATTCAAAAACAGTTCTCACACTATTTCTTCAGTCAGCTAGCACTTGCAATTTCTCTTTGTCGCATTATTCTTTTGCTTAAATATATCTTCCCTGACCTTTCTACCATGAGAATGAAAATCAAATATTGAAAACACAGTTGGAATAATGTCTCTGAATCAGTCAAGACATAGTTGCAAAAAACAGAAACCACTGTAGCTATTTTAACCAAAAGGGGATTAAATACAGGAATTGAGTTGCCTCCAAAATCTTTGTAAGGGCTAGAGTAGTAGAATTGAGGTTGAACATCTAGAACTATCTCTCAGAATAAGATTATGGAACTGGTCTGCAAGTAGAGCTGCTATGCCTGCTACAGAAAGGGAGGTGGGAATTCTGAAGCTTCCGTTAGAACTGCCAGTTTCAGGGACATGCTGCCCAGCAGCTGTCTGGAGATCAAGAAACCACTGATGCCATCCCTAAGTCATGCTGTGCCTACTAGATCCACACCAGCAAAGAGGGTTTGCCCCGTAGCTTGTTTCTGAAGACCCACATTGCTCATGGCTGGATGCGGGAACACTATTGCCCAGACATTGCAGGCAGAGTAAGTGAAGGCAGTGAGAAGGAAGGCGGTCATCTCCCAGTCACCTTTTAACTCTAACATGAAGAACACAACTGATCGTAGACTGTAAATCTCATCCAAATCCCTGGGTGCAAAGGAGCTGGAGAAATGTAAAATTTAGCTTCTCTGTCCTCCAGAACAGTAAGACAGACCAGAAGGAAGGTGGAATAATTATGTGCAGACTAATGCACAACATCTACCACAAACTTCTACAGTGCCTTATTAATGTTTGATTATCTAAGCATATTTTTCACTCCATCCTTTGTTTTTGCATGTAATTTTGTACACACTTCTATTGTGGTGCCTGTCACATTGCATTTTAATTATTTGTTCACATGATTGTCTTGCTCATTGACTGAGCTCCTTGAAAACAAGAGCCGTGTCTTCTGTATCTTTTCATTGCCAGGGTCTAGCACAGTGACTTGCAGATAATAAGGGAAACGAATTTAAGGCTAGAAGAAAGAATGCATGCTTGGGAATTAGAGGAATTCAGGTTTAAACCTTTCCTCCAAAACTTACAATCTATGTGATCCGGGGGAAGACACTTTACCTCTGAAAGCCTTAGTTTCTTATGCTAACTTGAAGTAATTATGCTAACTTCATAAAGTTGTTATGAGATTTACATGAGAAAATATATACAAAGCATCTGGCATACAGTCAGGACTGAATTAATTGTGGTCACTATTATTAGTAGTAAATAAATGGTGCCAGGTAAATAAATTATTGAGCTGATTTCCACTTTAATAATTATTCATCTTGGTAGCAAGGCAGATTTCTAAGAGTTCAGGTTGTTTTTCTTTTCCCTTCTGTATCATTATATTCTATTTTGATCAATGCTCTGAAACAAATACATTTTAAAATTTATCATTCTTTGCACTTTTTCATGTGTATGTTGGTTCAAGCCTTTTTTTTTTTACTCTATTTTTTAACCATTTTATGCTATTCCTCCTTCTAAAATCTATATGTGTTCTCTTAAAATTTTAGCTTCCCAGAGAGTTCTCTTTTAATATCTGGTTCTTTTTGATGCTTTATATCTTCTTTCTGTTTTATTGGGACAATCTAGGATTAAATTGATTTTTAAGTTTTCTATCCTTCCACCTCCAAAAGGCCATTTTCCTCTTGAGAGTCCTAGGCATGAAATTGTTTCCTTTTTGGAAATCTAATTTAGTAAAGCTTGAAATTTTAGTGTTATCAGCCTGGGCTATTGCAAATACTAAAAATATAGAGGTTTATTTCAATAAGGAAATTTATTCACTCAATGTCACCAGCCAGTTATTTCTTATTAGTGAGAATTAAAATCAAACTATTATATCTCTTTGTTGTTTCTTGAAATTTTTGAGTCAAGAAAAGTATTTATTGAAGGTGCTGTTGCTATTAGCAGAAGCAGCCTTCACGCAGGGATCATCTCACTTGAAGTTGGGGCTAATCACTATATCCCTCTTCTGTGTCCATTTTGGAACTTGCCTTTGGGAGGTTCCAAAAGCACTAATGGAAGTTCCACACTACCCTTTGTCTTACCAGGCCAACTGTAGTTTGTGCACAGGAGAGTTTCATTTCTATTTTATTGTTATCAAAAACTTCCCATCATGGATTGACTTTAGGGCTTGAATGTAAGTGTGCTTTCTTCCTTTCTGCATTGTGGCATTGCCTCCATTCTGTTGCTCCTTTTAAGCAAAGTATACCTGCTCCTTAGACATAAGCCATGATTAGCCCCCTGCCAAGTCTGAAAGATCACACTTGCTTTCCTACATTATGACTTTTGAACTTTGTTTCTGGCTAAGTAGAGATTTGAAGCCATAGGTATTGTTATTCATAATAAAATTTATTGAATGTTTATGTGTGACACTATAAAGTGTCACATTTATGAAGATGTTATCCATTTTTTACCTGCCAATAACTGTATGAGGTGGGTTTCATGTAGTTATTTTCATTAGTTACTATAACTTTATATTTATATATTATTTACTATATTTTCATATAGTGACTTTCATTATTCCCATCTTACAGCTGAGGAAGCTGAGATACATTGATGGTAGGTGCCTTGCCAATGCCACATAGCCATTGAGTGGAGGAGGTGAGCCTAGAAACTAAGTTCTTCTGGTCTGAGAGCCTGTGTTCCTGACACACTGGCTCCCTTTTGACCATTTTCTCTCAAGTTCTCCTGGGGACCTCTCCCACTACACTTTTCTTTTGTGTGCTTTATATTTTGTCTTTCTAAGTATCTGTATGTGACGAGTTATCTATTTTTATCCTAATCTTCTAAATAAATTTTGCTATGTGGGTCTCTTGATATGGTGGGTAAAATATTGCCAAAAACTGGAGTGGTGAAATACACTCTTTTCCTCCTCTTGAGTCCATAATTCTGGCCTCAGGGTTTTTTAAAACAAATCTTTTCATTTGATACCATCTTTTAAAGCCAGATGTTCACTCTCTTTATGCTCTTTTATTTTCCAGTGGTATTACTTTGAAGTGAAAAGAGATGTATTAGTTTTTGATTCTTGCTGTAATAAGTTATTGCAAGCATAGTGACTTAAGATAACATGAATGTATTGTACTTCTGTAGGTCAGAAGTTTAACATAAATCTCACTAGGCTAAGATCAGGATGTCAACAAGGCTGCATGCCTTTGTGGAAGTTCTAGAGGACGATCTACTGCTTTGCTTTGTCCAGTTTCTGAAGGCTGCCTGAATTCCTTGGCTTTGGGCCCCTTCCTCCTTCTTCAAAGCCTGCATTGTAGCTGTCTCTGATCCTGTTTCCATCACTGTATCTCTTTCTCTGATGACACATAGGAAAAGTTCTTTGCTTTTAAGTACTTGTATGATTAGATTGGGTCCACTGGGATAATCCAGAATAATCTCCTCGTCTCAAAGCCTGTACTTTTAGTCAAATCTAAACAGTCCTTTTTGCCATGTAAGATGACATATTCCCAGCTTCCAGGGACTAGGACACGGACATCCTTGAGGGCATTATACTGACTACCTTAAAATATTATGACACTAGACTTTAAGTCCTTTCAGTCTCTGATTATTTCTTTTATTTCAACCTCAAGTTCTTACAACACAAATATTTCTAGAGAAAATTCCATTTTGCTTCTAGTAATATTCATTTCCACATGAATTAGCAAACGTGAGTTAATGTTTTGTGTATAATGTCTTGTCAGGTTTTCCATATTTGAATTTCAAGAAACAGATATATTCCTGGTTGATGATGTTCTGGTAATAATTATGTCTGGTCTCTTGTGTGGCCTTCAGAAGGGAAACAATATTCACCACTATGTCTCTTCTTTCTGGGGTCATCAGCAGTTGGTTGATTGTACTGAGGGGGTGGAGTGAAGGAGAGCAAGGAATGAGGGAGGAATTCTGCGTTTTCTACTTGTGTCATAGAAAGAGTATTAGAAGTGACACCAATTCAGAGAGGGACCAGGGAGGAGAAATGGGTGTGGGGAAGATTGTGAGCATTTTCTTAGAGATAAACTGAATATCCGCAGTCCACATAATGCTGTGGGCATGAATGAGCTCATACTACCATTAACAATCAAATTACATTAGCTCAATATGTAACTATAAAATCTTATCCTCATACAATGTACCTTTTGTAGTCTCCAGAAGGGTGTGCCTTTACAATTCATGCCCACCAGTTCTGTGGCTCTCCTGCTATTTACCATTGGACACTGGCAATGGTATTTATCTTGTCTGTGGACACTCAGCATTTCCAGATGATTCTCTGCCCTATTTCTCTGGGGAAAAGCTGGCCTTAGAGAGTTGGCGCCTGATGCAATCCAAGGCTGTAAAACTCTCAAGGGCCAGAATGGTGCTGACGTCCCTTAATTCTTGCCAGAAATGGAGAAAGCGGCCCTTATCCTCATCAGTACTTTGTTTTGTTATTAGGACTTAAAGTAGAACTGCTTGTCTATCCTGGATTTACAAATTTTTTTTATGAAGTTTAGTTTCTTCCTAAAAAGCTCAAAATCCAGTTTGTAAGATTAGGTAGAGGACAAAATGCCAATGTGTTCCTTCTCTTGTCCTTGATTTTTAAATCTTTCCATGGACACAGGCATATACTTTCTCTGTATTTAACCGAAACTCAACCCTTCTTGCAAATCTACTCATAGAAAAACAAGTCAACAGATTCACCAGCTGGAACATTATTTCAGATGCATTGAAATTCACTTTGTCTGAGTTTCTTTTGTACTCAAATAGAACCACCAATTACATTGACATGCTGACTTCAAGGTTTCTGTGCACAAACCAGGTAGAAATATTGAATTGCTAGGAAAAGAATAAGAATCTAATCTTAGAGGAGAGGTAGGAGTAGTTACATTTATGTTGGGGAGTTGTTCGAATAGTGACAGTGCTTTGAAGTTTAAGAATAGAAGGGCTCCCAATGGTGAGCATGGAGAGTGAGAAAAGAATGGACCACAAACAGAACCCTGGGAAATAACTTTTAAAAATTAGAACTGAAAAGAGGAACTCACAATGGAGACTGAGAATCGTTGGTCTCTAAAGCAGGAGGAGAACCAGGAAAGAGCACTGCAATGAAAGCAAAGAAAGTAGAGAGTTTTAGGAAGGAGAAATAACTAATAATATAAAAATGCAACAAGAGGTTCCAATAAGAGAATGATTTTTTAAAAAAATTTCCTGGGCAGAGAAACTTAAGCAGTCAATGACAACTTTAATGAAAGCAATTTTGATAAAGTGGTACAGACGAAAGCCAGATTATAATGGGATTAGGAGGTACATGGAAAAAAAGTGAATGGGAGATGAAAAAATTATTCCTTTAAGAAGTCTGAATTGGAAAGGAAGAAGAAAAATGAGAGGGTGTTAGCTAGGATTTTCTCAGAAAACCTCATCTTGTGGGATCGGGAAAAGGGAATACAAATAGGTAAGGAAGTAAATATATATGTGTGTGTGTGTGTGTGTGTGTGTGTGTGTGTGTGTGTGTGTGTGTGAGAGAGAGAGAGAGAGAGAAAGAGAGAGACCCAGTGACCCAGTGATAGAGTTCATGATGAATGGGCTTGATTATATCATCAAAGAAGGAGGTATGAGCATCTACTAAGAGTCATGAAGATAGGAAATTGAGGTGAGAGGAGCAAAAGAAGAATATTGAAAATTTCAAATTACCCCTGGAGAGGAGATGGCCATAAACAATTAAAAGTACAGACAAGTGGAACTGAAAATCTTAATGAGATTGGAAATGAAAAAGAAACAAATACATCTGAATAAGGGTGACAATGAGAATGGATGAGCAAAGGGAAGTGAGTGAAGATTATTAGAAATAGGGAAGTCAAGAATAAGACTGTGTTGGCCGGGTACCGTGGCTCACGCCTGTAATCCCAGCACTTTGGGAGGCCGAGGCGGGCAGATCATCTGAGGTCAGGAGTTCAAGACGAGCCTGACCAACATGGAGAAACCCTGTCTCTACTAAAAATACAAAATTAGCTGGGCATGGTGGCACATGCCTGTAATCCCAGCTACTCAGGAAGGCTGAGGCAGGAGAATCGCTTGAACCAGGGAGGTGGAGGTTGTGTTGAGCTGAGATCACGCCACTGAACTCCAGCTTGGGCCACAAAAGCAAAACTCGGTCTCAAAAAAAAAAAGAAAAAAAAAGAATAAGACTGTGTTTTCAGTGGATGCTTCACACAAATGTTGAAATTCCTCAGGCGATGATAAGAGGTGGAGTAAGGGGAGAGCCCAGGAATCAGGGGCTGGAGCTCTTTACAGAGTAACCAGAAAACAGAAAAATGAAAGGAAGTGGGGAGTATATGGGAATGAGTAGAGTTCCATGCACCTAAGAGCAAAAGGAATTTTACAGGAGCAGAGAAAACTATGTGTTTGAGGTTGCACCGAACAACCTGGAGAATGCTAGTTGGTGCTTCCGGGGGCCCACAAGTCCCAAGGTGTGGGCCCAGTGAATGGGGAGAGGGATCAGGTCAAAGGTGATATTCCCTTGAAGGAAGAGGCAGTGCAGTCAGGCTCCTCCTCTGGAGTGGGTTTGCTCTGACTGTGGGAAGTGGGGCTGTGGGTCCCAGTCTCAAGGTGCACATCCATCCTTTATGTCTTGTTTTCTACATGCCAATTTTTGATACTGATTCAACTTCCTTCAGACAGCAGACAGCTCAAGATCTTTTTCTTATTTCTGGCTTCCTTCTTGAATAATTCCTATCAATCTACAATAAGGCTATTTAACTGACTAATAAACTACAGCACAAAGAATCACTTTTCCTACACTTTTACTTTGTTTAGTTGGGAACCAAGCAGTAGTTGAAGTTTGCGTGTACATTTAGATACTGGGATGTGGCTGGAGAGCCAGCTGTCGGGGCATGGCAGAAGCCAGAGAGAATGCACTAAGGCTGGGAGGCAATGAAACACGGTAGACTGGAAACCTGGCAATGGCTAATCCCAAACTAGTAGGTGATGGTCATAGAATGGTGAAGCAGATGTGTACTCTCCACGGGGCATGTCAGAACTAACAAGCTTGAGCAATGGGGCAGAACAGCTTGATATGTCAGCTCCAAGGACAGCCTGTTTCTGAGACGATTTTTATAAAAACCAAGATATAACTTCGGTCACTCTGAGTCCTTCAGGGATACATATAGGTGAGTATCCTTATCTAGAGCATAGAGAGCATGAGGAAAGGTAGATCCTGGCAGAAATTAAGCAGGTTAATGCAGTTCATCCCCTTTTAATACAAAGTTCTGGTCAATGCATGCCCCTTTTGCGTTTCACTGCATTTATGTATGGCATTCTAGCTTCCCTTGAATATTAAGCTAATTTGAATGGCAAGTCTATCTCTTAATCATTTCTGAAGCAAGGTGCTAAGCTCTAAATTTGAAAATAATATCCATTTTTTTTCCTCATCCTAAGCCTATGAACCAGATTCTGGTCATATTGGTTGAGAAGCTAAGACAATATCTTCATTAGCTCCGATTAACTTTTGAAATGGTTACCTGTGTTGCAATAGACAGAGCATTCTGCATGTAAAGCAGACACAGTGACCTCTATGTGTTTACTCTCGTTGGTTTAGAGAAAAGTCTGGATAGTGGTCTTTGTTTCCAGCAAAATAAGGGTTTCTTCTATCAATTCAATTAATGACTCTTTCTAGCTTTTTAAAATATATTCTCTCCCTTATACTTGACGACATATATCTGTATCTCTGGGAAGTACAGGAGTCTGAGTAACCATACCCAGTTTGCCACCAGCATGACATAAATACTGTCATCTGGAAGGGTAATTTATGCGTGGAGAGAAGATTGGACAAGGAAGAAAAGGGAGATGAGGAGAACCAGCTAATGAGGTTGGTGTGGAGGAGGAGGCCCCTCGGAGGGTGCTCAAGATAAATTAGTGGAACTGGTGGGTTGAGGGAGGATGGGAGGATGGTGTCCAAGACTGGTAGATGGCAGGCAGAGAAGCCAGTAACACACAGATAGCCCAAGTAAGCCATGTCAGGAGCAGGGAGGTTGGAGAAGTGCCTGAGGAGAAGAGAGAGAAAGCTGTCAAGTTACCAACTCCCAATTTTAATTGGAACCCAAGAATAGCAACAGAGAAAGGATGTGGCTTTTCTTCCTTGGTACCCTGAGCTGAGCCCATGCTCAGTCTCTGATTCTCTCTTCCCCCTTCTTTTCTTTTCTTCTCTTTCTTTTTCTTTTCATTTCCTTCATTCTCTTTTCTCTTCCCTTCTCTCTCTTCTGGCCTATTGAAACATCTCCATGTTGAAGACTCACTTGATATCATCATCACCCCCAAACCATCAATTTATCAATAAAGGAAATTATAGTTATTTATAATAAAGGAGAAAATAAGGAGAATGTGACTAATATCTTGGGAAAACCAGGCAACAACTCAGAAAACATTGTGTCTTCAGGAAAGCAGCAGGAGAACTATCCCCCTGATCACATATGATATCATCTCATGGAGTTTGGGTGATTTCTTGTGGCTGAGAGCTAGTTTTCCAAGATATTATAAGTCAGTAAAAGATAGTATTTTAAAAGCCCTTTTCTCCTAAACATCTTTGTTTCTAAAGCAAGATCTTTTTTTGTCTTTCCTTTTATTCCTGTTTTTGGTTCTGTTCCAAAAAATAAATAAACAATCTTTGGGATCGCCCTTTCTCAGGTGCTTTTTGCCAGCACATCCTACACTTGGATGAAATAGATGGCATCAACAATCAGGAGGCAGAGCAAGCTAGAGGGGAAGGGTCATGCTGTCCTAACATGAGCTTCTAGGGTGGTAGATTTCAATGTCTGCAGCTTGTCTACTAGAATAGCATCAACAAAGCATAATCAGTAAAGGAAATTTCCAACCTATGTTGCCAGGCTGTCTGCCCAGCTGACGCTGTGATAGGAACATTCCTATCTCTGGAATGGCAGACCACGGCCACTGTGGGGAGCATCTAGTAAGTCTAAGGGACCATTGAGCTCTGGTTTGGTTGTTCCTTCTTAAAAAACACTTCAGTGAGAACAGCAAGGCCCTGTTTGCTTATGGTAAAGTTTTAAGTTTCACTGATGCTGAGAAGCTAAAGATCTTTGACTATATATGAGTTTAGAAACAGACCAAATGTTTGTTTCCTTTTTTATAAGCCACAAGTCATGTGTTTTTAATAGACCTTTAATTCTGTGCATCAATGCAAACATAATATTTCCTAGTGCTTTCAAAGTCACCAATAAACATACTAGGTATCATAAAGTAATTGGAGTAGGGTAGAGTTTCCATGGATTAAGGGAGTATAAAGAGAGATGTCTATACAATTGTTATGCCTTGCAGTAGCTTTATTATGTCCTTCCCTGCTTATAACTCATCTCATATTTTCCTCTTTTACTTTATGTTTTCTATCCTCTATTTCCTTTTTTCTTTTAAAAATAATGCTTGAAGTAGGCATATACTGGAAAAGAGATTGAACTGGAATTCAAGGATCATGCAGTGTGATGGAAGGAAAAGAAACTAAGAGTTGGAAGGCCTTCTTCACTATGGCCTGAGAATAATTCTCAAGGCAAAGAATTCATGGTATCATTAGATTTATCTTGAAGAAATAACCTGGGCATAGGGTGGGGAATTGAGTATGATGTCAAATATGGAGTATCCATACAAACATTTTAGTGTTTTAAAAAGTCATTATACTATTTATTGGAATAAGCATCCCAAATGTGTATTAGTGCCTTTTCTTCTGGTCTTCATGACAGGCTGGTCTCTGCCCCATGCCCCTCCAAAAGGTAATGCTGGCTGGGAGTGCCATTAGAATCTGATTAGGTCTGGCTCTGCTATTCTCTAAGTACCAATTCTTTGCTGTGACATTTTTTCATCTTGCATGCTCTCTAGGGCATACATGAGTGTGAAGGAGCTGAAGGAGGCCCTGCAGCTGAACAGTACTCACTTCCTCAACATCTACTTTGCCAGCTCAGTGCGGGAAGACCTTGCAGGTGCTGCCACCTGGCCTTGGGACAAGGACGCTGTCACTCACCTGGGTAAGTGAAATGAAGACCAAACATAGTAGGAAAAAAACAAAGAAGGCTGAAGGAAGCTTGCGAAAGTAAGTTTGGGGAAAAAAGAAAGACAGAGAAAAAGTGAATTTACACAGTGAATTAACTGCTTTGTGCTGAGAATGGCACTTAGTAGAGCCTGTCAAAATGTTTCAATATAGACAAGTAAGAGGTATTAGAACAAACAGTGGCAAATGCTCAGGATGTTCTAGACTGAATCTATAATTTAGATGCAAATAAATTGCTGGCATAGAATAAGATCATTTTAAGTCTTGCAGAGCCCCAAGTGGGGAACTATCAAAATATCCAGAAGGTGGCTGGACTGTGAAACCTGCTTTACATGATCACTGTTCTAGAAGACTGATGGGCTTCTTGTATGGTGTGGACTCCTGAGAAAAATCCCAGGAAATTCAAAAGGTGGGGCTTGCCTGCTCACCGGGGAAAAGAGTGGATACCTTAACACAAAGTGCAACTACTGAACACTTAAGAAAGACAATCCTATTCACAATAGCAAAGACTTGGAATCAACCCAAATGTCCAACAATGATAGACTGGATTAAGAAAGTGTGGCACATATACACCATGGAATACTATGCAGCCATAAAAAATGATGAGTTCATGTCCTTTGTAGGGACATGGATGAAATTGGAAATCATCATTCTCAGTAAACTATCGCAAGAACAAAAAATCAAACACCACATCTTCTCACTCATAGGTGGGAATTGAACAATGAGAACACATGGACACAGGAAGGGGAACATCACACTCTGGGGACTGTTGTGGGGTGGGGGGAGGGGGGAGGGATAGCTTTAGGAGATATACCTAACGCTAAATGACGAGTTAATGGGTGCAGCACACCAGCATGGCACATGTATACATATGTAACTAACCTGCACATTGTGCACATGTACCCTAAAACTTAAAGTATAATAATAATAAAATAAAAAAATAAAAAATAAAAAAAAGAAAGACAATCCTTTTTACAACGTCTTATTATTATAAAGGGAAATCTTACTGACCAAGCAAGAAGAGGGATTACATCCGTTTTATAAACATATGGATAAAGAGTAATTAATGAACATAATTAGTATACATTTCCAAAATGTTCTAGATAGCATTCTATAAAAATTTATTTTAAAATAAGTTACCAAAATTGAGAGTAATATTTTATGTTGGAAAAAGAATAGTTAGACTGACTGGAAAGAATTTTATAAATGATTTTTAAAAGGTACTGCAAAGTTGGTCTTCCTAGTAATCAAATAAGAAGCAGAGAGGAATAAATTAAAGAAATAGAACATAATGCTGTATATGTCAAGCACCTGGTCATAGTGAAGTCTAGAACATATCGAATTGACAATCATAGACAATATGAGCAAGTATTCAAAAGATAACCAGTGTTGTAGATTGGGGAAGGAGGAAGATGAGCAATGTGTTAGCGATAGACCAAAAAAAAAAAGAAAAGATTGCTGTTCAATGCTGTTCAAGTGTGAAACAGTGATGAAAATCCACAGAGTGAATCAGATTGAGATCCAAAAGGGTTATATATACCAGAAAATGGAGGCTATATGCAAATGTATATATACACATATATGCATAACAAATTAAACATGTAAGGATCCAAATTAAATGCTTTGCCAGCGTGCATAGCTGGGTTTCATTGGCTCTATAGTACCTGATTCAGTTTTAAAGCCCTGCAGTCCTTTTATCACTAAACTGTATTTTTAGTTCTCAGTACATGAGAAATCAGAAATTTGTGATGTTAGTGGTGGCCTGAGGCTACCAAGGCAAGAGCATTGCATGTGTTGATAACATATTATCAGGTTCCTCAAGTAAGGACCTGATATTTTCAGGGATCCAGTATAAACCAAAGAAGGCATTCAGATTTATCTACAATTACTACGAGTGAAAAACTAGGGAAAGAGAGGTTTCTGGGTGGGATGAGACATTTTGTTGGGCCTGTCAGAAAACAAATTTGTAAGTCATAGCCTGCACTTCATGGCTATTGGTTTCAGGAACAGTTCCAAAGGATTTTTGATACAGCTGACAGAAAGGGGCTGTAGATTTCAGTCATACATTTCCAAGATGGTCGGGTAAACTGGAGACACCTCTGTGCTTTCCAGATGAAAGCTAGTGTGTTTCATTCTAGCCTTCCTGGTAGCAATGGGTGGACTAGAAAGTCATATTCCTGTTCCTGTAGTCCATTTAATAGTGAGTATGGGTGTTTTGAGTTATGCTAATCAAAAGCAACAGTAGCAGAGGGGATATATAACACTGTAAGAAAATATCTCCAACTTGATGCACACTCCCATCACCAAGAATAACCTTTCTGGTGTATGTCTGTGGAGGTCCTGATAGCAAGGTTTACCCAGCAGTGGCTTCCATGAGGCCCAGGTCTATCAATAGGAACTGAATCTATTTGGTTAAAAGACCTTAAAAATTATCTTCCTGGCCATTATGGAGACAAATCATGACTTCTTGATAAGAATTGTTGGGCTGGGGCATACTATTGAATGTTTTCTAACTTTATTAGAATTGGGCATTAGCAAGACTCATTCAACTATAAAAATGGATAAAATACTTTAAAAATTATTTATTTGAAGACATCAGACTGGCTAAGGCAACAAGGACATGAGGAGTCCAATCCCTGAAAGAAGAAAAATGCATTGAAGTGAGTCCTGTATATAACTTAGTCTTTTTCCTTTCAGGGAAATTGCCACATTCTCAGTGGAAGACATAGAGGCAGAGCAGAGAGCAGCAGCCTAGAGCTTGCTTTGGTCTCAAGACAAAAATTAGAGTTCAGGTTTTCAGGGCAACTAAAACTTGAGAGACCAGGATCCTAGAGAAATGGAAATCACAAAAAGTAAGACTGATTTTCTGCTTGTGATTTTCTTTTAAGATATTTGTTATTTACTAAACTCACATTCTCAGGGACACTGGGCAAGAAAACACATAGAAAATAACTTCTAAGAGATTAAAAAGCTGAACAGTGATTTTAGGAGTCTCATAACAGAAGAGACAAAATTGGGAGTTGAGGCCTTGTCAAGGAGGAGGGGCTCTGAGACACCCTCTGTGCAAGGGTAAACAGAAGTAGTACAGCTTATACAAAGCCTAAAATCCAGCCTGAAACACTCTTTTAAAAACATTTCAATAGTTTTTTGGGGAACAGGTGGTGTTTGGTTACATGGACAAATTTTTTAGTGATGACTTCTGAGATTTTGGTGTACCCATCACCCAAGCAGTGTACACTGTACCAGTGTATAGTCTTTTATCCCTTGCCCTGCTCCCACACTTCCTCCTGAGTCCCCAAAGTTCTATTGTATCATTCTTATGTCTTTACATCCTAATAGTTTAGCTCCCACTTATAAGTGATAATATGTGATGTTTGGTTTCCCATTCCTGAGTTACTTCACTTAGAATAATGTTCTCCAGCTCCATCTAGGTTGCTGCAAATGCCATTATTTTATTCCTTTTTATGGCTGAGTAGTATTCTATGGTATACACATATACTGTATTTTCTTTTTCCACTCATTGATTAATGGACGTTTGGACTGGTTCCATATTGCTGCAATTGTGAATTGTGCTGCTATAAACATGTGTGCAAGTGTTTTTTTTTTTTTTTCTTTTCTCCATATAGTGACTTCTTTTCCTTTGGGTAGATACCCAGTAGTGGGATTGCTGGATCAAAAGGTAAATCTACTTTTAGTTCTTAAGGGATCTCCATACTGTTTTTTCATAGTAGTTGTGCTAGTTTACATTCACACCAGCAGTGTGAAAGTGTTCCCTTTTCACCACAGCCACATCAACATCTATTATTTTTTGATTTTTTAAAAAAATTATGGCCTTTCTTGCAGGAGTAATGTGGTATCTCATTGTGGTTTTGATATGCATTCCATCTATTTTTCTTTGTTTTTGTTGCATTTGCTTTTGGGTTCTTGGTCATGAACTCTTTGCCTAAGCCAATGTCTAGAGTTTTTCCAGTGTTATCTTCTAGAATTTTTATGTTTCCTCCTGAAACACTCTTAATCCTTGTTTGGAGGAAGTTTATCTGCCTCTATTCTAACTGCCTAGCAAAAGAAAGTTAAATATTCTTTGGAGAAAGACATAATCAAAAGCCTCTATGATTGTTCATGCACAGTGTCTAGCAATCAATAAAGAAATATCAACTATTTCAGGAGACAGGGTCAAATGATGATAAACCAAACAAACAAATCATACACAATAAAAATTATCCAGGTATTGGCATTATTGGGCACTGGCTTTAATTATGATTAATATGTAAAAATAGATGAAAATGCATAGTTTCTTCAGAGAACTGGAATCTCTAATAGGGGATCAAATGGAAATTTTAGAACTAAAAATAGATACCAGTAAGAAAAATTAAGAAATGAATAGATGGGTTTATGAACAGAAGAAAGAATTTAAGAACTAGACCATTGTAGAAAATTTACAAACTGAAGCTCTGAAAAATAAAGTGCTGTGAAAATATAGAAGAGATCTTAGGAAACATTTAAGACTCCATGAAAAATTTCTATTGTAAATTAGAGTTCTAGAAGAAGACAAACAAATTGTTGGCAGAAACAATATTCAAAGAGATAATGGCCGAGAATCTTGCAAACTGACAAAAGATATCAAACCACAGATTCTAGATATTTTATAAACTGCAAACAAGGTGAATAGGAAATATTTACAAAACACGAATCTGGCAACTGACTTGTATTTAGAAGATATACGGAACTCTCAAAACTCAACAGTAAAACAAACAAAAATATTTCAGTTAGAAATAGGCAAAGGCGTGAACAGACATTTTACTACAGATGATATACAGATGGAAAATAAATCTATGAAACAATGTTCAATAAAATTAATCATTAGAGAAGTGCAAATGAAACCACAGCAAGGTAACACTACAAACCCATCAGAAGAGCTAAAATAAAAAATAATGACAATACTAAATCCTGGTAAGGATACAGAAAAATGGGATCTCTCATACATTGATGGTGGGAAAGTGAAATGGCACAGCCACTCGAGAATACTTCAGCAATTTTCAATAAAACTAAACATACACTTGCCATATGATCCAGTAATTGGACTCCTGGTCATTAATCCTAGAGAAATTAAAATATATGTCCACTTAAAAAACCTGTACATGAATGAATCTTCATAGCAGCTTTCTATTTTCTATATAGTAGCCCCAAACTGGAAATGGCAAAAGTGTCCTTCAGTGCCGATTGCTTAAACTGTGTACATCGACACAATGAAATACTACTCAACGAAGTATTAATGCATGCACCAACTTGGATGGATCTCAAGGGCATTATGCTAAGTGAAAAAAAAAAAGCCAATCTCAAAACTTACATGGTGTAACATTTCACATTTGCAGTATTCTCAAAATGGTAAAATTCTAGAGATAAAGAACAAACTAGTGATTTCCAGGGTTTAAGAATGAGGAAGCACTACATGGTTGGAGGTTGAGAAAAGTATAGATGTATGTGTGACATAAAGGATAGCAGGTGGGACATGTTAATAGTGATAGAACAGTTCAGTATCTTGACTGTGGTGGTGATTACACAAATGTATATATGTGATAAATTGCATACAACTACACACACACACACACACACACAACTGCATGTAAAAACTGGTGAAATCTGATAGACATCTATGATCTCTATAAATAAGCAAGGTATTTTGCATATAGCAGGTGCTCTGTGAGTGATCATTGAATGAAGGTATAGTTGAGTAAATGTATCAAATTTAAATGGTTTCAAGAAATGCTTAAATTGTCTCATGAATCACTGACTTATAATGGAATTGCAAAAGAAACAAGGGATATTTATATTTTATTCTTAATCCTTTGAGAAATAACTGTACTACCCTACAACATGATTATTAATGTGCTTTTCAGAAGTAAAAAACTAGACTGAACAGCTCACAGATATGATTCAATAGGAAATTGTTTGTGTTCTTATTTATTTCTTCTTGTTCAATCATAACTGATTAAACAAAGGAACTGTATTGACTAAAATCAGGTGTAGAGTAGTACAGATAGCTGGCATAACGTGATAGAGGAAGACATTCAGAATTTTCTAAATAGAGCCTTTTTGAGACTCAAGATGAAATTATCTGTTTGTGTCAGCATGTAAAGGCCCTACATTTTCAGGGTCTGCTGAGTGGACTAGCAGATAAGCACACTAGCCTGGAAGTTTGAAGACTGAATCCAATTTCTGACTATCAATGGCTTAAGTCACTATGTGGAAAGACCAAGGTAATTTGTCATCTTGATTTGCCATCAACACCATTTCTGCCCTTTCGTATGATTTTGTGCTTTCAATGCTGTGTTAACACAAAGAAAAATCTTTTTACAGGTGGATCAATGAGTGGGATCCTCTTGAGCTCTAATATTCAGTAGTTTGAACATTTTTAGCCATGGTAAACAATGCCTGAATTGAAAACATATCTTTAAAAGCAGAACACTTAAGTTAGTCGTAAACCAGCCCTTTTATACCTTGGATACCATACTCATTGTCATTGATACCATACTCATTGTCATTGGATACCTTACTCATTGGATACCATACTCATTGTCATCGATTCATTCAAAGAAAAACTTGGATACCATACTCATTGTCTTGGTACCATACTCATTGTCATTGATTCATTGGATACCATACTCATTGTCATTGATTCATTCAAAGAAAAACTTGACTGTGTTTTGTGGCAATGCCATAGATAGAATAATGAAAACAGTCTGCCCTTAAGGGGTGCACAGCATGATTGGGAGACAGATATGTCATACAGATTTGTAATACTATGTGATGGCAACATACATGAAGTTAGGCAGTAACATGGAAAGGAAAGTGCCTAATTGTGCTGAAAGCATTAACGAAGAGTTTCCAGAGGGGCTGAAGCTTGAGATGGGAATTGAAGGATAAGCAGGAGTTTGCTTGGCAGACACAGGAGAGCATTCCAGAGTGGAAGAACTGGCAGATGGCAGGGTTCAGCACACACTTAGAAGTGGGTGTGCTTTGCATGACCACAGCAGTGCTCTTCAAAATTACTTTTTCTCTCGTACCTGTGAAGAGACTCAAAATACTCAGCAAACCACACATTCTTAGAGTAACACCTAAACATCCAATAATAGGTTTAATAGTAGCAAAGAGAGTAATTGGGGCATATAATTTTATTTTAAACTACTATCATTTAAAAATAAATCTTAAATTTACTTTCGTAAGTGTCTTCTCTGTACCATACCAATTTGAAAATCACCATCATTTATTTAAAAAAAATCATGGTCATTTACTTTTTTTTTTTTAAAGGAGCATGGAAAGTTTTTATTGTTCTTGCCAAATCTTACAGCAATTTAATGTATATGAGAAAACAAAATACCACCTCTTCTATTACTGTTAAACATCAGCCTAAGAAGCCTGTTTTTCTTTTTGTAATGTTTTTCCTTTACTATCTGTTTCTGGAAAAAGTGCTAATATGTTTACATTTCAAATATTTTTTTTTTTTTCCTGCTGGGAGTCAGGCCAGTAAGAGGAAAGCAAAATGGCAGGAGAAGCAAATAGTGATGTAGGCAGAATCAATGACACTGCTAGGAATAAAAACTTTATTTCTCATATGCCTACTAAGTACTATCAGAAGAGATGCAATAATAAAAACACTGTCTAGGTTCTCAAAAGCCTAAAATCCAGTAAAAGGAGGAGAAAAGTATATAAATGTGTGTATGTTAAAAATGTAAAATAAACTAAAAAAATATATACAGAATGTATCTTGAAAGATAAAATTGATTTTGATCGGTAGAGATTTGAAGAAGAGAATTGTGAGCACAAGGAAAGAATAGGTTGTATGAAGCATGAGAAATTATTAGGTAAGAGTTGGAGGTCTAACTGACTAAAACATTGGAATATATACATATATTTATATATATGGAACAGGAAAAAGAAGATAGAAAGATAGGTTGGAAACTCCTGCACTCTCATGGTAAACATAAATTTTGATTTTCTCATACTCCTCTGACTGACTCTTTCAATCTTCTTACTGAGTTGTTCTTCTGACGTTCCCTGAGTTTTATCCTTGACCCAACATTCAAGACGTTCTCTATGGTCACGTAGACTAATCTCCTTTATGTGTGATGCCATCAACCTACATCCTGATAACTCTCAAATGTGTTTCTCTAGTTTGAATGACTAAACCCGTCTCCTAAGATCTACATCCATGTTTCCAACTACTTAACAGGTGTCTCATCTCAAATACCCCCAAATACCCCAAAATTAACATGTTGCAACTTGCTTCTTCTCTAGATTTAGTGATACTATCATTTTTCTGTTATGAAAGTGGGTACCTTATTAAACATACTCTTTGTACAATGAAGGAAATTGATCTAATATAATGTTTATTAAAGCAATTCAATAAGCATAGGAGACCATCTTCTAAGCTTTGCAACCCCCTTCTCTTTTCACAGGGCATGAAACCAGCAGCCACTTGACCCAAGGGCAGCTGGTCTATGTGCTAAGCAGTTGTCTGCAAGGAAGGCTGGTGCAAAACTCTGAGCAAGGGGGAAAAATAATGACCAGGCCAGCGAGATAATATCAGGAAATGAAACTTGAAATGTGGGAAAGGTATTGAGCAAATGACTCAGAAGTCAGAGAGAAGTACATTAGCAGAAGTCATTAGCAAAAGTAGAAAGAGACAAAGAGTGAAAGGAGAGTGGTTGAGTTGCATAAATAGAGATGTACTGGAGTTGAGTAAAGCAATTCCTATGGCCCACTATAGATCTCTAAACCTAGCAAATGCCTGATGTTCAATAGGGACTCCATAGATTTGTGTGGATTTTCTCACTTGGAAAGAGATTATGTGGCCCCTAGAGCTTTCTGACTTTTCAAGCATATGACTCTGAGAAAAGAAGGAAGTATAGAAGGAATGGATACTGGGTAAGACATTAAAAGTAATCGGGTCTAAATTAGTGTAAAAATCAAAAGGATAAACATAACAGAAAAATTTGGAGATAGACTCTTCAATACTTATGCAATACAGATAAAGGCAAAATAAAAGATGCCTCCAAGTGACTGCACTTGAATAGTCTGAGATAAAGCTAAATCTTCAGTAACATTATGGAAGTTTGGAGGAGGAGTTGGTTGGAGATGATGTGGATGAGTTTGGTTTTATAAATAGCGAGTGTTCATTTTTTTTTGTCTCTGTAAATTTGTGTTTCTATTTCACTTCTATAGAATTTTATACTATTGTAACATATACATATATTTTTTCAGTCTAGTTGGTTACCTATTTCTCAGCTAAAAACTTGAATACAACAACTCTTTTGTGATCACGTTTTGTTAAACTAGACTTTTTATTTTGAGATATTATACATTCACATGTAATTGTAAGAAACAATACAAAAACATTCTGTATAACCTTTACCCATTTCCCCTAACGGTAGCATCTTGTAAAACAATAGTACAATCTCACAAACAGGATATCAGCATTGAAACTAACCTAAGTTATAAAGCGTTAAAAATCGCTTCTCAGTTGAGTTATCATTTGCAATGATTACTCTTCTACAATTGATCAAAACAATATTTTTAGATGTTGGTTAATCACTAGTAAAAACAAATACTTGGGAAATGTGTATTTTAAGGAGATAAATGTGGCTCCCCCAACCCCAAAGTAGTTCTTGTGTCTGTGGATGAATAGTAATTATTGCTGTAATGAGAAAAGATTTAACATAAATTATATTGCTTTGTTTCTCATTTATAGCTGTAAGTGCTAAGAAACTTTGTTCGAATAAATAAGGAGATGGGGAAAAGAGGAGTTCTGTTTGATTGACTGAGTGGATGGTGGTGCCAAGGTGGAAAATGTAGGAAAAGGAAAAGCAAATGGGGAGCCAGTTTGTTTTTGGATATGTTGAGCTAGGGGTCTCTAAAATCAACTAAGAAGGGGCTTCCATGGAAGAGGGAGGGGGAATAGGTATCAGGGGGTGTATTGGAAACCAAAAGACAGAGAGTTTTGAGAAAGTCCCCTGGGGTCCACAGCTACTGCAGAGAGATGAAATCAGCACACGGGCATTTTGGCCAAGTTAGAGAGAAGAATCACTGTGGCACAGAAGCTACATATTTCCGAGTGTTCTGGCTTGCCTGCCACATTTCCTAATTGTTCTAGAGAATGTCTGTACCACCACAGAGCAGTGAAAGCACCAAGTCTCTCACTGAGGGCAGCATGCCCTCAGGTGCATGCGACTTGAGGACCCTGTGGGAGGAAACTTGAACCTGGATCATGGGGGTTTAAACATAAGGGATCTTCAGATGAGTCCAGATGAAGTGATTCTTGACTGGGGGAAAAGAAAATATTTGAATGATGGAGTGGGTTATGGCTTCACATGGATAGGAACAAATGGGACCTGGGCTTTTGTTTCCTCATATGTAAAATGGGGATAATAAGCATGAGGAAGAATGTCCGGCATACAGCAAGAGTTCAATAAATATGAGCTTTTGTACCAGTAGTAGAAGCTCCAAATATGGTGTATCTGTGGTTGCCCTTCCTGGTTGTGCCTTCAGCCTCACACCACATCTCCAATATATAAAATTTTTCAGTGCCCTGGAAAGATCTTGGCTCTTTTAAAAGGGAAAGAAATGTGTTTTTAGGAATGCATCTGCTTGCAATGGTAGAACTGCTTGTAAGAAGCAGAGGGAGCTTCCTTATAAATTAGAGAAGGAAAGGGTAAGCAATGGTGGGTGGTCTGGGGAGGTGAGCGGTCTGTGAATGTTCTGGAGCCCAGTGGACTGCGGCAGAGTAGCTCTCACAGGGTTGGTACGGGTAGGACCACTCCCTGGGAGAAGGCAAAGCAGCAGCAGTATAGGTGGCAGAAACTAGCTTGGAGGTGAGATATCCCTTACTTATGCAGAACTTTCACAGGGGGTCTTCCAGGACAGCCTTCAGCTTTCTTTCAACCAAACAGTTAGATATTGAGATTAAAGTTTACGTCAGTTGTGATACATTCATGTGAATGAAGCCTCAGGTGCTAAGAACTATCCACTGATATAGTAAGTGGGAAGTCTTTGGTAACGTCAACCAGATTGTTTCTGTGGAGTCTGGGTGCAGAAACCAGAGTGGGACAGGTAGAGGAACCCACAGAAGGTGAAGAGGGGGATGTGGATCTTTCAAGAAGTTTGGCTGTGAAGGCATAAAGCACTAGTGTGGAGAAGGTGATGCTTAGAGGGTGATGAAGAAAGTTTTGGATTGAAAGAGACTTGAGCATGGTTACAGTCTACAACCTGATGGACTGTACCTTGTCATTGACAAGGTAGTAGCTTTTGTTATTTTTGTTTGTTTTTATTGTTATGGATCTTAATATTTAATTTTTAAAAATTTTAATTATGGGTACATAATAGTTGTACATATTTATGGGGTACATGTAATGTCTTGATGCAGGCATACAATGTGTGGTGATCAGTTATTTCTTTGTGTTAAGAACATTGTATTCTTTTAGTTATTTAAAAATATCCAATAAATTATTAGCTATAAAAAATAAAGATTCACTTCTCTTTCTAGCTCCAGTTATTATTATTATTTTTTAATCGTCTCCATTTCTTTCTCTCCCTTTGCCTACCAGTCCACCTACACCACTTTTTCTTTCCTTGCCCTGACTTGAAGTGCTCCTTCCTTGGACCCCAAGTCACAGTTTTATAACTTTGTCTGCTCATTGTGGACAGCATGTTTTGAGGAGCAGAGTTTCACCAGTCACTGGAAGTAATTACATAGGCACATGCAGACCAGCCCTCAACCTCCCCGTTTTATGGGCATATAATATTCAGCCCTAAAAATTTTACAGAACTGTTTTAGAGTTTTTCAACCAATATCCTTTTCTCAAGTTGCCCAAAGCTATTTATTTATTTATTTATTTATTTATTTATTTATTTATTTATTTATTTGCTGGAAGTGGCTTTGGGAATCATTCTCTTTACCATGAGCCACTTGGGCATTCATGTGTTAAAGCCTGGAAAAGCCAGTAGGAACTTAGAAATATAGAATCACTTTGGAAGCTTGGCTGTTTACTACTAAGATTTCATCTTCTAATTAGCAGATTCTTTCTTTTCTTCCCCCACACCATCCCCTAGACCACACAACAATTCTCTTATTGTTTTGGCTTGTCTTTTGTAATCAAGGCTGAAAGATCTTCTAAGAAGGCATGTGTTCTCCTGCTGCCAGTCCATTAAGGAACAGCTGTACCACACATGGCCCCCAGTTGCTAAATCCTGGGAGCCCATTCATATCGTTTTCCATGTACAAGTTGATGGTATTGGGACGCATTGGGTTCAAGTCTTGGCATACACATTCAGGTATGCAAGAAATGTAACTTACTTTATTCTTCTGTCATTAAACTTTCTTTCTATTTTGAGCCCCCATGCTGATGAGCAGTAGTAATTTACTCTCAGTCAATTATGCCTGTTATGCTTGGGGCTGTACCTAACTGTGGAGATGGCTTATATGTGCCAAGATCACAGGGAAAATGATCCATTTTTGTCCTTGGTCACCAGTTGATGCTGGTTACCTGAGATGACCCTGGTTCTCATCACAGGGACACCCTCAGGGAATTTCTGGCAGGCTCTGTTGCCCTTCCTATTTAGCTCTGGTGGTCAGTGGTTCCTCTCTAGGGCTAAGCCACTTAGGAATCTATTACCATAATGAGGCAAGATCCCTCTGCTCTCAGATCATACAAACCTATTTTGGGTTTTTATCCCTTTCCCAGCTCGAAAGTCAAGGTACAATCAACTTTATTGGACCCACTACCATCTATTCATTCCCATTATTTCCCTTTGGTCTCTTTCCTCTTCTTTCAGCTTGGGAGAATCTTTTCTAAGCTAATGTGGTAGTGGTCGTGTTGGTAGTATGAGAGCAAGGGTCCCTATCTTCAATCCATTCACCATGCGGGCTAAACCATGGATGGAATCGTCTCAGGACCCAGGTGGCAGAGGCTTAGAAAACCCCACAGCCAAAAAAGGATTTCTTGTTTCCTTGCTTTTCATTCTGTTGTATTACTTCCTAATGAGGTTAATACATGTAGAAAAGTCTGGCATTGTGAATTGAGTGGAGTAAGAAGAAGAGAAGCATGGAACCAGTGGGGTAAAATGTTAGTATTTCCAAATTTTTTCCATCCTTTTACACTAGTACTTTAAAGCTTCCCCTGAGTAAGTATTCCTGGTCTTGTTATCAGTCCGTCGACAGCCTTGCAGGATGGGCGTTGGGGAAGTGAGAGAAGGTGGGGGAGCCTGAAAGTGCCTCAGAGTGGAGACTGAAGTGTCCTGGTATAGTTGAAAATATATGTGTGCATTTCTTTTTTCTTCCTGTTTCAATGTGTCAGGCAAGAGCAGGAACACCAAAGAAGGGATTCAACTGTAAGGGATGGAATCTCGTCCCTACCCCCCCACTCCCCATTCTACTATCATATTTTATCTGTCATCTGTGTTTCAGTTTTGTCCTCCAATATAAGGAATGATAAAAATTAATGGTTTTGAGTATAAAAAATGATAATCATATTCCCCATAACTAGAGAGTTGGAAGGGAACGATTATTGGCACTATAGAACAAAGACATCTTGTGTAAATCTGATCTAACAATAATTTGAGGTCTATGAAGAATTATGCCAACAGCCCCAATTCAGTAAGTTTTCCTTTCCTCTTGCAATTAGCAGCCTAATTTCAGACTGCTAGGAATAAGTTTTGAACCCTAATGTGTTGTCTATGAAGAGAATGGGCACTTGTCTGTTTGCAGCCCTGTCCAAGTCTTGCTTGTCTTCTGGATGCCTGCGGTTGTCAGGATCAGAAAAACATGAAGACAAAGCATGAGCGACTTAGAGGAAAATCAGAGCTCCTTGATGAGGTTGTTCTCCTACTGTGCCTGGCAATGCCTGGTTTCACTCTGGGAGGTCTGTCCAATTTATGGTCAGGCCCCACCTTCCTTTTTTTTTTTTGTAATGAATGAAGGTTAGGTGGGAGCCAATGAAGGTTACAGGCAAATGAACGTGTACTGCCAGACTGCACATAGAATAATAATATTGACAAGTGGTCTAATATATATTTTGAGTTTCTTTGTTCTGGGAAATAAGCTAAATGCTTATTTATTTGCCTTACTACTTTAATCTTCATGACAATCCTTTGAGGTAGGAACTCTTGTTATTACCATTAAACAGATCAGTAAACAGCCTTGAGAGCTTCTAAGGAGTGTTTCCCCATATCAGGATCAATACTTTTACAGTGCCAGCCAAAGAAGGAGCCCTGGCCTCTCCAAAGGCTACCTTGTGAGAGAGAAGCTTCTGCCCATTGGTGCAGGTACCCATGTGTAACCATGCGGAGTCTGACCTATGTAACTGGAAGAAAGTGTGTGTGCAGATTCTAGCTTCAGAAGATAATGCTGGTTCATTTGAATATTAATATAAAATGGTAATGACAAGTAGCATTTCTTATTATTGTTTCATTATTCCTACGATGTTGTCCCTGAGAAAGATTGCAGCTTTCTCTGAAAGCAGGGGAATGCACAGTCCCTCCGGCCCCCTCCTCCCCACCAGGGGAAGACTTAAATGCTGATGATGGCAGGAAGGGATTGCCACTCTAACCACTCAGTTTTTATTTATTATTTATTATCACATCTTGTTCCTTTTAATGAAAAGAAATGCTTGCATTCCTCTTATTAAATTTTGGGCAACACATCTTTATGCCTCACTCCAGCTTTGGCATGAGTACATGTGTATTTGTAACTTTTATTAAAACATGAAAGAACTTTTCTAAACTAAATCACCAAATAAATTTAATGTCTTTCCTCACCCCTACATCGATGTGAGTGTGTGTGTGTCTCAGTGAGTAATGAAAACCCACTCCTTAATAATGTGAGTATGTGTGTCTGTGAGTGATTAAAACTCATTTCCCTAATAACATCACAAGTTTGTTTTGGTTGGAATAAAGGGTGAGTGGGAAGAACAGTGTGAGACCCCTCTGTGTGTCTGTGAGAGTGGATGAAGGGTGCAAACTGGTTGTATTAGTCCGTTCTCACGCTGCTTTGAAGAAATACCTGAGGCTGGGTAATTTATTAAGGGAGGGTGTTTAATTGACTAACAGTTCAGTACGGTTTGGGGGTCCTCAGGAAACTTACAATTATGGTGGAAGATACCTCTTCACAGTGGGGCAGGAAAGAAAATGAGTGCCAGTATGGGAAATGCCAGACACTTATAAAACTATGAGATCTCTTGAGACTTAACTCATTGTCACGAGAACAGCATAAGGGAAACTGCCCCCATGATTCAATTACCTCCACCTGGTCCCACTCTTGACATGTGGGGATTATGGGATTATGGGGTTTACAATTCAAAATGAGATTTGGGGTGGGGACACAGCCAAACTATATCACCATTGGAGAGGGAGTGTGGATTAAAGGTTGGCGAATCTGGGTCACTTGGAAATCTGCAGCAGGTCTGAGAGTAGGATGGCTGGCTTCTTACTGCCAGCTTTCCCCTTTCCCTCATGCTGCTGAGAGATGGGAGTCTTGAAACACAAACTGCAAGGCAGAGGCAGTGACAGTCCAGGACAATACAGATTCCTTCACATGTGTTCATGACTATCCCTCAAAGCCTGCCTGCATGTTAGCTCTGAGGGTCTGGGAATACAGATGGGAAGAAATCTTAGTGATAAGCCAATCTACCCCCTCATTTTACAGATGAAGAGATTAGGGGAAAGGTTGAACAGCCAAGGCCATGGAGCAAGTGAGGATCAGCTAATGCTCCACACTCCAAGTTCTTCTAGTTCTAGTCCAGAGGGATAATTTTATAATTTTGTGTTCTAGCAGACATAGAATTACCATAAGAGGTCTAGGACCTTGGGATTTTTGTTCTCAACATGTGTTGGTGTGCACAACACTCATCCTGAAATTAGAGCAATATTTTGTTCTATATTTTCTATATTTCTATATTTTGTGCAATCTCCTAGTTAACACACATGTAGTTACTGAACCCATTGCAGTGCCTTCTCATATAAATGAGTTTTTAGCATAAGTACATCTCTTCGCAATTGAAAATATAGCTTGCAAATGTGTGTTAAAATTATGTTTTTAGTGAAAATGTAAGTGTTGTTTGGTTAAAACTTTATTCTTCTGTGTTGGGAATGTGCACCAAGAGTGTTACACTGGAGAACCCTGGCCAATTGTCCTGGGTATGGAGGGGATTTGCTGGGAGTGTTGAGGGCTTGCATTTTTGTGCTTCTTCTTCTAGTTATAAATAAGCTGGTTTATTGAAAGATGGCTGTTGCAAAATATTTTTAGATTTGGAAACATCTCATTTGGGGTTGAGGTAGAGACTTCTGCTGGTTGATGAGAAGCCCAATATTATGATGACCACCCCCATATTCTCAAGTGTTTTCAGTCCACACTCCTGGTCATCCCTCCTTTCTTGGCATATGTTGATTTTGCCATCCTTTCTTCCAAGAACCATCTTTCTTTTCATCTATATTTTCTTTATCTATAATTGAAGGAGATCACAAAAGGACCTGGGCCTGTCTGGCCATAGGATGTGGGGATATTTGATGTTTGCTCAGAGCTGAAATGTATGAGTAGAAGGTAACTATTGATTGGAACTTTTTTTTTTTCATCTTTGGTAGTGTTTGTTGGATTGTGCTCTGAGACATCTGGTACTCCAGAGATATCAAAAGATATTCTACCCCGGACAGGTTCTGTGTTCAAATAAGTTTGTAAAGCAAAGGGTAAAACTCAATTGATGAAGGACTTTTCGGGGCCTTTAATACAACAACTCACTCTCATATACATTATGGATTTTCAGGAGGGTAGTATGGTGTGCTGCATTTTCCTCAAGCATATTTAACCACAGATGCCACTTGTTTTTTAAAAGTATTACCCAGGTTCAGATTTTATGAACACAATTTGGGAAAAAAACTAATCAATTTAGATACTTAAACTTTATAGGTGAATTGTGTAGCCTTTCCAAATCCTATTTCTGAAGATTAGTTTTATTTAAGCCAAAACTTACTTAGAAGTGGTGGGAAAGAAAGGAAAGAGTAGACAGAAAAGGGATTAAACATATGTACAGAGTAGAAGTGTGGTGGAGGAAAAAGGATGAAAAAGGTGAAGGCACCTGGAAAGAACAGAAAGCTGTTCTCTTAGAATTATATCCACTGATGTGAAGGTTGATACTGCCGTTAGAGGACTGGAGGCATAATTGTACATGAATGTTGGTGATGATTATTGCTGCCATTGGATATGTAAACATGAAGTGTGGGCCTCTTGGAAAGTGGAAATACTGTGTTTCTCCAGGTTTATTCAAATAACAGGCACTCTTGAAACACCTGTTTTCAAGTTAGCTTAACGTTATGTTGACATCATGATGCACAAATGAAATAAATATTCAGAAAATAACCTTATAACAAAAGAGAAATAAAAAAGGATAAGTTTAGAGAATAACAATTTTACCATAAGTAGTAGAAATAATAAACACGGGAGGTGAGGTCTAGTTTCACCTGGGATGTGAAAGGAGACACTGCATCTTAGATGAGTCTGGGCATGGCTTGGGTAATGTCAGTATGTTCGAGTAAACTGGGAGACTGGAACTTGGACTTAGAAACTGTCCTGTGTAGTACAGTAGTCACAAGAAAGTCAACTGAGCTGCCTATTAGATAGGCCAGTGGGTGTAGCGCCAGATACCCTGTGATTGTCTCCTGCCCATAAGGCTGTGTATGTGGTTGTCTAAGGGATGTTGAATGGAGGCAGGAATAGGATATAGTCCTTGGAATATAATCTGGCAAGAGAAAGGCAGAGCTATTCTCCTGGAGGACCTGCTATACTCAGAAGACTATTGATATAGGGAGGGCTCAGGTGCAAGAAGTGAAGCAAGTCCTGGGAACTGGGATCAGACCTGTGAAAGAAGGGCAGGGCCAGCTGGGCAGCACAGCCAGGGGTGACCTTGGACCCCAGAGGGTTGATCCAGGGATGTTGACATTCTCTGTCTTGTCTTTCAGAGATAAGACTGGGCCTGGCCCTGACAATTTTGGGGTGTAAACAAGGAAAGCTAGGTGGTTCAACCATGGGAGAGGAGGAAAGCAGGAATTAGGATTCCAACAAGCTACACAGATAGAAGTTGGGTCACTTAGAGATCCTTAGCCTTCCTTTTGTAAGGTTCCAATGATACCACTAAGTCTCTCATCTAAGCCTGATTGGATGCAATGAACTCTTCTCTGAAACACCTCCCTTTGTGTTCTCATGGAGATTTAGGGGCAGTGAGGGTGGGGCATATTCTCATGGTGATTGTGACATTCTCAATTTTGTGGTAGTTCAGTTGAACCTATCTTTTGTCTGACTAGTTGTTGAGAGTAGGGATTATTAAATCAGAAGCAGTCTACACAGCTGTCATTTCCTTTAATGTGCCAAACACTGAAAAACAAACAAACAAATTTTAGTGTTATCATCCCCACTTTACAGACAACAAAACTGAGTTCCAGGAGGTAAGACGGCTGTTCAAGTCCTCAAAGCTGGGATGTGGAGGGGCAGGAGTTAGATCAGATTTCCTTGACTCCAAATCCCATGGGCTTTTGCCTAGACCAGTGATTCTCAACCTAGGAAGTTTTTAAAAATGTCGTTTTGTGAACCTCATCCTCAAAGGTTTGGATTCAATTCATCTGGGGTAGTATTTGAACCCCTGTATGTCTTCTTTTAACTCTCCCAGGTGATTTTAATATGCATACAGGGCTGAGAATTCTGGCTCTCTATTATGTCAACATTGCTATCCTGGGCCTCTAGTATAACACTCACCCATGTAGAGGATAAAGAAATGTGTATTAATTTGTTTAGAGGGTTTCTGTGGCAAGAAAGAAAAGCAATGACTGTATGTTACCAGAAGTTATAAAGTGACTCCTTAGAGGCTGAAATGGAATATTTGATGTTTATCAGAAAACATAATTAAGGATTGGAGAGCTATTCATTCTGTGCTCTGAAAGGCTTTTCAAAACTTTCATTGCAGGTGGCATTGTCCTCAGCCCAGCATATTATGGGATGCCTGGCCACACCGACACCATGATCCATGAAGTGGGACATGTTCTGGGACTCTACCATGTCTTTAAAGGAGTCAGTGAAAGAGAATCCTGCAATGACCCCTGCAAGGAGACAGTGCCATCCATGGAAACGGGAGACCTCTGTGCCGACACCGCCCCCACTCCCAAGAGTGAGCTGTGCCGGGAACCAGAGCCCACTAGTGACACCTGTGGCTTCACTCGCTTCCCAGGGGCTCCGTTCACCAACTACATGAGCTACACGGGTATCACCACTGTCTTGTTTTGTTTTCTGTTAAGAATACATGGGGGCCTTTGAGAGCTGGGAGGGTGGAGGTGTGGGAGCTGATGGGAGAATGATTAAGTGGTCATTTGTGTCGGAGAGTTGAAGTGTATTTATTATAAGGTATTATTATTTTTTCATGTCTTTGAAGAACTTGAAGAAATACTGACATATTAAGGTACTTTGTTCACTGAATTCTCCTCTACTAGATATTTTAAAATATACTTCTATCCTCGATAGTAAAAAAGGCACAGAGCCAAAAGCCCTCTTGTGATCCCCTTGACTTCTAGAATGTGGTTATTCTTATTTTTGCCCGCATTCTTAGACATTTACTCTGAAGAAGAGTCCAATGGAAATAAAGGAAAAGAGTTTATGGGTCAAGGTGGCCCATTGTACTGTTTTTGAAGTTGGTCAACAAGGTGGCTTGGTTAATTTAGGCTCAGCATGTTTTACTGTATGTTACTAAAAAAAAAAAAAAAAAAAATCAGATTCTCTTTTTCCAGCACTAGTCAAGCACAAATTCTTAGCTGCCTACCACCCTTTCCCCACCAAAAGGTGACATCTAATTTTAAAAAAATGGCATCTTCCTGGCCCTCGGAAAAACTTGTCATCTGGTCTTTCTTGCCTTAATTCAGCTTCTGTATTATTCTTCGCTGTCTCTCACGCCTTCCTTGTTTCTTGTGAAAAGTAATAGTGACTGGTTTCCTATAATGGACTCAAAGTTATCCCTAAAATTAAAGACTTATTTGATGACCTAGTACAATGGTGAAAGAAGATATTTTTTCTATAAGTTTTGGGGGCTTGTTTGGTGACAGGTTCTTCTAGAACTATCCAAAAAAGAATAAACCACCACACCCTGGTCATGACTTTGAAGGGAGGAAAGCGTGATGAGCCGATTCTGTCTGTCATCTTTCAAGATGTGTCTATCTGAGTTTCATTGCGGTGAATAATTCAGGTGCATCAGATGTGTAAGCACCAGCACCTCTCCCCCATCAAGGGGCAGAAACACCAGACGATGCCATGCAGAGGGCAGAGCTCTGGAGGCAGCACCTTTGAAGCGGGAAGAGGAAACATTTAGGAAGCTGAGTGAGGCAGTATTTGACTGGTGTGCTTTCACTAGAAAAGTTCCTGGCACTAAGAAAACTCCCTTTCCAACCCTATGCAAAATGTACCTGCTAAAGAGACCTTGCCAGATTCAAAAGTGAGGCTGAGACCACCATTCCCAGCCCTGCTGTCTCATTGGCATTTGGCTCTCTTTCCCCTTGAGCAGCTCCACTGAATACTCACTAACCTCTGCCAACGTCACTGGGCAATAAAGCAGGTGTCTGAAACTCCACAAACGTTCACAAGTGAAAAGGCCATCTGTTGAAACACTGCCATCTTGTGGTTTGCTGAATAAGCAACCATCAGCTCAGAGCAACCTGAGCTGCCCAACTTTAAGGTCATGACCTTGCTTTAGATATGAAAGTGCTGCATCTCTGGTCTCTGTCTTCTCTTACCCTTTCCAGCTTAGACCCTTTCTGGAACAGATTGCATTTGTTCATTCATTCAACAAGTAAGTGCTCATTGAGCCTAATAAGTTAACTCAGCCATGAACAAGACACAAATTTATCCCTGCCTTGGTGGACTTGATGGGTTAAAATCTCCATCTCTTGTGCCACCTTTTTTGTCTCCACAGATGATAACTGCACTGACAACTTCACTCCTAACCAAGTGGCCCGAATGCATTGCTATTTGGACCTAGTCTATCAGCAGTGGACTGAAAGCAGAAAGCCCACCCCCATCCCCATTCCACCTATGGTCATCGGACAGACCAACAAGTCCCTCACTATCCACTGGCTGCCTCCTATTAGTGGAGTTGTATATGACAGGTGAGAGAGGCACTGGCTGTGGGTGAGCTGGCTTATTTCTCTGTGGCATTTCATATGAATGAGGGGAAGAATATGAATCCAGGGGAACTCCAATTTGGAAGTATAAATGTGTGCACCACTGCTCAGAGCTGCTGCTCCAGCCTGCTCTGTTCTCGTTGCTTTAGCAGAACTCATGGGCTCTCTTGTGAGCCAGTGGCTCATCTTAAGTGCTCACTCCCCCCTCAGGGAGGCCTGGAGAGCCTGACCGATGTGACAGGGATAAATTGGCAGAACGGAGAGGGCATCTGCCATTTGTCTCTGTCAGCTGTTCCTCTGTGGCATGAGGGTGGAGTGGCAGCTTGCCACTTGCAGAGTGGTGTTGGGGGAGGGATTACAGCATGCTTCTCCAGGCACTTCTGGGTGTGGGTGGATGGTAGTGTGCCCACTGCCACAAGCTGTGCATCAGAGGGCTTCCCTGACTTACGTAGGTGCTTCTGACACCTTCTCAGCCTCCTGTGCCTCCCCCTCTTAAGGCCACTATCTTATGGAATTGTCATCCTCTGCTTATTTTCCTACCTGCCCCACTTGACTGGCAACTACTGGGGGAGGCAGGATGATTTTTTGTCTCTTTGTCTCTTGCCCTGCCACAACAGACACCTAATGTGTGTTTGCTGAAGAAAAGCATTACACCTAAAACTAACTTTCATTTGTCCTTTGCATATTGGTTTGAAAGAATAACAGATAAATTTTTGTAGAAAGGAGAGAAAGGTAGGAAAATGAATGACATCTGATAATTGGTGAGGGATGGGAGAATGTGGTTTCACTGAGAAGGACCAGAACCCCTTCTGTGACCTGTGCAGACTGACCTCTTTCAAAACCTACTGCTGTATTCTGAATGACGACAGTCCCTGATCTATTTGTGGCACTATATGTGAAGTGTTGTGCTAGGTATTTTACTTGCACTTGTCTTATTTAGTCTTTGCAGTAAACGCAGTTCCTGCTAAATAAGTGAGAATTCTGAGGCATAGAGAAACATACAATGGCAAACCCAAGACCCCACAACTGATTGGAGGTGAACTCGGGAGTCCAGTGGAAATTCGGGAATAAGGAACATAGAATGGATGCTTTCTTTTAATTTAGAGCATTCTTATTTAGCACATCTCTTCTTTGCACCACACTTTCCCTCTGGGTGTCAGGCCTCAGCTAAAGAGAAGGGTGTCGCTGGAGCAAGTTTCCGTGCCCTTCAGCTTTGCTGAAAGCCTAGGGAGAGAGGCAAGAGAGAGACAGGGATAGGAGGAAGCTGGTGAATCCTCTTTCACAGTGGTATTTCAGCCTCTTGGGATTTTGATACCTGTCCCTGATACCTTGATACATACTTAGTGTGTGACACCACTTAGACCTCACAACCCTACAAAGTAGTTTCATGGTCATCAGCGCCCAAACCCTTTTGGGCTCTGTTTGTGAGTCAGCACACATCTGTGTGATGTGTGTGAGAATCATCTTCCTGCAAGTGTGACCTTGTGCAGCTTTGGTCGAACTGCCTGAACAGCAAGTCCTCTGTGGGTGTGTGCAAACCAGAGTTTTACATCCGTTTATGTAACACATGTAAACAATTTAATCTTTGAATTCTCTCTCTGGTACAAACGTTACGATAAAGCAGACATCAGTACGGGCGTGCTGAGAGTCTGTTGGCAGAAAAACCTGCAGTTTGCTTCCTTTTCTCAGCTAGGTGGACTGCAGTTTTGAGACCTCCCAACATGTGTGTCAGGGGGACTCACGTCACATGGCCAGCAATTTGTGTCATGCTTGGAGTTGTGTTTACTCCACCCCAGCAGGTATTTGGAACCCTTATGTCAGAGAAGAGCCCCAGCTACGCACTTAGCAGCAGCCACGGAAGGGCCAAGTGCATCAGAGGAATGAGCTTTGGAGTTTTGTTCATGTTAGAAGTGAGTGCTGATTGGAGTCAGAGGTTGGATCTTAACTACACCTTTTAGTTTCCAAAGTACTGGACGCTCAATGGTGTTTGGGAACTTGCTCAAAGGAATTAAGGAACTTGTTGTGACCTTAGGCAATTTACTTAACCTCTCTGAGCCTGAGTTTTCTCATTTGTAAACATAAGGTTATTACAGGAATTAGAAATCATTTATGAAAAGCACGACACAGCGGCACAATGCCAGTTATGTGAGGTACTTCAGAAATGGGAGCAGCTGTCATAATCACTACCTTTATTTTATAATACTATTTTTCTGGCATATTACAAGATGTTATTGAGACCCTGACTTGATGCCTCCGTTTTCAGATGCGTCATTCACAAGTGGGCTTCTAAAAAGATTCTAAGCATCAGAGGCAAGCCCCTTGAAGTGACTTACCATTATTATGTAGCTATTATTGTGTCTACCTCTTCCAGTTACCTCAGTTATAGTACTTGTAGAACTTTCATAAACTGTATTAATCACGTCATGGATATCCATAAAACAAGCATTCACAGAGGGACTGCTGGGTCCAATCCTGTTGGAAATATAAATCAGAATAGAGCTTGGTCTGGACTGGCTCACAGGCAAAAGAGAGGAAAGAATGTGAATGGAAATTCTCAACACCGCATAGCAGAGCCCTAAGAGAGGATCCAGCAGGTGCAGTGGGTGCACAGAGAAGGGAGTACTGGTCACTCAGAGGAGAGAGGCTAAGTGCTACTGCAGAGTTTACATTTGAATGGTTCTTGATGGGTAAGTAGGAGTTTGCTAAACAGAGAAGCTTGGAAAGGCTGTTTGGCAGCAGAGAGAACAGCTCAAAGGCATGATGTATTTGTGGAATGGTGATCTGTTCATTGCGCTGGAAATATAAATCTCAGAAAGGAACTGCAGTAGGTGAGGCTGGAGCTAGCTTGTGAAGGGCCTTGAGACGTGATAAATAATTTGGATATATCTCCAAGGGCAATGGTGAGCCAAGAGACATTACATTTCACCTGACTTTTATTTTATGTAAGTGATTTAAAGTAGGGAGCTTAAAACATAAGGACACATATGGCTAATAAGTTTATGTGGGAAATTATTGCCTGTTTTAGTGGGGAAATTCAAGGAGCCTTTGAATGACTTGAGAGTCAATGTAGAAGGGAGTTTTATGTTGAAAGATTCAGATTTTAATTGTTTGTTGTTTACTGTTCCTAGGACAGAAAATGCCCACTTTCATCTCCACAGGCCTCTTTTATGACTTAGTTAATTTTTTCTGCTTCATGATCTTGAAATTTTCATGTCACTGAATTTTGCAAAGATGAGGTCCACACAAGAAAAAACGATTGAGATACAGTTGTTCTTAGTTACTCTCTAGGTCCTTACTAACCATCAACCCCTGCCCTCCCCACACAAAGGTCTTTCTAATTTTCTTATCCCAACTCATCTGATGGACTCTCCTCATCTCCCATCTCCATCCCTTTATCTCCCCAGGGCCTCAGGCAGCTTGTGTGGCGCTTGCACTGAAGATGGGACCTTTCGTCAGTATGTGCACACAGCTTCCTCCCGGCGGGTGTGTGACTCCTCAGGTTATTGGACCCCAGAGGAGGCTGTGGGTAAAGTACCATGACATTTTTTCTTTATACCCTGGTGACCACTGAGGATGGGGGTGGAGGTAAAGAGTGGAGTAGTGACATGGTGACAAAAAGGCAATGTATGTGTATGTGTGTGTGTGTGTGTGTGTGTGTGTGTGTGTGTGTGTGTTTTGCTGGATATCTTTTGGAGCTGCCTGGTGCCGCTGTGTGCAGAATGTTCCATATGTGCCTAACATGGAGGCCCCATGGCTGTGGTAAAGCAGAGACCAGCATATAGGACAGAAGGATGGAGAAGTCAGCTGAACTCAGGGTGTGACTTCAGGGTGAGATAGCTGGGAGGTGTAGTGTTACGTGTGCCTACTGGTCCTTGGAGTAGCCGTGCCATGTGACAGTGTAAGCTGACCTCTTACTCCTCTGCATCAGGAAACACACCGCAGAGAACACTCATGCAATGGCTGAGCAAGTCTGGGTGGGGGTGGGGGGACCGCAGAGAAAACTCATGTACTGGCTGAGCAAGTCTGGGTGGGGGTGGGGAGACCAGGTGTTCCACACTGACTGTTCTCGTCTATGCTATTTTATGAGTCTATTAATCACTGGTACTGGTTGTGCTTTGGATATGATCTGAGCTAGGCTCCAGGAAGGGGAAAATATTTTTTGTTATCTTTTTTTCTGTACCTCCCCTAACTTTTCAAACAGTCACACATTCACTCACATATGTATATTAATGCGCCTAAGACAAATTAAAGCATGAATCTTTTTCCAGTTCAAGTCAGAAAATACTGTTGACAGGATTTTAGCACCTCCTGATGAATGGCTTGACTTCTTCCATCATCATCATCTTTAATGTTTACCTAATTATCATCTTTTTTCTTTGCCTTTAAAATATTTATTAAGACACTAGAAACAATTAAATAAGATGTGTTGGCCAAAGCCCTATTTGAATTAATCTGCAGTCTTGATTGTGACACGAAAAAAAAGGAGAATATTGGTCTGAGAGTCTGCAGTATCTGCAAGATATCATCCTGGGCTCCCAGTCACTCAAGTGACAGGGCTTCAGGGATAAATCTGGAAGGAGACAATTTACTTGATTGATTGTATATGACTTTTTTCAAGTGAGAATTTTCAGGGAAGAATGGAAAGTGAGTATAAAATTTACTGCATTGGACTCTAAACAGAGATTTGCATTTCATAAAGGGCCATTTTGTGTGTGTGTGGCAGTCTGTCCTGTGCTGGTGTTTTAATGCCTGTTTGATTCCCTGACCTGGTATTTTTTTCCTTTTTATTTCTAGGGGGAAAAATCAGTTATCTGAGAGAGGTAAAAGGAATTAGAAGTTCTACGTTCTAATTCTTGTATTGTGTCTTAAGGCAAACCAAATCAACTTTTAGGGCTTCCATTTCATGCTTTAACATGAAGTCATAATAAAAACTTTTTGACTGGCAGTGCTGATGTTAGGTTGATTTCCAAGGACCTTTATGCTGCTAGTATTGGGGGCTTAATAATAATTATCAGACAAAATGAGAAGTTTTTGGGACTGTTAACATTGGACTTCACAAGCATTAATTTATAAATCATTAATGAACTAAGTATATATGATTAATAAGAAATACTAGTCTTTGCTTTGAAAAGGTGAAGAACCAGGTCATATTTAAAATATACACTATAAGAGTAATCTCTAACAGAGCAGGCACAAACACATGTATTTATAAATAGGTCTAATGAACACTGCTTAACCACCAACTATTTTCTAAATGCTATGGGGATTAGAAAACTAAAACAGACATATTCCCTGCTTAAACATCATCTTCATGGTGAGAATTTTCTGGCTTCATAACCTAAAATAGCTCCCAGCCTCACCTCATAATCCTGTATTCCCTTATGTTCCTCCACTTGTCTTCACAGATATCATTACTACTTAATATTATACTTTATATTCTTTTATGTATTTATTGTTACATCTATCACTTTACTGTAACATATAGAAAGGCAAGACTTTGTCTCTCTTGTTCACTCCTCTATCTCTAATACCTAGATTAGTTCTTGGTGTAAAAGAACTACACTACCAATTTTTGTTGAATTAATGAATCAACTCATAATAAATGAATCAACACACAATATAGGCAAAAAACAATAAAAACCATAAGATGTAACACACCACACACACACAGTTGCACACACATATTTTTGAAATTAATAATATGTGTTTCTATTTCCTGCCTGCAGTTTTTCCCTGCAGCTACCTCCCTACTCACACATACCTGCACTGAAAGGGAAATTGCAATGTTTGAACTGGTTTTCTCTGGGCTTTGGGACATAATTTATTTTCCAAATTTTGAAGGGCTAAATACTTCTACTTTGGTAAATGTAGGTATTTAATTTCTCTAGAACATTGTATAGATCTACACTGCCCTAGTAAGGCGGGGCTAAACATTATCACTTATTTTGTAAAAGAGGAAACTGAGGCATAGAAAGATGTGCCACAGCCACTCAGCTAAGGACACAGGAGGGCTGACTCTGCTAGTTCTCGATTCAACACTCTCTCTTCAACTCCCATCACACGACAGAAAAGAAAACCATTTGGGTAGATTACTTCCATGGAGCTGACTTTCATAGATTCGTGATATTTGATTTTTTATCATTACATTTTTATTTGGCTACTGAATCTTCATTTTTTTTCCCACTCCATAATATGTGTTTATATTTCCTGCCTGCAGTTACCTACCTGCTTACACATACCTGAACTGAAAGGGAAATTTCAATGTATGGTTTTAAAGTTCGTCTAACCATCAGTTGAAAGGATTGCCAGGGTGGGATCTTAGGGAATGAAAGAAGTTTTGGGAAAAGCCCTACAAAGATTGCAGTGACAGAGTGAAATCACTGGTCTTCAGAAGCATTAATTTATCATAAGTTATGAATGGACTAATCACATGTAATTCTCTGCTCAAGGATTGTTTAAGGACATGACTTCTCTGCATCAGCCTCATGTTTCCACCTAGGATCTGGGTTGCTCCCTTCCCAATTCCTGGTGGGTTTCCTCTTGCTAAGGGCACCATGTACAGGGATGGGGTAACAAGAGTGTAATGCTTTTTACTTTTACACCTTTGTTCTTACTAGTACTTAAGATCTAACCTGCTAAGATGACCAACTTCTACAGGAATTCTAAAAGTTCTCTCCATAGTTCCTCTTTCTGGCTGCTAAGGGCTACTCATTTTCTGACTTTTAATGGCTGCTACTGATGTATCTTTCTGCTAATCTCCCCCCAGGGCCTCCTGATGTGGATCAGCCCTGCGAGCCAAGCTTACAGGCCTGGAGCCCTGAGGTCCACCTGTACCACATGAACATGACGGTCCCCTGCCCCACAGAAGGCTGTAGCTTGGAGCTGCTCTTCCAACACCCGGTCCAAGCCGACACCCTCACCCTGTGGGTCACTTCCTTCTTCATGGAGTCCTCGCAGGTCCTCTTTGACACAGAGATCTTGCTGGAAAACAAGGAGTCAGTGCACCTGGGCCCCTTAGACACTTTCTGTGACATCCCACTCACCATCAAACTGCACGTGGATGGGAAGGTGTCGGGGGTGAAAGTCTACACCTTTGATGAGAGGATAGAGATTGATGCAGCACTCCTGACTTCTCAGCCCCACAGTCCCTTGTGCTCTGGCTGCAGGCCTGTGAGGTACCAGGTTCTCCGCGATCCCCCATTTGCCAGTGGTTTGCCCGTGGTGGTGACACATTCTCACAGGAAGTTCACGGACGTGTGAGTTTGGTAGCATGACTATGGGGCTTCCTGAGGCTCTGGGGGTGGGTTTTGTTACTTTTCCCCCACTTTTTAATATTCAGCCATGCCCTTAGTCGGAGGAATGTTTAGACTTTCAGAGGGGATTTTACCGTAAAGTGGCATATCTGAGGTAAAGAAAAGCACTTCCCAGAAAGGGGCAAGCAGGTGTCTGATTGCTGATGCCATCATCATGATTATGGACAAAAGGTTAGTGTATGAGATGTTTCAGTTGAACTGAACATAATTGCTACAAATAAGTTGATCAGAATCAGATACTCCTGTCTGGTGACAATTTAATTTCTGATTCTTTGCTTTAGCTGTCTGATCATCTGCCACAGACCCCATAACATTTATAAGGTATAGTCAATTCTTCTATTGCTATGCAAGGAGGCCGAGGGCCTGGCAGACCAGACGATACACTCAGTTCCATGACTCATTCATGATATGAGTTTCATTCTTTCCCCTTCTCTCATTTTCCCCCCTCACACCCCAATAACCAACTCTCTTTTATCTTTCTCTTCCAGCTCTCCTCTTCCTGTTAGTTCTGTCTTTTCTTCCTACATTTAGTGAGTTCTACTATGTTCCTGGCACTGCATGTTCAGTGCTGGGGGCACAGACTAAGATGAGGTCCTTACTTACAAAGAATTCAATATCTGGAGCAGGAGGCTGGTACTCCAAAGGCAAATTCTCTTGACCTCATAACCTTCTTTGGAGACTGCCCTGAGGGCAGAACTAGGGCAAAACAAAGTTTTATCAGAGATACTGTCAGTTAGTTTTTGCTGCATTAGAAATCATCACAAAAGGTAGTGGGTTAAAACAACAAACATTATTTCTCATGATTCTATAGGTAGGTTGGGTGCTCTCATCTAGACTTACTTGGCTAGCACCAGATGGCCCGGGATGACTTCCCACACAGCTGAGACAGCTGGCATGGCTGGGGAGATGAGGGCCTCTTTCCTCATGGTCTCTCAAGGCCTGGCCTGGGCTTTTCATGGTAGTGGAAGGGTTTCCAGCAGCAGAGAGGGCAAGCCCCAAATGCTTACACTTTTCAAATCTTTGCTTTATGTTATTCATGATAATGTTCCACTAGCCAAAGCAAGTCACACAGCAATTTTAGACTCAATGGGTGGCGAAATAAACCCTCCCTTTTGATGAAAGAGGCAGCAAAGTCACATGATAGAGGGGAACATTGGGGACAGGGTAGTCATTTGGCAGTCTACCATAGCTACAGAAAAAGTAGAGAAAAATGTCCACCTTGAGCTTCATTACATTTTTCTTCCCATATTTGCTCTGTCAATTAGAACTAGAAGATAGTGAAATGACCAAAAAGCTAATGCAAATGCAAAGGTAGCTTTAAAAAGAAAAAAGATGTCATTTTGAACTTCTTAAATAAGGCAGTTAAGATGACATTTGTTATCTAATTTGCTACACACACACACATACACACACACACACACACACACACACATGTTTAAGGCCAATAATATCTCATTTTGTAGATGAAAAATCTGAGGCTTAACTTTGATTTGGTTCAATAGCTAGTAAATAGCAAAATCGGAATTAAAATCCAATTTTTCAACTGGATCTCATTTTGGTCCTCTTGCTTCAGTTAACACTCTGCCTTTTACAAACTCAGATCCTGGAGGGCTTGGGCTACCTGCCGCTGAGTTTTTCCTCAAGAAAAGTAAACACATGCTGATGTTTCCATCCAGTCCTTTCCCCAGCCACAGAAAAGTGTGAAGCTTTTATGCATGGCTGGACAAGCAGTCTGACAGAAACCGCCTTGTAAAGGGAAACTGTCAGCATTGATTAGGATATAAAATTGGTTTTACTTTAGAAATATCTGGCATTCTCATGAGAGGTTTGCTTCTCTGGGGGATGTGGGGGTAACTAATTTGGAAATTTAAAAGACTTTAATATCTAGGTTTCTTTTCTATTAAAATACTTAAAAGCCAGCACAGAGGTTTTTAAAGATGTTTTTGAAACCCTGAGACATTTCCTGGTTGCTGGTTGCTGCATCAGCTGAGGGAGTGGAGGCTTTGTGGGTGAGTTGAAAAGTCTGTTAAAGAAGAGAGAACCATGGCAGAATACTGATGGCAGCCACTCACAGTAGTCCCAGCAACCCTTTGAGATCCTGTTTCACTAAGTAACTCCCATCCTAGCTTGACTTTGGTGGTAGTTTTCCAATTAGGGCAGGCACTGGGCAAAATTAAGATGAAGGCAGATTTTGTCTTTGGGACCAGAAGCTCTCCTTCTTGAGCCCTTTTCCTCTTCTCAGTGTCTTGCCTTTCACCCTCACCACACAATCAGTGCACCCAGGATCTAGAGAGAGTCTGACAAGCTCCTTTCATCTCTAGGGTCAACTGATACAACTCCATTCCTGATACCTACACACTTTAATAGATTTGGAGGTGGGGAGTTGTTTAATGCATTTCTAATTGTGGAACTTCTTGCTTCCCCCAAATTGTGACAAAAGTTGTTCCTACCTGCTGTTATGAGACAGTTGATCTTACTCCTAAGGATTCAGTCTTCTCAAGACAGGAATTCTCTTGAGAGAAAACTATGATCGCAGACCCAAGAAGGGGGACTTCCTGAGCCCAAACTCTGAAGCTTTCATCTCCAGTTTCTTTGATTACTTTGATGATACAGAAGACTGGCTTTTAAATAGTTTTGTTTTGTTTTAACATGGTAAAAATGCACTTGAAATACCATCTTCCTAGATTAACTGGGACTGTTAGGTTCAGTGTTAACGCAGCAAGCATTTACTGCGCATTTACTCTGTGCAACGCACAGGGGATACAGAAATAAATATGGTTTCAAACCTTCTGGTGCTCGGGAAGACTGTGCCCTGATCTTTGTTTTAGACAATGCAGCGTATGTTTAACCTTTATGTTTCCCATAATATTTCCCTTCAACTTCTGTGAACCATCAACAAAGGACCCAGGGCATGCCTCACTTTGTGGCTGTAGTGGTCACAAACCCTTTGGTTTCCACAGGGAGGTCACACCTGGACAGATGTATCAGTACCAAGTTCTAGCTGAAGCTGGAGGAGAACTGGGAGAAGCTTCGCCTCCTCTGAACCACATTCATGGAGCTCCTTATTGTGGAGATGGGAAGGTGTCAGAGTGAGTATTTTGTGTGTGTGTGTGTGTGTGTGTGTGTGTGTGAGAGAGAGAGAGAGAGAGAGAGAGAGGGAGGGAGAGAGAGCAGGGACACTGTTCTCTAAACAGAAGTTTCAGGAGTTTGACTTGTTTTGGAAATGTAGGGAGCAAGGCACCATTTGATTCTAGTGTTGAAATTCTAAAATCTGGGACTTGGTTGTGTCAGGTCTTGAGATCTGGCATCTCTACATAGTTATGGAGGAACCCACTTTTACTTATAGCTAACCCCAGAGTATTGAGGTATTGAGGCCGATTATCTGGGGGCCCCTTTTATGGCCTCAGCAAGCAACTGCTGGACAGTGATTCAGGGAAGGAATTTATGCAGAAGAAGGTTACTCATCAAATGATGCTGAAAGAGGATCTCTTTTGAACAAATGGCCTATTCTGCTAACGAGGTGTGTGATCTGAGGAAATTCAGTATAGCTTTCGGATCTTCAGTTTCTCATGCAACCCTTAGTAGAACTGATAACAATATAATTTCCAGCTATTCTGTAGGCATCACCAAGGTAGAAATGGAATCACCCTTTCTGTTTCTTAACATACTATGTTACTTTTCTTGTTGCCCTTTTGTGATATTAGCATAGAGGACTAATTAATTCATTCTGGTTTGCCTGGGACTTCCCCGGTTTTAGCACTAAAAATACCAAGTCCCAGGAAATCCTGGACAGTTGATCACCCTACATCAACCTAACTTTAATGCTCATCTATTTGTTACTTATATAAAGCTGCTGGGATGAGGAGGCTGGAAGCCAGACACTGTGATTTGTCTTAGATTTTGCATCCTAATAAGATGGGTTATTTTTATTTTCCCAGACCAGGTGAAAATATATCGTATATTGAAGCCCTAATGGGAATCAATTCTGTAGGCTTGCTTGGGATTCCATCCCATCATTTAGCAGTCACTCAACATTGTTTATCTCCTCAATCTTCTAAGATCCTGAAACTATAGTAAGTCTATTCCTTGTCATAGAAGTATAAACACTAAAATGTTCCCAGCCCTCGATAATATGTGGAAGCCATTGAGGTCACCTCAACCTTGCTCACGTGCTGTCCCTTGCTACCTAACTCAGCCTGCCACCTTCCCTCCTTCACTTCAAATCAGATTTCTCCCTTGGATGCTTCACATTGCAGAGGACAAGTCCACTTGACACTGTTGTTGTTTTCTCTGTTTTGGTTGCTTCATTTTAAACCTGAAGCCCTCCAGTTAATGTGCTGGGGGGGGTGGGTGACCACTACTACACTGGCAGGACCCTCCTTGAACAAAACACTCTGCCCTCTGTCCTAGTGTCTTCCAAGGCAGCTGTCTGATGGTGGCCACCCTGCAGCCCCAGGGTGCCATTTCTGCCTGGAGGATGTGGGGCTTGAAAGGGGTGGAGGGCTCTTTCCCTACCCTGATTTTGCACATTCTCTCACGAGCCTTAAAGCAGCTTCATCTAAGGCAGCACTGCTTGGCTACTGGGTCTCGCAAGGTTACTTATCAAAATGTTCCTTGAAACTTCTGCCTATGTTTTCTTCTCTGTGTAACTAGCACTTCCATCCAATGGGAAGGTATGCAACTCCAAATCTGGCTTAGCCAAATGCACCACATTACACGTAAAACAAGAAGAATCCATACCAATCATTTGATCACTTGGATAACACTTGTCAATAGGACTACCAAAACAAGCACGATGCAGGGCCCTGAAATTATAAACAGTATTCATATAGAAGTTAATCATTTCAATCTGTGCTGTTCAATATAGGAGCCACCAACCATAGGTGGCTCTTTTTGCCTTTAAAATATACCAAATGCAACTAAAAAACTGAATACTTAATTTTATTTAATTTTAAGTAATTTATATTTAGTTTAAAAACCAAAACTCAGTTTGGTTATTGGAAAATCTTCAAGTATATTTGGAACAACTTGGGCAGGTAAATCTAATGTTCCAACTATAAATTTTATAAAGTCTAAATACAGATCAAATAGTTGAATTCAGATGTGCTGTAAGTGAAAAATACACACTAGATTTCAAAGACTTAGTATACAAAAATAATGTAACATGCCTCATTTTATACTGACTGCAGATTGAAATAATATTTTGAATATTTTGGGTTAGGTAAAATATATTATTAAAACTAATTTTACCAGTTTCTTTTTACTTTTTAAATGACTACTAGAAAAATTAAAAATGTGGCTTTCATTACAGTTCTGTTGGGCCGCATGGCACAAGATGATACATAGCATGCTTATATTGATTGTTTAGATTATCTTCAAAATGAAAATATAAAGTTGCCGACCTCCAAGATTATTCCTGGACCCCTTGTAGCAAAACATAGATGAAGGTTAATCCTCTCTCCATAAATAAGCACATTAAGGCATAAAGTATTTGGAGACTTCTTGGATATAGCACACATTTAATTAGGTCCCCAGTACAGTCTCTTTTCATTGAACCACATTGCATTTATATAGAAAAATGATTTGTAGTTTCCTTAATTTCTTCAATTATGTTGTTTTTATATCACTTTTAGCCTTCTCCACTTCCAGCTTGCCATTTAAAATATGATTACTATATCACTGTATTCATAGCATACATTTAATTCATTTTAAACCATTCTCATTTCTAATTATTTAATCTTTCATTCATCCTAGTGAGGCATACTTTAAACAATAGATTAGAGCTATTTATGATGTTCTGGGTCTGAAAACACTTTAACATTCCAAATCCTTTATCTACTGAGTTAAAATATATGTCCATTTTGAGCATGAAAAAAGTCAAGGAGAAAAAAATGGTAGTCCTCATCCATTTTGCAATAGCCAAATATTGGTTCTTTCATAGGAGCATCAACCCAAACTTATTTTGTTTCCATGAATTACTTTATGTCCGTTTCACTATAAACTAACTCCCCCACCTCAATTCAAATTTTGTTGTCTGTTGCATTAGCATTTGAGGTTGGAAACAAAAACATTTTTCTTCTCTCAGCATTTGTTTCTTCCCTGCAATATATGTTAGCTGTAACCAGGTGGTAGTAGGGAGTAAAGACAGGGACCTGAGCCCTAAGGATTCCCTAGACAGGCTGCTTAAGTCTCTGGGTATATGAACAGGAGATTGAATTCTACAAAATCCTAATTTTTATAACAACTGCACCTTTATGTAACAAAACAATGAAAACATAAAGAAATACCAGATAAAAATGAATAGATGAAACCACACAGACAGGCAGGCTTTCTTCTTACCATCATCAGCTATTTTAAGCCTTTATTCATTATAGGGCTGGCAGGGTTTTTCTAAGCTTAAGACCCTCTCCCAGAAACATCATCAGGACCCTCATGGATCTCCTAGATGTTTCTGAGCCATGAGCTACTTAACTTCAGGAATTCCCACAACCCACTGGACATGCCAACCACCAATCATTGCTTAAATTGTATCTACTTTATATATCCATATGTTTGTTTCTATTTTCTGTAAAAGCATTCTTCTAGCTCCTACTTTTTTCCAACTTGCACTTTTTAATATATACTGAGAAATTGTAAGAATTTTAAATGATGGTAGCTAAACAAGAAAATTTGTGTGTATGTGTTATATATGCATATATATTTTACCCTCTAGGAGACTGGGAGAAGAGTGTGATGATGGAGACCTTGTGAGCGGAGATGGCTGCTCCAAGGTGTGTGAGCTGGAGGAAGGTTTCAACTGTGTAGGTAAGTTCAAGAGTTTCAGTCTAAGATTGTGTCCTACTTTTAGAGGTGTATTATTTTGTGAGTTCTTGATATCCTGTAACATCTAGCTTAGTGATTATAATAATAACCTCTGATGTGTCCCTTGTATGCCAGGCATGAATTGTTTCACAGGTATTATCTCAGTCAATCCTTAGAATAACTGGGGAAGACAAAGTGAGGCACAGAGCTTAAATAACTTGATTTCATTTATGCAGCTAGAAGTGGTAAAGTCAGCATTTGAACTAAGGAAGTACAGCTCTAGAATCTGCGTGGTAAACCATTAGGTTATACTGCTTCCTAGCTTAATGTTACCAGGGATTTATCTTGGACCCTCCAGGGTAACGCCAATATGTCAGGTAAGTAGCACAATCAAATGGACTCTACATACAAATTAGGGTAAGGAAACATTCTAAGCCAAAGTGAATGCAAGACATATTTTGGTGACTGTGTGTAATAGATTCAATCATGAAGAATAAAAGAGGATCCTAACATATTTTAGCCTTGGAGAATCACTGGTAAAAATTTTAACTTTGACTCTAGAGTATAAGGTGCTTTTAACTCTAGACTCTTGCCACTCCAGGGAGGCAGTCTACAACACTTTTCCAATTCTGATTAAAGCTACCATCAACAGGTTTCTTAGATGCAGATTATTTTCCATTGTCATCTGCATAGATTGCAATGATTTGGTAGAGGATAACCACACATTGAAGTTTTTAAAATAGCAGTGCATTTAAAAATATTTTAATGTCATGAAATCTTAAGATAAAGTCGAATGTGATTACAATTATGTATAATTTATTAAGGTGTTAAGTATTATACAGAATATACAAATGTCCCTGCTCTCCAGAGCCAGACCTGAATCATAGAATGTTGGTGGTCCTCTCTCCATAAATTCATCCATCCATCCATTTGAAAAAGGCCCATCGTGTGCTATATGTTCAGTGGTACCATGTATTCTGTGCTTGTTGTGTACCATGAGTCTGACAGAGTCCCTGATCCTTTCATGAGTACAAGTTTAGCAGTGACTTAGAGTACAGCTTCTCTGTCTTACAGAAATGCCTCCTACCAAAGCATGACAGATGAGTTTCTAGCTTTTGCTTACCTAAATCTAGCCATGAAGAATGAACCTTGAAACAGACCATTCTGTTTACAAATGGCCTTATCTGTTGTAAAATTTTTCCCCTTTTTTCCAGTTCGAAAACTGAGGCTCAGAACGTTTTAATGACTCATCCAAGGACATACAATGAAATCTTTGCAGAGCCAGCCCTAGAACTCAGCTTTCCTCATGCTTAATCAAGTGCGTTTTCCCTGCTATGAAACTACAGAGGATATATATTTTTTTCTGTTTTATTTGACTACCATTCAGATATTTGAAATACCTCTCCATTATTCTCCTTTCCAATCCAAACATCCCCTCATGTGATTAGGTTTCCAGACCCTTTCTTATTTACCCCAAACTGTCATGCTTCATGTGGTCAGTGCCCAGAAGGGAATCCAATACTCCAGATGTGGTCTGGCTATGCCGAATACATCGAACCGATTACCTCCCTCTTCTGTACACAAGTATTTGTTAACACAACCTCTGTTAGCATTATTTCTTTTTGGTAGCCACATAGTGGTCGCATATTAAATGCAATATATATTCTCCAAACACTGAACTTTCCTCAGTGTAGCTCAAGTCTTATTTAACCTAAGAGCAGACCTTAATTTGTGTCTATCACATTTGATCTCATAAAATTTGGCTATTTCCTTCAACCCCAGTAAGACTATATTTAAATTGTTTTAACTATACAGGGTAAGGTTAAAATGATATATTCCAACAGTAGACATTTTTTCAGTGAATCATAAGTTCATCATATGCTAAGCACATATTCCATTATTTCTCAAAATATCAGGTTTGAAGGAACCCCATTGTAAAATATATTTTTAAAGTATTCCGATGAATTTGAAAGAAACATAAACAAAAATTTTAAGTCCGTGCTTAAAAAAATAGAGACAAGAAGTAAGAAGAGTAGTTACTGGGTTATAAGAAGAAAAACAAAACAAAACTATACGTACATGTAGAGAGAGAGAGAGAGAGAGAGAGAGAGAATCATCATGGGAAAGTCATTCCAAAAGCACATACATTGGCTTTGGAGAGTGCTTTGAGTAGGTTTGGTGAAATGCATGAGTTGAAAGCCCAAAATAGACTTTCAACCAAGTCCTGTGGACAGTGGCTTATATCTGGCAAGTAGAGATAGATTTACCACAGAAGGGTCTTAGAGGAAATTGTTAAGAGAATAATTAATAACTATATATTGATGGACAGCTGGCAAATTACTGGAATAGCCCTGTGGTATTGCTGTGAAGAATTGAACATGAAGAAAAGGAAATAGTAACAGTAAATTTTAGTAATGCTCTTATTGAATATATACCTAGGTGTTGTTATTTTGAATCTTAATCTTATTTTCATGTCCTATTTTTAAATAGAAAATGGAAATTTGAATTGTGCCATTAATATTAATTGTCTCATATTTTGGTAAAAAATGCAACAGAACTTAAATGGCTTTGTAGGTGTTTCTCAGCTATCTACATTTGAAGGCAGTGTGTCTATGTATCTATAAAGAGTCAGTGCTATTCACTTACTAGGAGTTATCGTATGAGCAAGAATGGAACTTGTCCAGTGCATACTAGCTGGCTTTACAACGCCAGTATATTTTCTTAGATATTCATTTATCACCTGTTTGCTTTTGAAGACAGCCCCTCTGTCTTAGTTTGAGGCAGTGTTCAGTGAGCTGCTGAACCTGCATTCTGGCTCTTGGATTTAAGCCTGACTCAAATTAATGCTCTATTGCTTACCTTTCGAGGGTCCTCTACAAAGTCACATAAAATCACTGAGACTCAGGCTTCCTATCATAAAAGAAACAAAATACACACCTCACAGGGTTGTCCTAAGACTAAAAAAAAATTAATAACATATGTAAGCCTCAAAAGCCTGGAGCCTATATTCTCCAGTGTAATAGCAGTCACGCAGTTGAAGAAACACAATTAAGCAACAAATAGTGATTGAGAACAAACCCCCCGTGATACTTTAATATTTCAAAAACTATGAAAAAGATTCAAATATGTAATACCTGATAGGATTTATTTAGATTCCTTTCTTCTTTTACCTACCTATCTTATATCTCTAGTTTCTCCCAAATATCTTACTCAACTATTACTTAAAATTTCTTTCCACACCCAGTCTACAGCTGCTTTTTTTCTCCCTGTTCTTTCTCCCCTGATCTCAACCATTTCTGTACTTTTATAATGTAGATGGTTTCTACCTTTCTCCCAATGAGAAAAAATCCTTATTCTTTAGGGATGTGTGGGATGTATGTGTATCTGTGTGTTTGAGGTAGGCATTAGACTGGCAGGCAATTGCAGAATTCTCTTCAGTGGGCTGGAGAAGAAGTGTTGTGGACATTCCCATGTTCATTTTTTTCATGACATTTATGAAAACACTTTTTCTGTGTCACACAATATTTCTTGGCAGGAGAGCCAAGCCTTTGCTACATGTATGAGGGAGATGGCATATGTGAACCTTTTGAGAGAAAAACCAGCATTGTAGACTGTGGCATCTACACTCCCAAAGGATACTTGGATCAATGGGCTACCCGGGCTTACTCCTCTCATGAAGACAAGAAGAAGTGTCCTGTTTCCTTGGTAACTGGAGAACCTCATTCCCTAGTAAGTTAAGCCAGATGAATAGAGTCGAGCCTGCGCAAAATTGTAAAGTGACTCCCCCTATGCTTACACTTGGGGTCTATGTTTGGATAATTAAAAGAAGAAGTAAGGAGTTAGAAGCCCTAGGGAACATTACTGGATCTGCCAGCATTGCTATTACAATTACATGATGTTGGACAAGTCACTTAACCTCTCTGGGCCCCAAGGTTCTCACCTGGAAAAATGGGTATAGTAACACCATTTGCACTGTTTCAGTGGTTTACTACAATGATCAAATAAGCTTTAAAATATGTATTAAAGATCAAAGTATAAATTGATTTAAAGAAGTTTTATTATTGAAGAAACCCTTGATATAAGTAAATTCTTGCGTACATATTTTTTTTCTGAATATCCACCTAAATAGATAGAAGATCCTCTGACGGATCTAAAATGCTATACCAATGACATCTATGAGATATAGTTGAAGACTGAAAAGAGGATTAAAGGCTCACAACTCTTGGGACCTATTCTAGATGCTTTTATTGTGAAATAAACTCTTCCATTTATTAGAATAGGCAATACAGCCCTTTCACAGAAGTGAGATTTAGGCCTCTAGGTATTTCAGGCCAGAATGAAATAATAGGATTTTATACTTGAGAAGACATCTTTGAAGAGATTGAGGAGCCAGCTAAGGTTGATGCTCCAGTTCAAGGATTTCATCAAGGACCCAGGGTCTCCTAGATTCCAGCTCTTTCATCCTCGGGTGCAGCCTTCTTCCTCCTGCTCAAAACATGGCTGCAGTTCTCCTAGGCGTGAAGTCAGCATTTCAAGGAAGGAGGGGGCAGGCCAAAGGAAAATAGGTGCATGCCAGCTGAGTCTTTCCCTTTTTATTGGGAAAATAATAGCTTTTCTGGAAGTTCCACCCGCCTCTTACTGGTCAGATCCAGGCCACTTCATCACCTTTAGTTGTAAGGGACCCTAAGGAGATGAACATTTATAACCAGATACACTGTCGCCTTGAACAAAATTGGAGTTTATTAATAAAAAAGTAAGGGGAAATAGATACCGATCGGCAACTAGCCATTTCTGCCACACTCTCTCAGCCTAAATTCTAGCATCTTGCTCTTTCAAGTCCTGGCATCCGATGACAGGAAGCCAGGGAAGTTGGGAGATTCTGAGGTAATGACCGCTCTCTGAAGTGGCTTTTAGTCTAGTCTGTCTGTCTTCCCTAAGTGAAGTGGGAGAAATTTCCTGGAGTTTCATTTCTCTGGCTCCTTTGCTTAGCTGAATCCTCAGTGGTTCCCTAACTCAGTAGCCTCACTTTTGGGGCCAGTGGATGCTGCCTGGTAAGGGCTTCATCATCACCCCAGACAGACTTCCCTGGCTGTTCCTGGGGCAGTTACCTGAAATATGCCAGGACTATTTGTAACCACCCAGTGTGTAAGACCCCTGGGCCGATGATAAACGAGAGTTGTTGTGTTTTCTACCCTTGTAAGTTATATCTTGATGTTAAAGAGAGCACTGAGAAATTCTTCAATGTTGAGAAAAGTTTTCTGCCAATAATGTGATCATTAGGCATTCAGAAAGAGAGAACAACTTTGCTTTGAGCTGGAGAGTTTCATTGTCCTTACTTATATCTTCACACTCCACACTTCAAATTGTTGGTTGAAATTGTATTTCAGATTTGCACATCATACCATCCAGATTTACCCAACCACCGTCCCCTAACTGGCTGGTTTCCCTGTGTTGCCAGTGAAAATGAAACTCAGGATGACAGGAGTGAACAGCCAGAAGGTAGCCTGAAGAAAGAGGATGAGGTTTGGCTCAAAGTAAGTGGCCCAAATGTTTCTTTTGTGCATGTGAAAGGTGTAAGCATATGTGTGTGTGTGTGTGTGTGTGTGTGTGTAAATGGTGCATTTGGATGACTTGTCAGAAAATTTTCTTTTGTTATCTCAAAGTGTTAATATTTTGAGTTTATTTTCACCTCTCTGTATTGTGGACTTCTTTCTGTTAATACATGAGTAATCAGTTTATCAAAGTGTAACATACACACGGAAAAGTGCAAAAATCAGAAATGCATAATAGCTCAATGAATTTTTGCAAAGTGAACATCCTTTCTAATCACAACATAGATCAAGAAATAGGACATTCACATCACTGCCCCCCCTCCAAGGCTCTCTCATGTCCCCTCTTAGTTATTACACCACTGAGGTGGATACTATTTCTGTTTCTATCATCATAGATTAGTTTTGACTGTTTTTGAAATTTATAGGAAAACACTTTACAGTATGTACTCTTTGCAACTGATTCTTTCTTATTTGGCATTATATTTGTGGGATTCATTCATGCTGCTTCACTTAGCAGTAGTGTTCATTTTCATTGTGGTATAAGCATTGCAATGTATGAATACACCACCATATATTTAACCATTCTAATATTGATGAATATTTGGATTACTTCTGGTTTTTCTCTATTATGCTATTACAAGTCATTCTGCTATAAGCATTTCTGTACATTTTTGTGGTGAACGTGTATAAACAGATGGGTATATTTGGAACTGCCAGATCGCAAGTAGGCCAGCTTTGGTAAATAATCCCAAATAATTTTCCACAGTGGTTGTACTAATGTATACTCCCACCAGATGTTTTGAGTGTTTCAAATGTTTCACATTTTCATCAACATTTGGTCTTTTAAGTCTCCATTTTAATGTTTTGTTGTATATGTAAAGGTATTGCCCTGTGGTTTCAGTTTGTATTTGCATGATGACTAATGAGATTGGGAGGCTTTCATATGTGTATCAGCTATTTGTACATATTTTTTAAGGGCATAATCAAGTCTTTTGTTCAATTTTCCATTGAGTTGTCTGTCATTTTCTTCATAATTTGTATTATTTCATCATAATTATATGCATATTAATTCTTTTTCAGTAATATGCTCTTTCATATCTTCCAACACTATGGCTAACTTTTCTTGCTCTTAAACACATCTTTAGACGAATTCAAGTTCTTTTTTTTTTTTTAAGAGGCAGGGTCTCGCTCTGTTTTCCAGGCTGGAATACAGTGGTGCCATCATAGCTTACTATAGCCTTGAACTCCTGGGCTCAAGAGATCCTCCCATCTCAGCCTCCCAAGTAGCTAGGACAAGAGTTGCTTGCCACTACACCCAGCTAATTTTTAAATGTTATATAGAGATGGAGTCTAGAAAAGGCACCAACTCCTGCCAGTATCTAACATCAAACTCAAGTTAACCAAAGCCTCTTCTTTAAACCTGAGCAAAGGGGATAATCAAAGTAAACTGCTTTCATGAGACACAGGGGCAAGCTTGTATTCACTTAATAATTTTGCCTTTACCTAAATTAATATAACTTATTATAGTCCTTGATACCAAATAATTTAAATGTTTAGCTACCAGTGAGCTTCCTTTCCTGTCATTTTCAAAACTAGGCTGGGCTTATGACCTTTTTGTTTAAAGCATTGCTAATTCTTTATGTTTTATTTTGCCTCTCAAATGTAAAACTGTTCAGTCCCCCCAGGCCCAAAGACAATCATGGAAGAGGTGGGCGTGTGAGATTATAAGGACCAGATTTTGAGAGATAAAATTAACTGAGATCCTCCAAATCAAAGACAGGCACATAGATGCCTAAACAAAATGTTTGTGTTTTGTATAACTAATTACTACAAGCCAAGATTATAGCAACTCAACACACATAAGTCAGTTTTATAACCTTATTTTTTGACTTTTAGTTTTGACTCTTATATTGCTTAAAAGAGGTTTAAGAGCTAATAAGTGTCTGCCCACCTTCATTCCTGGCTGGCCTAAAACAATTAATTAGCTATAAGTCTTTTAACTCTAACTCCCTTGACCATAAGGATCCCACCAAAGGACATAATGGACCCGGGGCAGATAGCACACCACCCCAGCATCGGGGTGAGACAAGAGGAAAGCTTGGCTATTAATACTATTTCTGTAGTGCCTTGACAAAAAGGGAAAACGTAAACTGAAAAAAAAATCCATGGCCCCTCTACAGACTGAGTAGATCCCCCACTTGGCCAAAGGGAATCCCCTCCAAATGCTAAAAAATCTAATTCAAGCCTGATGAGAAATAAAGGGTCAGACACACCTCACTATGCTCCAAACCCCTAATGTTTAAGCCAGGATCAGAGGCCATTCCAAATTATAAAAATAAAGTATTGCCCTTTCCGATGCAAAAAAGAATACTTTTTCTCTTCAATTGGGAGACTTAGCCTTACTGGGAGAAAAAAAAAAAAGGATACCTTGAGGATAAATTACAACCAAAATGGAAGGGCCCCTATCAGGTATTATTAAACACCCTCACCATATTAAACTTTTAAAAAATAACTACTTGGGTACACCTCTCCAGAATAAAACCTGTTTTTTAATGAGTCACAGGCACCATAACCTACATCTGCGGAAGAAGCCATGACCTACCTCTGTAAACCTTTGAAAGACCTCTGCTACCTATTTAAAATAACACATGGCCAAAAGTAATAATGTGATACTGTGGATAGCAATAGGTGCATTAATTATTTTCTTCTTGATTATAATAAGTCTTTTCTATTGCTTTGGCCAACTACCTTCTCCTAGAAAACACCTCTTGTATCCTTGTTGGGTGTAGAGACTCTTCTAAGGACCTACTAGACACCATGTTGGCACTATTAATCCTGTTTGCTCTCTCAATTAACCTAATCCAATGTGGGTGGAAGTAAAACTTTATAATAAATATTTCAAAAATTATAGCGTCAGGGAATCATCTTTGTGATTACTAAATTTGTCATCAACATTTCCAGAATAGCAAATTCCACCTTCTGGCCTATCCAGAAAAATCTCATGGCCATCTCCCCAGACCTCCTGACTAATCACTGCAATCTCAAAGTACCCAGACCCCTACTTGTTAGGTGAAACTCTGCCTCACTTAATGGATTCCACCTAAACCCCCTGCCACTATGACCTAGACCTGGAAAGTTGGCTATCTTTACCTCCAGTGCACTAATAATTCTATCTTTAGTACCCACTGTTGTGTTAATGACACAAAAACAAAAGTTTCCCTTCAATGCTCTAATCTAACTCTAGTTGCCAAGTTCCCAAGGTCGCAGCAAGGTAAATGGGATTCCACTTGTGTTCGAAAAATCTGTTTATAGGCCTTCTCCTGAATCAAAACACACAGGGGAAAAGCAACTGCCTAACTGGGGAAGGTGGAAGCACAGCCCCCTTCTAAAGAACAAGGAGAGTTTGACCACCCCCACTGGAGCAGGGGAGAAATATCTCTACAGACCCAATGTGGCTGCAAAGGGTAGACATCACACCTTGTGGGGCCTCTGTGCCCCAACTGGGCTCGTTTCTGTTTGTGGTCATGAGTGGGAAACAGTCATATCTCATAACCATTCCCGACTTCCTGGGGAGCCACGTGTTCTTTCAGGCATAGCTTTCCCTAATTTATCAAAAAGGTGAAATGGGTGAACATACATTGGCCACCCTTACCCCTGTGGGGATCACCGTCTATAACCCCTTAAGACCCAGGAATACCAGAAATAAATGAGCAATGACGTTGATTCTGGCAGGAATTGGGGCAGTAATAAGACTAGCAGACCCCTGGGATGGCTTGGCCTACCATGAGTTAGCCCTAAAATGCTTGACTCAAACCCTACAATCATTAGCCACCAACACAGATTAGGCATTAAAGGGAATTCAAAAATTCCTAGACTCTTGGGCAAATATAATACTTGATAACAAACTAGTGCTGGATTATTTAGTAGCTAAACAAGGCAAGTCTATGCAGTTATTAATAAAATATGCTATACATATATTAATATTAATATATTAATTAATTAATATTAATAACTTCAAACAGGTTGAGGTTAACCTTCAAAAAATCTATGAACAAACTACCCGATAACACAAATACAATGAGGGTACTGGCCCCAACTGTATTTGGTTGACTATCAAAAATGTTCTCCCAAGTCTTACCTGGTTCTTACCTCTCCTAGGACTTTTACTGTAAAAGCTAATAATAGCTTTCTGTTATTACTAATTTTTGTCCTTTGCCAATTTAACCTCTTTCTTTTTTTTTTTTTTTTTCTTTTGTTTGAGACGGAATCTTGCTCTCGCCCTGTCACCTGGGCTGGAGTGCAATGGCGCGATCTTGGCTCACTGCAACCTCTGCCTCTCGGGTTCAAGCGATTCTCCTGCCTCAGCCTCCCAAGTAGCTGGAATTACAGGTGCCCGCCATTATGCCCGGCTAATTTTTGTATTTTTAGTAGAGATGGGGTTTCACCACATTAGTCAGGCTGGTCTCAAACTCCTGACCTCAGGTGATCCTCCTGCCTCAGCCTCCCAAAGTGCTGGGATAACAGGCATGAGCCACTGCGCCCAGCCTTAATCGAACCTCTTAAGAAAGTTTGTGTCTTCTAGATTACAACAATTCCTTCCTTCTTTTTTTTTTTTTTTTTTTTGTTTTTTGAGATGGAGTCTTGCTCTGTCACCCAGGCTGGAGTGCAGTGGCACAATCTTGGCTCACTGGAAACTCCGCTTCCCAGGTTCACGCCATTCTCCTGCCTCAGCCTCCCGAGTAGCTGGGACTACAGGCACCCGCCACCATGCCCGGCTAATTTTTTGTATTTTTAGTAGAGACGGGGTTTCACCGTGTTAGCCAGGATGGTCTCGATCTCCTGACCTCGTGATCCGCCCATCTCGGCCTCCCAAAGTGCTGGGATTACAGGTGTGAGACACTGCGCCCGGCCACAACAATTCCATATAAAAATGTTAGCAGCACAAGGCTTTCAACCCATCCCCTCTTCTGACTCAAAAAATGAAAACACCCTCCCTTTAGGCCCCTTAGGCCAGCTGTCCAAAGATTTTTATTCCCCCAGTGCTAGGCAGAAAGCAAAGTAAAATTAGCAGAAAGCACTCAGAGAAGATAGACCTCCACCCTTCTGCAGCCCCCTGAGGATTAAGGAGGAGTATCTAATATCTGAGAGGGGGTTAAGGTAGAAGATCAGTAGGACTTGTTTTGTAAGCATTGGTTAGGGCCCTGCTAATCAGAGCAGGATCTGGTTGAAACAGCCTACAGTGAAGAAGCCAGCCAAAACCAGCAGATGGCAATAAAAGTGACCTCTAGTTGCCCTAACTGCTCATTAGCATAAAGACACTTCCAGCAGCACCATGGCAGTTTATAAATGCCATGGCAGCATGCTATGGCAATGACCCAAAAGTTACCCTATATAGTTCCGAAAACTCCTTGCCCCTTTTCCAGAAAGTTCTGAATAGCCATCTCTTAATTAGCATATAATTAAAAGTGGGTATAAATATGACTGCCAAAAGCTCCTAGGCTGCTACTCTGAGCTCACTGTCTATGGGGTAGCCTTGCTATGAGAGTAGCGGTACCTCTGCTGCCTCTTCATAAAAGCTGCTGTCTAACACCACTGGCTCACCTTCAAGTTCTTTCCTGGGCAAAGCCAAAACCTCTCCTTGGCTAAGCCCCAGTTTGGGGGCTTGCCTGCCCTGCATCAGTTTTCTGAGAAAGTGGAGTTGAATTTTATCTAATGCTTTTTCTGCATCTATTGAGATGATATTTTTTCTCTCTTTGTTCTGTTACTATATTAACTCACATTAAACATTTTTTTAATGTTAAACTAACATAAGATATTTGGAAAACCAACAGCCAATCACAGAGCTTTGAATTCTATTTGAGAATATGTTGTTGGTTTTTCATCTACATTCATTAGAGTTTGGCCCTAACTTTCTTTATTTTACTGTCTTGTCAGGTTTTATGATCAAAGCTAAATAAATAAGTTTCTTAAATAAGTTTCTTTTTGCTCCAGTTCTCAGCTCTATGGAATATTTTGTGTAAGGTTAGTGTTAATTTTTTGAGAATTCATCAGTGAAACTATCTGAGCCTGGTGTTTTCTTTGAGGAAAAAAATACAATTATGGATTAAAATTTTAAAACAAATGTAGAGAAATTTAGGTTTTCTACCTATCTTAAGTCAATTTTAATAAGTTGGGTTTTTCAAATAATTTGTCCCTTAAAAAAATCTAAAATATCACATTAAGTTTTTCATAATATTCTGCTATTTTCTTTGTCATGTTTCTACAGAATAAGGATATTTTTCACTCATGCTATTGTTAATTTGTGGCTTGTCTCTTTTATTTTTACTGCTCAGTCTTGCTAGAGGGTTATCATTTTCATTAACCTTTTATTAATCTTTTTATATGACCAACTGAAGATATATATGATCTTATTTTTCATTAATTCCTTTATGTTTGCATTAACTTGTTCTTTTTCTAGTAACTTGAGGTGATGCATAGGTAATTGCTTTTTGTCCTCTCTGTTTTTAAATTTTATACATTAAGGCCATAAATTTCCTTTTAAACATGACTTTAGCTACATTTCATAAGTTTTCACATCTTATTTCTGTTACCATTCAATTCAAACCAATTTTCTTGTTTTCATTGTGATTTCTTTTTTTACTCCTGAGTTATTTATAAGTGTGCTGTTTAACTTGAAAACATATGTGGATTTGGGGTAACTTTTTTTTTTAAAAAAAAAAAACATAGCTAGAGTCTTCTGTGGTCAAAAGTATATTCTATATTTCAATTCTTTGAAATTTGTTGAGCCTTGAATTATGGATCAGTCTATGGTCAATATTGGTAAGTATTACATGTACTTTGAAAGGAATGTGTGGTCTGCAATTGTTGGATAAAGCATTCCATATATTTAAAATGTCATGTTTGTCCATTGTGTTGTTGAAATTTCCTATACTATATATACTTTGTATATATTGGTTTTTCCCAATATTGTGTGTACTGTTTCCATCGGGTACTGAGAGACATGTATTATATTCCTCCAAAAAAATCTTGGATTTGTATGTTTCTCTTTTAGTTTTGTCATTTTTGAGACATTTAGAGGCTATCTTATTAAATGTGAAGGCAGTCTTTACTTAGCCTGGTAGTGTGAAACCACAAAATAACTATGCAAGTTGAAACCTGCAACCTTAATAATCAATGGGAAAAATTACAATTGCTTCGTGATATCTAAAAGATTTTTTTTTTTTGCAACATTAAATGCTCTCTTATTTTTAGTTATAAGTATGTAGAAAATGGAAAAAACTAGTGAAACTAATATTTAGTTCACTGGAATTTGAAACAGAAACATGAAGAAATAAAGTGTTTCCTTTTTTGTGAAAAAACAAAAAACAAAACTTACGAAGAATACTTTAAACATTGTTTGCCTTTTCCTCATTATATGACTTACATTACAAAGCAAGCAGTTCTTCTGTGTGTTGATGAATTGTCGTGTTTCCTGTGAAGTTTGAATCCACTTCCAGCATTTTATCCTTTGCACTTTCAATGTTATGAAATATCTCTGAGAGTTCCTTTAACGTAAGTTTTTTTCTTGACATCACTTCTGGGACAGCTTCTTCCTTTTTGTCACAACTTATTTTTTCATTTATATCGATAATTTCACTTTCACTGACTTTCTCTGGCTGTGTTCCCAGAGTCTCTTGAATGGCAGTAGAGTCAACATTCCCAGAGCCAGCTATTTCTTTTATAACTCCATTTATCTTTGATTCAAATTTCACTTCCCAGTATTATCATTTTTCATTTATTTGCTACGTGTTCATCCTTTTTAGCCAATTCCCTCTTTTGATTATCCATTTCTGTAAAGTGTCATTTATCACTAGGAGACAAAATGGTAACGTAAGTATACACTTTTTAGTTTCTGTGTGAATGAAATAACAGATACCCAGTGACCAGTCAGTGACAGACTTTGAACGAAATGATGTGATTGGTCACCCATCATTATTCACATTTGTTATTCACATGGTGATTTTTGGATTGAAGGACCAGTAATGAAGTTGGTACTTTATATAGTTAAAATTAATATATTGTGCAAACTGAAATATGAATCGTGTTCTTGGGAGACTGGTTTTAGTTAGCTAAATTGTTATAACCGATATTCATCCATATGGGAACTGTGTAAACTGGAAACTGTCAGTATATAATTTTAGAATTTTTGTATCTTTTAGGTGAATTATCTCTTTTAAAACTAACTTTAAAAGCCCTCTAGCAATACTTCTTGCTTTACCATAACCTTATTGTAGCCATACCTATACTGAATAACATTTTATATTTGTGTATTGTGTCTTCTTTCATCCTATTACTTTTAACTTTTCTTTGTAATCATATTTAATATGCTTAGTTTGTTATCAACATATTATATATATATGTGCAATATAAAATTCTCTGTTTTCTAGTTGGAGAACTTAGTACAATTACGTTTAATGTAATTAAGAATGTTCAGTTTTAAACTTACCAACTTACCGTTTCTTATTCATTTGTTCTATATGCTCTTTATTTGTCTCTTTCTTGCTTTTTTTTAAATATGTAGTTTGATTATGTGATTTCTCATTCTATTAGTTTGTTAGTGTATTAGGGTTCTCCAGAGAGAAACAATAGGATGTATCTACATATAAATAGATAATAAGAGGGTATTCATCAGGGGAATGGCTCACACAATTAGGGAGGGCAATTGGTTCACACAATTAAGTCTCATGATAGGCCCTCGGCAAGCGGGAGACCTGGGATGCTGGTAGCATGACTCAGTCCAAGTCCAAAAGCCTCAGAACCAAGGAAGCCAATGGCATAATTCTGTCTGAGGCCAAAGGCTCAGGAGCCCCCAAGAAGCTGCTGGTACAAGTCCCAGAGTCCAAAGGCTTAAGAACCCAGAGTTCTGATGCCCAAGGGGAAAGAGAAAGAGTTTCCTGCTCTGGAAGAGGAAGAAAGAAAAGTCTCCCCTTCTTTCACCTGTTTGTTCCATCTGGGCTCCCAGCTGATTAGATGGCACTCATCCACACTGAGGGTGGATCTTCCTCTCTCAGTCTGCTGACTCACATGACAGTCTCCTCCAGAAACACCATACAAACACACCCAGAAATAATGCTTTACCAGCCATCAAGGCATCCCTCAACCCAGTCAAGTTGATATTTAAAATTTACCATCACAGTGAGCTATACTTTTATTTTCTAAGTGGTTAGTCTTGAGGTTGCAATACGCATTCTAACTTGTTGAGAGTCTGGTATAAATTAATACTCTCACAATTTTATAATGAATAAGATACCTTAGAATGCTTTTCCTGCATTTATTGCTCTCTGCATTTTTAAAGTAAAATGAATTTAAATTCCCTAATATTTACCCTCTCCAGTGCTCTTTAATCCTTTCTACATTTCTATGCTTCCACTATTTTTGTTTAGCTTGAGGAAATTCACTTTTATTATTTCTCTTAATGTGGGCCTGCTGGCAATGAGTTCTTTCAGTTTTTGTGTGGCTAAAATATTTTCATTTGGCATTCATTTTCAAATGATATCTTTGGTACAAAATTCTAGGTAGCCAGTTGTTTTCTTTTATCCTTTGGAAGATGTTATCCCGTTATCTTTTCACTTCCATATTTTGGAGAGTTAGCTGTACATCTGATATATATTTCTTTGAAGGCCATGTCTTTTATTCCCTGGTGCTTTTAATATATTCTCTCTGTCTTTTGTCTTCAACAGTCTTTCTATGATGTTCCAAGGCCTACCTGTCTTTGCATATGTCTGGTTTGTCAAGCTTCTCCAATCTGTGGCTTAGTGTCTTAGTTTCAAAAAAATTTTTTTCAGGTATTCCTTCTGCTCATTTACTTTTTTTTTTCTTGGTTGCCAAATATACATACATTACACCTTTTTTTGTGTATCTTTTTAACTTTTCTGTTCTTCTGTTTGTTATTCCCTTCTTTTTCATGCTGTCGTCTGATTATTTTACACTGAGCTATCTTCTGTTTCAATAATCCCAAATTTTGCTCAATATAATCAGCAGTTAAACTATTTATTAAGTCCTTAGTTTTGTTATTGTATTTTTAACTTTAGAATGCCTATTCAATTTTTCCTATATATTCTTTGTGAAATTCTTCATCTTACAGTCTATTTAAAAACATATTAATCACAATCATTTTTAAGTCTGCATCTGATAACACCAATATCTTGATGGAGGGGTCTGTTTAGGTTGACTTTAAAACATCGTATTTATTTGGGCATTTCTACTATTATACTGATAATGTTTTAAGTGAATATCAAACACAATAAATTGTAGAGGCTCTGGCTAATATCTTCCTTTCAAGATTTTTTTTTTTTGGACATTTGGTAAGATTTGGGAAAGATCACTTTAATTCAATAAGTAATTAAGATAGCTTGTGCTTTGTGAGCCTTTATACATTTCCTTTTTTTTTTTTTTTTTTTTAGTTTTTTCTTTCTTCTAAGGCCTGGCTCTTCAGGGGTCTCAACTAAAAGCTTGGATTAGGACCTCCACATTGACAGTCTTTGAAGTACAATTTCTATTTCATCAGCAGTGTGTCTGCTAAAAACTCTTCTTAGTTTTTTGGACTCTCTATTGCCAATTTCTATTTGGCTTTTTATACCGTTATTTTGCATTGCTTAGGATTTGAAGAATACCTCAAAGGCTAAAGTAGCACAGAATATTAGTTTCCCTTCAATGTGTTCTTTTTTATATTATTATTAGACTTTTAAGTCCTGACTACTTGGTTGCTCTCAAATGCTTTTAAACTTTTTTGTATACTTAATTCATGTTTTATGATTGTTCTTGCCAGGACAGTTTGTTGTATTACACGCTACTCTATAATAGCTGAAAATAGAAATCTCCAGCTGGAATTACTTTAATATATGTCAGTTAGCTACATCTTACATTTCAGGTGTGTACCGTGTTTTAGTCTGCCTTCTGATGGTATAACAGAATACCACAGACTGGTTAGTTTATAAAGAAAATAAGTTTGTTTGGCTCATAGTTCTGGAGACTAAGAAGTCTAAGAGCATGGTGCTGGCATCTGCTCAACATCGGGTGAAAGCCTTCTTGCTGCATCAAAACATGGTACCAGGGTAGTAGGGCAAAAGAGAGCATGTGAGACAGAGCTCACTTTTATATAAAAGCCACTCCTATGATAACTGAACTACTCCCATGATAATGGCATTAATCTGTTCATGACAGCAGAGTCCTCATGACCCAATTGCCTTTGAAAGGCTCTGTCTCTTGCACAGTGCAAGCAAAATTCCAAGACATGAACTTTTGTGGACTACATTTAAGCTATAGCATACCCAGTTCATACTAAAACTCATCCAGGAGTAATAGTCTTTGTATTAGAAAAAATTATTAATATAATTGAAAGTTCAGTTAATATATAAGACCTGTTAAGAAAATGTAGTCTTCACAAATCAATACAACACCAAATAATTTAGAAAGTGATTTTTAAAGATAAGGTGGTTAGGTTTTTTTTTTTAAACCTTTCAGAGAAATATAGGATTTCTGACTCTTTATTCTTCCTTTCAGTACACTTTAATCTTGATTTGATACACAAATATGATTAGTATGCAGTAATTCAGAGACAAATTTACTGCAAGTGAGAAACAATGATAGTGGCAAACATTAGTCTTGAAAATATCTTCCCAAAAATCTTTCATTGACTAAAATCTTACTTGCCCAAAAAAAATTCTATCATTTTAGTCTACATTTACTGAAATAATACTCTTAGTTTTTCTTTTCTTCTAATCTTGAGCCAATAGAGCAAAAGTGTAAGAATTTTCTTAAATATAATAAAATGTAGAGTCTTTTTTATTATTTACATAATAAGCACATTTTATAGCCATTTATGGTTTACAAAGTACATTCTCATGCACTATTTGCATTTGATCCCTACTATAGCCTTGTGAGTTTGGCAAGGTAGGTGTTTTCCAATTTTACAGGTGAGTAAAATAAGAATCAAAGACTCAAAGTGCTTTTTCTACATCACTCAAGAATAAAATAATAAATCTGACGCTCACATTTATGCCTCTTGATTCTAATCCCATGTTTATCCATCTATACTATGTTGCCTCCTTCAATTAGCATTCACTAAGCACCTATAATATGCCAAAACCAGAATTAAGCACTGGTGACAGACAGAAACATAGCACGAGCAAGCAAACAAATTAAAACATATGTTGGATTGTGAGGAAAGGCTTCCTTATCTTCTTTTGCTGTGTTTCTTCTAAATTCTTGAAAGACTGTGTATCTATTAATCTAGTTCACAGGATTTATTAAATACTTATTGTCAACTCTTGGTGTCATTGGGGGATTGAGAAAGAAACAGAAGGCATAATTCTTCCCAGAAAGTCCTTTGTATCTAAGTAATATAGACAACAAATGAAGCAATTTGAGAAGCAGATACTCAATAAGTACTTGTTTGGTTTCATAGGGAGCCCGTCAACATATGCAAAATCATATGTTCATGTTTATTTTCGTGGCTCCTCTAAAATGTCTGCAATTTGGAATGGTCTCGTTCAGGCTGGACTGGTTAGCAATCCCAACAGCAACCACCACATGCTCACAGTGTCTTCCACATCAGTTATAAATTACAGACCACTGCCTGGAAACCCTTGCTACATAAAGCCCAAAGCCTATTAACCATAATTTCCTCTCTTCCTTTGTTTGGGTTCGACTCTCCAAACACTGACTGTGAATCTTCAACAGAAAACGCAATACATGTTTAATTGATTGGATTTCAAAGATGAAAATCCCTAACACCAGGCGTCAAAGAAGAAGAAACGCATTGATTGAAATTTATTCTATTACTGATATTTTATTATTAATTCTCATACAAATTCTTACTAGAGATATGATTTTTCTCATTCTAAAAATGATTATCTTAAAATTCAGAGATGTTAAGCACTGGCTAGTAGAGCTACAGATAGGATTAAAATTGAAATCCAGTTTATGGAAAAACTCATGGTCCTTTCTCTCTACACCAGGGTTTTGGAAACATTTTCTATAAAGAAAGCAGATTAAAAAACTACTTTAGGGTTTATGGGCCATTCAGTCTGTGTCACAACTACTTAACTACTACTTCCGTTAGCATGAACATAGCCATAGTCAATATGTAAATGAACAAGCATAACTATATCTCAACGAAATTATATTTATGAACTCGGAAGTTTGAATTTCATATAATTTTCATATTATTCATGTTTAAAGTTTTTTTAACCATTCAAAAATGCAAAAACTCTTCTTAGCTCACAGGCTGTACAAAAACAGGCAGTGGGTCAGATTTGGCTTGTGGACAATAGTGTGCTAATATCTATTCTATATCATGTTTCCAGTAAATATTAAAGATATTTACTAGTGTTTGCTTTATTTCCACACCATGACAACATTCACTTTTAATTCTACTTAGTAAACAATGCCTCATATGAACAATATATTGTGATATGGAGGGATCCAAAGATGAATGAATTACCATCTTCACCCTTAAGGTACATACATAGCAGTGGGCATGTTTACAAAAATATGATAGAAGACACAAAGTTGTAAGTCATGTGCTACAGATACAGTAAAGTGAAAAATAGACTTGAAAGAACCTGGTAACTGATTGGACATAAGGAGATAGAGATAAGCATTATCTCAGGCTGAATTATTTCATTTATCACATCTTCCACACCCGGTTACACACACACGCACGCGCGCGCACACACACACTCACGGGTTTAGTCATTTTAATCATAACAGATTTATTTTAGTGCTGAAATATGTCAGAGTTTTCTTTTCTTTTTTTTGAGACGGAGTCTCGCTCTGTCGCCCAGGCTGGAGTGCAGTGGCACAATCTCGGCTCACTGCAAGCTCCGCCTCCCGGGTTCACACGTTCTCCCGCCTCACTCTCCCTAGTAGCTGGGACTACAGGTGCCCGCCATCACGCCTGGCTAATTGTTTTGTATTTTTAGTAGAGACGGAGTTTCACCGTGTTAGCCAGGATGGTCTCGATTTCCTGACCTCGTGATCCGCCCGCCTCGGCCTCCCAAAGTGCTGGGATTACAGGCGTGAGCCACCGCGCCCGGCCAGAGTTTTCACTTCTCTATAACATTCCTGGTGGGAAACTTATATTTTTTTCCTTCTCTGTAAATGATTTACTCATTATGTCTCCCCAAGAAATACAAACTTACCTTCTACTTCTGTCATTTAGCTCAAGGATTATTTCTATTATAGAACCTAACCCTTTCTAAACTCTTCTCCTGAGCCCCAGGTGGTATAATTGATCACTTCATCCTTGATACACACTTCTCTCAAAGTCCCTGTATACTCCACTGTTCTTGTTTACCTATCTCTTCATCCTGTGAACTGTAAGGATCTCGGGACAGAGGCCATGTGTAGTCAAGATTGTATGTTCAACACTGAGTGCAGAGCCTGCTTATTGTAGTGTTCAAAACTGGTGAATGCATGAATAAATGACGAGATATTAAGTCTTAGCCTTGGCAATGGGGAGCATATTGATAATATCTTTTATGACACAGAATAGAGGTAAATAAGTAGGACTGTACACTGGTCTAGACTGAAAAGAGAATGGCCACTACCATTTCTTCTGAGGCCAGAAATAGTGGCAAACCACCTCTTCTTGAAAAGCCTTTTAAAAGATGGGCTGCAGTTCGAGTGGAAATCACATCAAAGGGAATTTTTCAAGGATGAGGAGAATTTGTGATTATCTTTGTTTGTGGCAGGTTGGATTTGGATTCTCTAGGAAATACATATTCTGAGATGGAATTTGGTATACAGGCCATTTACTAAGGAGTGGTCTAGGGATCACCATCTGTGAGCGAGAATGGAAAGAAGCGTAAGTGGGTAAAAAAGGAAGTTGAGCAGCCTTAATGTTAGACTCAGCTGACTCCTTCTGTGGAGAAATAATATATATGACCACAAAGGACAAGGCGGTTCAAAGTAGAGTAGTACTTCTGTAAGGTCCTAACATTATTCATGAGATAGTAATATTTTTTGGAAGTAGATTGCAATAAGCTAGAGATGCATATTGTAATCTCTAGAATAAAAATACACATATGCACAAATAACTGTAGAGGAAAAGTCAAAGAGAAGATTAATGGAATAATAAAATAAATGGATTCAAAGAAGGCAGGAAAAGAGGAACTAAGAAATGAATAATTGTTGGAAACAACAGAAAATAAATACCAAGATGGTAGACTTAAACCCACCTATATCATTAATTACATTATTTAAATTATCTAAAAACTCCATGCAAAAGGCAGAAATTGTCATATAAAAAGAACCAGTTACAAAACTGTTTATGAAAAACACACTTCAAATAAAAAGACATGTACATCAAACAAAAGGGTGAAAAATTATGTACCATGTATATCCTAAACATAAGAAAGTTGATGTGCCATGTTAATATCTGACAAAATAGATTTCAATACAGTGTGTTACCAGAGATAAAGGAGCATATTTCATAATGATAAATAGGTTAATTTCTAAAATAGACATAATAATCTTGTTATAAATTGAAGCACTTAAGAACAGAGGCTCAAAAGAAATGAATTATAAATTGACAGAACTAATGAGCAAACAGCCAAATTTATAATCATAGTTGGGGATTTTTTTCACCTATCTGTTAGTAATTCATTTAATAAGTAGGCCAAAAAATCAAAACAGATATATAAGATTTGAAGATCATTATCAAATATCATGACCTAACTCACATTTGTAGAAACACTACACTCAAAACAACTGTAGAATGCTCATGGTACTTCACCAAGACAGACCATATACTAGACCATAAAACAAGTCTCAATGAATTTGTAATGTTTGAAGCATACAGACAAATTAGTAGCAAGATATCTAGGTCATTCCCAAATTAAGCAATACATGGCTAAATAATTCACAGGCCAAAGAAGATTGTATGGAGGAAATTAGAAAATATTTTGAGCTGAATTATAATGAAACAAAATTGAAATTTGTGGATGCAATTAAAAAAAGTACTTACAGGGAAATTTATAGCATTTAAAATGCCTATATTTAGGAAAGAATCAAAATAAGATCAACAATCAGAGTTTCTACCTTAAATAAGTAGAAAAAGATCAAATTAAAATCAATTAAAATAAAAAGGAAAATCACAAAGAGCAGAAATTAGTAAAATAGAAAAACTTCAATATCATTACTATTATTTTACTTTCTCTGGAAATAGAAGCCAGTGCAGTTAGACTTTTGATTTTATACTTTATGAGATATAAAAGAAGTTAAACATAAAATATGAAAGAAGGAAGTAAAATTTTAGTTAGCATTGAAAAGAGAACAACCTGAAAATTATTTCACTTAGTATCACAGTTTAATACAAAATTAAGGTGAAAATAAATGTGCTGACTAATTTAAACAATCACCAACAAAAATGAAAGTATCTCAGTAGCAATAAAAATGGTAAAATAACTAGAAATAAAACTAAAAAGAAATTTGAAATATCTCTATGAAGAAATGCTACTGAGAGATACCATGAGGGCTTGAATAAATGAAGAGGCACAAACTGGTCCTGTATAGAAAGACTCAATATCATACGAATGCTGATTCTCCCTAAATTTTAAATTTCCCATAATCCCAATAAAATCCAAACAAGATATTCAAAAGAATTATACAGTTGATTTTAATTTTTTTGTGTGTGGAGATTCTGAAAAAGATGAGTAATGGAGGCCTGGCCTTATCAGATATTAAAATACATCATAAAATTATAGTCATTAACACATCAAGGTGCTATATATAAATAAACAGATTAATGGAACAGGGAAGTTCAGAAGTATGCCCAAACATATATACATAAATGTAGACTTAACCTTAAACATAATACTTTAAAGGCAATGAGACTAGTACATCATTTCCACATATTGTTGCCCAAACCCGATATTACCCAATTATCTCTATTTAATTAAGATGATGGGAAAAATGTGGTATCTTACTTTTGTTATGTTTTTCATTTTTCTAATTATTAATGGGGTATAGCATCCTTTACATAATAATTATCAAGCATTTAGGTTTTTTTCTCTTTAATTATTAGTTTTTGCTAAGATTGCAAAGATACCTTTTCGTTTTTAAATTAGTTTTATACTTTTGCCTGTCAAACTTTAGCCTTTAATATATTCAACATTTGTTTTTGTATACAGAATAAGACAGGGATCTACTTTTAAATACATGTATAATCCAATTTTTCTAATATCGTCTGTTAAAGCATCCACCCTTGTCCTAATGATTGTAGTCTCGAGTTGATTATAACCAAGTTCTAGACATTACGTGATTCTAATTTTTAACTCTCTTTTATATTCCATTGGTCTTTTCATCTGTTTCCTTTACCAGCAATACACTGTTTTTATTACTATAGCTTTAACCATATAAACATAGCTAGCAGGACATGTCCCCTCTCCCACTTCCTTATACGTCTTTTTCAAAACTGAATTAGCTTTGAAACCAATGAGAATGAAGACACAATGTACCAGAATCTCTGGGACACATTTAAAGCAGTGTGTAGAGGGAAATTTATAGCACTAAATGCCCACAAGAGAAAGCAGAAAAGATCTAAAATCGACACCCTAACATCGCAATTAGAAGAACTAGAGAAGCAAGAGCAGACAAATTCAAAATTGAATGAACTATTCATTATTCATGAACACTTACTCGTTATTTGTGTGCCATTGTGCATGGCCAAGAAGTCATTATTAAACACACACACAAAATTCAAGAACTTGCTACCTATACTCCTTGTTGAGAAAAAATATTAAAACCAGCCAATTTTAGATTTGAAATTTTAGAACAAGCCTTAAGTCATTTTTTCTGCCTCTTGAAAAACATACTTGTACATATGGTCTGAACTTAATTAACCCCTTGATTTGTATTAATTGATATGAACTTGTGATTTTTCTCCTTTGATTCATAATTATGTTAAATAGCCTTGGTAGATTTTTCTTTTTAGTTGTCAAATCATTTTTGCCTTCGTGAAGCAAGACTACATACTTATTGTATATTTTAAACGTATTGTTGGATTTTATTGGGTAATCTTTTATTTTTGACTTTTGCATGTAGAATTATTTTATATATTCATTTTTTGAATATTCCAATTATAGAAGCCTCATATAATTGCTTGTACAATTTTCTTTTTTTATTTTCTGGAGCCACTTGTATAAAATAAGGATGATCTGTTTCTTCAAAATTTGGCAGAGCCTACCTGTAAAACCAACTGGTATGGGGCTTAACTGAGAGAATACTTATGACTGTCACTTAAATTTATTTGATTTTTATTAATGTCTTATTTTTTTCTATTTTTTCCAATTTTGAATTTTTTGTTATTTCCAGAAATTTATTAATTTCTTCCATATATGCAAATTTAGTGCTGATATTTGTTCATAATGTGTTTTTATTATATTTCAACTCTATTTTAGCTGTAGTTGTTACATCCTTTCTTGTGTATATTTTTGAACCTTCTTTTTCTCTTTTTCTTGATTACGCATGCATGGGGTTTGTCTGGCTTATCAGTGTCTTCAAAGTACAACTTTTACTTTCATTCATCTCTCGTTTTGTTCTCGTTTTTGTTTTTTGTTTTTTTTTTGTATTTCGTTGATTTCTACTCTTATCTTCATTATTTCCTGGCTTTTTGTTTGTCTGGATTTACACTGATGTTCTTTTTCTAGGTTTTGGTGTTGAAATGTTTGGCTAATTTGTTTTAGGTGTTCCATAATTTTCCCCTCTAAGTACTACTTTAATTGTGCCCCATAAATTGTGACATATAAGGATTTTATTGTCATTCAGTCGTAAGTATTTTGTAATGCTCTTATAATTTCTTTTTAAAACCTTGGATTTTTAATAGCATTTTGTTTGTTTCTAGCACTTATTTTTCAGGGCATAATAACTTTTATTGTGCCAGCTGTGTCTTTATTAGATATTTTTTTCTCCTTTTCTTGGCCCTACATTTTATTAGGAAGTACTTAAATAGTGAGTCTTTATTTATTCAGGAATTAAGGGCCAGTCCAAGGTAAAAATGTGTGCCCAGTATCATTCACTGGCCAAAAAGTGTCTACCACTTTTACCAATTTTATCTCTATTTTTGTTTTTATACATAAACATCCACAAGATCCTTTTCTCTATTGCTCTTTTCCTTTTTAAATTTGTGTTCCTTATACTTCTTTCTTTTCTCTGTTCATTTTTGTTTTCCTTATTGTGAATTTTTTAAGTTGATGTGTTTCATTTTTTATTTTCTTATAACTGACAAAACCACACACACACACACACGTTGTACACTGTAAATATATATAATTTTGAGACGGAGTCTCACTTTGTTGCCCAGGTTGGAGTGCAGTGGTGTAATCTTGGCTCGCTGCAACCCCCATCTCCTGGGTTCAAGCAATTCTCTTTTCTCAGTCTCCCTAGTAGCTGGGATTATAGGTGTGCCCCACCATGCCCAGCTAATTTTTTTTCTTTTCTTTGTATTTTCAGTAGAGACGGGGTTTCACCATGTTGGCCAGACTGGTCTCAAACTCCTGACCTCAAATGATCTGCCAGCCTCAACCTCCTAAAGTGCTGGAATTACAGAAGTGAGCCACCATGCCCGGCATAATGTAATACTTTGAGATATATTTATATGTGTATATATACATATGTGTGTGTGTACATATATGTGTATATATACATATATGTGTACATATATGTGTATATATACACACATATATGTGTACATATACATGCGTACATATATATACGCATACACATTGTGAAATGATTGCCACAATCAAGTTTATTGTACATTCTTACATCTTTTCAACTTTGGGTTGCAGAAAAAAATAGAACAACCATTTCAATTTAAATTTTAGATAAACAATGAATTTTTTTTCTTTAGTATGGGTATCTCCATGCAATATTTGGGCATATTTAAACCTCATTGTTTATCAGATAGTCAAATTCAAGTGCCCATACTGTGTTTTGGTTTGTTTTGGCTAAATCTGGCAAAATAGTTTATAATTTAAAAAATATAATTAGTCAGATGCTAATCACTTATTCAGAGATGACTTCAACCACCCAGGAAACTGTCCAGATTTCATAATTTAGCAAAAAAAGAAAAAGCCCATGTACAGATGGCACCAAGTCCAATCACTACTTTGGATTATTTGACTGTGTTTATAGGAAAGTTGACAAGATCCTTTGTTAGAGCTGTTGACTTTACATTGAATTCTAACAGTATTTGTTATCTGAATTTGCAGTCTGTTTTATAAAAGGAGCAACAAATTAGTAGGGATTTAGAAACTGGGAGAAAATATACACTCAGAAGACCAGTAATGTAAGCCTTGTTTTTACCATTAACCAGTTAAGTGACCTTATAAAAATCATATTACCTCTCTGGGCATTAGTTTTCTATTCAAATTTGTTTCAAATGATGCATTTGGATTGGATGATTTCTTTCGGATCTGCATTTAAGTTTAAGCTTGATGGTGAGTTCATAAAAGAAGATAATAAGCAAATATGGTGAATGAAAGTATTACAATCTTAGACTACTAAGTGCTAAAGGCAAAGATAATTATATCTATTAATAGCTTTAAAGTCTTGTTACTCAAAATGTGGTTGGCATGCAGAAACATTGGCATCACCAGAAATCTAGTTAGAAATGCAGGATCTCAGCTCTAGGAACTCATAATCTGCATTTTCACAAGATCCTCAGGTGATCTGTATGCATATTAAGGTTTGAGGAGCACTGCTTCAGAAGACTGTTACCTTAGCATTTAGTAAGATAATTGATGTTCAAAATGATTTAAAATTGTCTCCAATTCATTAAGTGAAAATTCAGTTAAGTACAGCAGAGATACCCAACCCTCAGGCTATGGAGCAGTACTGGTCCGTAGCCTGTTAGGAACCTGGCCACACAGCAGGAGGTGAGAATTGGGTGAAAGAATATTGCCCCCCTGAGCTCCACCTCTTGTCAGATCGGTGGCATTAGGTGCTCATAGGAGAGCAAACCCTATTGTGAACTGCACATGCAAGGGATCTAGGTTGTGGGCTCCTTATGAGAATCTAATGCCTGATGATCTGAGATGGAACAGTTTCATCCTGAAACCATCCTCCTCCATTCCCTCCACCCCCATCTGTGGAAATACTGTCTTCCATAAAATAGGTTCCTTGAGCTAAAAAGGTTAGGGACTGCTGAATTTCAGGATTCTCTACTTGAGGAGGCAGAAAATTGTCTAAGGTGCATTTAAGTTATTTCTATATCCATGATTGAAATTTCTAAAATGATCTTGTGCTTCAGAAGAAAATCTTCTGTTGTTTGGAAAATGAATCTATGTGGATCCCTGCATTTTGTGGGAATCCTGCAAAAGCACAGATGACTGTGTGTACGTGAATCTCATTTCCATCAAAAACTAACTGAGTGCGCTGACAGAGGAGCTCCAATTCTCAGTGGGTCAATAGTTTATTCTGAGGGTAAAGCACTCATTTCCCTCTTTCCTGTTTCATTGTTACTAATCTTTTTATTGATTTTTACATGAAAGCTTTTTCCAGTCCCAGACATGGCAACTTCACAGACACATGAATAATTGGGATAGCAATGTTTTTTTATCCACGATAGAATCCTACCCAGCCGGGGAATGCTCTCATTCCTTTCTTTGCTTATGCATTCTTGTTCCTGAAAGAATCATCTCCAGCTATGTTCCATAACACCTTTTCTCAATGTCAGGCTTTGTCTTAAATGGGTTTCTCCAGGATTCAGACTGAGAGGAGGATTTGCCAGCAGATAGTTTATTGAGAACCTGACTCAGAGCAAGATCTGTGGAGGAGTGAAAGAACTAGCATTGAACAGACAAAGGAGAACTGAAACAGCCCCCGGCAGGTGTCAGCATCCCACAGAGAGCTGGGATGGCCCTTCAGAGTTGTCCCACTCTGTATACCACTCACCCCAACCAAAAGGTTATTGGACATTGCCTGTCCACTCCACCTCCCACTCCAAGAAAATGGCATGTCCTTGTATAGAGAGGTTTTTTCCCCCCTCTGAGGGCAGTTTCTGGAAAGATTCTTTCCAATGAGCTGAATGCCAGAGTCATGAAAGAGGGGATGCAGCTGACACATCACAGTATCCAATACAAATTTGACTTTGTCTCTTTCTGACACTCCTTCCAAGTTCTATAAGCTCTTCTAACACAGAATCTCTGCAGACTTAGCCTTGGTGTCTAAAATCACAGTTTGAGGACATGCTCTCAGAAAGAATTCAGCCAGTCGTCTGATTCTGATCTAACCCCCTTCCATGGACTTGACAAATCATACATTGTTGAATGTCTACCCCTAGTTCGGGTGGGATTATAGTGGTTCCCCCTTCATTTCAAAAAATTATGAGTTGATCTCACCCTTCTGAAACACACACACACACACACACACACACACACAAACTCATGATGTGTTTGTAGCCTTTCTTATACTATGAAGGAATAACTCAGGAAATCAGCTGGGTTTTAGCCATACAAAGGTGGGCAGGGGCTCAAACATCAGAAGAAAGTAAAAACAGGCTCCAACCACACCTACCCATTTTGACCCACATCCTCAATCATGGAGACAACCATGGCAGCTCAGTGCCTTATATCCCCCCTTCATCCATTAGATTTGGATTTCAGGTAAGATCCCTTGAAACTTTGATTATTAAACTCTTCCTCGACAAAATTTCAGAAGTCCACACAGATAGCAATAGTATTAGGTTGAACCAGAAGAAATTGCCAATATTTGATAATTCTTCACCTATAAAAAAGTAATGTGGTTCAATCAATAGTGCAAGCATTCTTAATCTGATTTCTCTCAACCTCTAATTGGACCACGAATGGCTTTTAAAAGTGTCTGTCAGCCCCCTTAAAATTGTGTAAAGCTTTTATGACTAAGAGATTATGTGACTTTATTTCTGGGGGGAGTAAAAGCACAAACATCAATAAGTTTTCTAATCTATGATTTCCTGCTTACCCCAAACTAAGAACATTGGTTCAGTCAACATAATACAGAGCTTAAATTGGGAAAAACCAAGTTCCTTCCTCTCTAGCATTTACCTAGGGAAAGCCACTTAAGCTTTCAGAATCCTAGTTTCCTCTTATGTAATATATCCTTTATATCTTGAGGCTACTGTTGTTCAAAAATATCAAAAAGGAATAAAATCACAATGAGCGCAGTGGACCCACCAGCAAAGCCTGTAATCAGGCTTGGCAAACTGTGAAGTGCTATACAAAAAGAAGGTGATGCCTGCCTACTTTTCTTCTGGTCTAAGGTCTTCTGTTTCCCTGTGGAATCAGGAAGTGCCATAGATGAGTGAAAATGAAAAGGCACAGAAGAAAACAACAATCCAGTAACCAAAAGCATTTTAAAACCTCAGAGAAGATTCTTTTCAAGTTTGTGGTAGAGTTTCAGGATCTGCTATCCAGTGAGCGCCACAAAGGATGACCTGGAAGTTGAAATGCTTGGCTTGGGAGCATATTGAGTGTGTCTGTGCCCAGCAGGCAGATTGAAGGGGGATTTCTTAAGCCCAAACAGTTCTACATCAGAGACACTTTCTTTCAATCTTACCCTTCACCAGTGGCCAATGGTTAGATTGCGTAGTTAACATGCAGCCTTTGGATGAAAAATCAACTGAGTGTGTGAGACTGGCTTTCCCATCTCTCAGAATCTATCTATCTATCTATCTATCTATCTATCTATCTATCTATCTATCTATCTATCTATCTATCATCTATCTGTCTGTCTATCTCTATCTGTCTACCCATCCTTTGTTCATTTTCTCTTTGTTTCAAAATATTTTGTAATGAATTCACTAAGCTAATTTCACTAGCAATCCCTCTATCATGATACCAATTCTCAGACCTGAGAATCACTTGCTTTTCTAACAGTACTTGTCTCCTACCTGATATCTAGCTAAAGTTTTTCTTCCTTGCAAGAGACATGCTTAAATTAATTTTACATTGTGCATGTAATATATGAAAGTAAACTCTTTGTTAAAACGAATAGTAAAATGTTAGATATAGCTAATAATTCTTTTGACTTTCCAGCACTTTGATTTTTTCTTATGGGGCATCAATGATGCACATCTCAGATCTGAGTAGCTCCTAAGGGGTCTTTTAGGAGAGCTTTGTCATTAAGAGGACAGCTGTTCACAAGCATGCATTTGGAGTGATCAGAAGAGTGTCATACTTGCAGTGGCAAAAGTGACACAGGCATACAGCTTCCTACTGTCAAACTGTCTTCCTGATGTTTCTGCTTGTCTTTCATGTCTAGGAGAATAAATTCATTATTTATCTCTAATAAAGCAAAAATAGTCTGGACTCTATATATATATAAAATGTATTTCTTTTGTACAATTCCTTGTATTCCTGTATAAAATGTATTCTCTCTCTATATATATGTATGTATTCCTCATTTAAATATATTTTTAAGGTTGCTCTTTCCACAGCCAAGTCACAAATGTATATGTAAAAATATATATTTATATATATTTTATGTATGTTAAAATGTATATTTATATATTTTTAAATATATATCTTATAAAATATATAAATATATTTATATTTAAATTAAAGTCACATATATACATATATATTTGTTACTTGGTTGTGGAAAGAGCAACTTAAAAATAAATATATTTAAATAATGAATAATCTGAAAGGATTTCTAAATTGCAGTGCCAATTCTAGAAGTTTCTATGTCCTTATGTACAGCAAAAGTAGATTTTTAATAAATACATTTTAAACTAAATTTCTGAAAAGCCTGCAAGAAAAATTATATATTTATTTTAAAGTATAATGTATTTTTCATAGACTCAATTTATAAAGTAGAGATATATTCTGTACCAAGAGCCTACAATATTGATCATTTCCATGGAAGCAGATCTTGGAATACCAGTTCACATTTCTACAAGTATCAACTGAAAATAGCATATATGAAATTTTTTAGGCTATACATTTCAGAAAATCATAATTCCCTCTATATTAAAATATACAAATATATGTTTAGTTTTAAATTTTTATTTTTTTTACCTTTTTCCTACATTGTAAATACACTAATTTTTTTTTTGGAAATACAAATTATCGAACACTGAATTCTTACTAAATAATAGTGACCATTCTATGTATTTTTACCTGATTTCATTTAATAGCCATAGTCAAGCTGTCGGTAACATCTCTATTTCTTAGTAGCAGAAAAGAGAAACCCTAGGCTCAGAGAAGAGAGATATATTGCTCAGATTTACCAGCAAATAAAGAACAATCCAAGAATCGAACTCAGGGTTTCTGCCTGGCTTACTCTCTCTCTCTAGAACTGTGAATTTAGTGGGTTCCTTTTGCCTCTGCTTGAATTTATTATACATGTACATGCAGATTCAGGCTGGTTTCTATTTTTGAAGATCCAGCAGTTGTATGAGGGTTCACACTTTCTTGTGCTAGTTGCTGTTGTGAACATACGTGGGGTCCGAATGAATGAAACTTGGCTACCTTTCTGTGTCACTGTGAAAGGAAATGCCCAAGACTCAGCATTCCATAACTTGATCAAACACTTGTCTCTGTTTGCTTTGTGTAGCCTAAGACTCCTCTCTGCCTGTGTCTCCTTTGTAAGCTTCATCTGAGGTTTTCCTACTTAAGCCATGGCCTGGAAATCCTGGCATAACTTCTTCCCACAAATCATGGCACAGAGACCTTGCCACCAGGAACAGGCAAAGTGATTTGATATTCAAAGACCCTTGGAGCAAGGAGGCATATTGCTAGGAGATGAAAAATAGGTTGGAGGTTTAGGCAGCGACGTTCAAAAGGTAGACACTCACACCATAAGGCCTACCTTTATTAACTAGCTTAAGGTGGGTATCTATTTTGGGATCCAACAGAAGGTGGGAAGGCTGGGTTTCCTCCTTGTTGAAGCCACCCTACTCTTCATGCCTGAGTCCTAATGGGGTAAAGCCACCAGGTATTTGTTTGGATTCTGTTCCTGGCTCAGAAAATGACACAGAACTTTCTTCCAGTACTCAGGTTTCTTTTGTGGTGTATGAAAAGGAAGAGGTTATGGAAATTCCCAGGGGGCTTTGATGTCATTTGCTGCTGGAGCTGAGGGCATTGAATTGGGCTCTTGGTTACCTTAGGGTGTGTTTCATGTCTAGCCCTCATCCAGACAGGGACAAAGGACTTCATATGGCAAGTGTAATCTTGGGTCTGGTTGTTTCTTAAGTTATGAAGAAACATTTGTTACTTCAAAGAGGAGAAATAAAAAGGGGGGGAAAGACACTGTAAAAAGAGAGAGTGTGACTGGTCTTTCCCTTAAAGAAGGAGAGAAAGAAGGGAGAGCCGTGCTGCTTTGACCACTGAAAATCATAAAATCATCCTAATTAAGCCAGCAGTGCAAATGAACTCTATAAACATACTGCCAAGGCTCAGGAAAAATGAGTCTGTGGACAAGGAAGAATTCTTGTTAAAATGAAAACATGTTTTACTCTCCTGCTCCCCACTTTTAGAGGAAGGCCCTGTCATTAGATGTTGTACCCTGCTTTTACACTGGGAACAATTTTCCTGGAGCTTCATCACCCTTAGAACCTGATAAAAAGCTATAGAAATGCACGTAGAACTTTGTAAGGTTCAGTTCCAGATTCTGATCATACAACACCAATATAACACCAGGGAAAGTTGAGATTTATTCTCAATGGAAATTAAGAGAAATATTCAGCTATGGGAAATAAAACAAAAGTAGAATTACCATATCAAATAAGTCCAGTGTGGAAGATGAACACTGGAGTCTCAGCAGTAGCAAGAATCTGCTCTTCATCTTCCAAACTCTCTAAGATGTTTTTTTTCTTTTCTTTTTTTTTCTATCAAAGGATTTCTAAGGAAAACACTTCCATAGTTCACTCTGAAAGTCTGTTTTAGTGTTAATCACCCTAACCATCTAGGGACATTCCTGAGTGATACATGAATTTTCCTGTGTCCCATTGTTGGCTTATTTTCCTGGCCGGGGACTGGGTATACATGCTTGATGCACCAGGAAGACACATAAGAATAAACAGTTTGGCAGATTCTAATTTCAGAAGCAAGAGACTCTGCCACAGCATATCTCCCATGTCAGAGTTCACATGCTATGTGAGAGGTTCTGATAAAAATTTTGGGGAGAGATAGGAAGATGGGGAAAGATAACTAGACATGGCAGTTCAGAACTTGGAACCATTTAGAGCAAGATGCTAGTTTGATGATTCTTCTCCACTGTTTTCACTTTGGCAATAAGGAGATATTTATTGCACTGGCTCTGCAGTCATTTATTGTCTCTGGCAATGGTTTCTTTAAATGATTGTTTTCAGAAATTTAAAGAAAGACAGGGTCAAGTAAAAAAAAACAGTTCAGGTATCAGTCTCAGAAAAAGATAGGATGTTCAGCATCTGAAAATTATCTTCTTTCCATTTGATCTTGTTGTTTGATACAACCTTGAATACCTTTCTGTGTCTACTCCATATTTTTAGCATTTATAAAAAAAATGGAAGCTCTTACTTTATAAATAGTGAGCTCTCTAAGAAGAATAAAAATTGTATAGCACATGTCTTGATAGCTCAATGGAAATAATGACTTATACATAAATGTGCTTATGCTTAGGTGTGTTTCAATAGACCAGGAGAGGCCAGAGCAATTTTTATTTTTTTGACAACTGATGGCCTAGTTCCCGGAGAGCATCAGCAGCCGACAGTGACTCTCTACCTGACCGATGTCCGTGGAAGCAACCACTCTCTTGGTGAGTCTGACAAATATCCCTTTAGGGTCACTAGAGGACAACCCGGTAGACCCAGAAGTCAGCTTGATGTCTGTCTTTTATGTTGTCTGGGATCTTGCCTACATCATACATCTAGGTTTTGGCATCATACACCTATTAAGAGGATAAAATGAATACAAGATATGGAAACATGGTACTAACAATGGCTGAAAATATGATTCATCTCCGTTTATCTTCAGGAACCTATGGACTGTCATGCCAGCATAATCCACTGATTATCAATGTGACCCATCACCAGAATGTCCTTTTCCACCATACCACCTCAGTGCTGCTGAATTTCTCATCCCCACGGGTCGGCATCTCAGCTGTGGCTCTAAGGACATCCTCCCGCATTGGTCTTTCGGCTCCCAGTAACTGCATCTCAGAGGACGAGGGGCAGAATCATCAGGGACAGAGGTACAAACTTCCCTTTCTTTCTTTTGTTTCCTTTTCTTGTGGCTCTAATGATTGGCTCACATTTACATAGTGTTATGTATAGAGTGTTTGCTCAATCACTAACTGAAAAATGAATTTAGGAACTACTAAAAAGACATAGGAAGCAAGCAAAGAATAATTTGTGGAAGGCATACTTGGGTTTTATATTTTGTTCTTCTTTCCTTAGCTGACCATAATTTTTATGTAAATATTTAATGTCTTTACAAGGTCTTAACATCTTTTTTACATATAAAACCACCAACTTCAAATCAACATTGTTATATAAACTGCCAAAAATTCTCTGCCAAAAACTCAATGTTCCTTAAGCAATGTATATTTTTCCACTTCTTTCCACCTGGACAGTGTATATAGCAAGTTTAACAATTGCTTGCTAGGGTGTGTCATATAATCATTTAGAATTATATGTGGAAATAGGAAATGCATTAGCTACATATGTCTTTCTGTGGATGTCTGTGATTGTCATCCTCTAGACAGATGTGGCTATGAGGTTCACTAGCATCTCAGCAGCAGCTATTGGAGGGATTGTACTCACAGTGTTGGTGTGCCCAAGGTTAGGGGAAGGAGCCTCCCAAACACAATAATCTATTCTGCATTTGGGCTAGAATCACTCTATGCATGGTCTAATCAATTGAGTGGGACTACAGGTGACAGGGTTCATTCCTCAGCAAGGGAGGTGAGATCGCTTACTTGTTACTAGGTGATTATGATCCTAGTGACAAAAGCTGGGGTTCCAAGAAGTGCTCCATCACCAAAAAGAAATTCTGGTGCCACAAAGCTCATTCAAGGCATCCCAGATACTCAGACCTCACAGGGATGGGAGTAGAGAGTACTGGTGTACTATGTTAGTTATCTATTGCTGTATAGCAAATTATACCAAAAGTCAATGGCTGAACACCATAAACATTATCTCACAGTTTCTGAGGGTGAGGAATCTGGATACAGCTTCGCCAGGTATCTCTGGCTTAAGATCTCTTATGAGGTTGTAGTCAGGCTGTTGGCCAAGGCTGTAGTTACTCAAACCTCAAGCAGAGCTGGAGAATTCACTTCCAAGCTCACTCCTGTGGCTACTATCAGGCCTCAGAAGATCCACATCCAAGCTCACTCATAAGTGCTGGCAGTGAGCATGCTCACATAGAAGTGCTCAATTCCTTGCCAAGCAGGCCTCTCCGCAGCTATCTGAGTGTCTTTGTGACATGGCAGCCAGTGATCCAAGACAGAAAGAGAGCCAGAGACGGTGAACACGTGAGAGACTACCCAAGAAGGAAGCCACAGTCTTTTTATAACATAATATTGGAAGTGATAGTCCATTACTTCTGGCATATTCTATTCATTAGAAATGAGTCAGTAAGTTCAGTCCATACCCAAGGGGAGGGGTTGGCATAGGGGCATGAATCTCTGGGGGCCAGTAATAGTAGTTTATGTTAACTGAGCATTAACTACATGCCAGGTATTGTTCTAAGTGTTAGAAAGGGAGAAACAGTAAGGGGTAATGAATGTCATAAGGTTAACTAGTTCATCTGCAACTTTAAAGTCTTCTTTCTTAGTGAACAAATGCCTCCAAATATTAACACAAGAATGTAGACTATTAAAATAACATTTATTAGAATTATGGCCTCTCTCTCATATATTTTCAAATTATATTCTCTACTGGCTCTACCTCTGGCCTTAAGCCATACAGCATTTCTTTCAGGTCCCTGAAACATGTGTTCTTGGTGAGCTTTGCACATAGTTCCTACTCTGGTGACTGCCTTCTAATCTTTCTTCACTTCAACTCATACTCTACCATCAAGATTCACCTTCTGTGAAGTTTTGGCAAACGGATTCCTCCCTGTTCCCATAGGACATACTGCATAATGCAAACTCTGCAAAAGCAGCTGTCACATTGGGTGATAACTATTTATTTACTTGTTGTTCTTTCTCATTAAACTCTGAGCTTCCTGTAGTGGATAATTCTGCTCAGTATCTCTGAATATCTACAGAAGGCCTAGCACATAGTAGGTATGAGAAACTGTTTTGGATGACAGTTGCCGACTTTATCTCTAAATGCTCCATGAACAGAACTGAACAAGAAAAAAAAAAAGTAGAAGTTACAGCCTTTCTAGACATGAGGAACAAGAATTCCCCTTACAATCATAGCTGTGAAGTCTCAACAAAGAAGTTGATTAATTGTAATTACTGCCGCTAGTTCTTCACTTCTTCTCATGTGGCACTGTGGGAAAAACAAGTTTCATATGCATGCATGCAAACCAGGAGAAATAGGATATGATTCTCCAGTTTACACTGTGTATCTGGAATGCATAAGCATTTCCAAACCACATGTGACTGACAGGAGCCATGCAAATTGACTTTTCCTTGTCAGCCAGCAAATCAGTACAATGTAGTAAATTTTGATATACCGGGAGCCTGGTAAATCCCATATACTTTAATTGTGAATATAACTGAAACCTAAATCCCTATGTATTCTCAAAGAGTCAAAGTGTTTTTGCAGCCTGTGTCTGTCACAGTTGTATATGTAGAGGCACCACGATATAAAACCCTCAAATTCTGGGCATAGTGAGAGGGATTCCTGGCTACCTCCTTCTTACCCCTTATGACCTGAATTCCACTGATACTTACATGGGCAGGGGAGAGCTGACAGATGCCTGCCAGTAGAATATGTGTTATCCATTTTGTATTTAAACATTAATGACCAGTGGCCCATCCCTCCTGCAACACTACACTTTAAAACCAACCTGATTGGCCCACAGAATCTCAGATGAAAGCCAGTAAACCTAAGTCAGCCTCTCCAGTGATGTTCATGATCTTTGTCTTGGACAAAGTAATTTCTCCTTGCTTCCCACTTAGCTACTAACAACACAGAATACGAAAACTCTTATCAAAATGAAAAAGCAAGCCTGGCAGCCAGAATCTGTGAGGATTTCCTCCTGATTACAAATGTACTGGGGTTAAATTGAGAAACATAATTGGAAATCAAAGCATGCACGGTTTTTATTTTCTGGAAAAAAAATGCATTTAAAGAATAGAGCCATACTAAAAGAGGAGAGGGAAACAGGTTATTCTTTCTTCATTCCCTGGTTCCTTTAACTTGGTTCTGTCTCAGTCTTGTTTCTCACTCTGTTATGATGACTACCCAGTTTATGACCCTTTGAGCTTATTCTACTGATCATGAACCCTTTAGTCTTGAAAACCAAGTTTAGTTTTCCTGATTTTGGCCACCAGTGCTCAAGAAGAGCTTAATTCATTCTTACCCTCCAGTTGTTTCCAGCTCTGGCCACTTTAGGGATAGGTTCTGCACAACTTGCCACAGTATCAGGATCAGGCAAACCTCCAACCATCCCAGGATTGTGTTGATGGCTTTGGGAAGTGGAAACTATCTATTTTATTAATGTAATGGGATTTGCAGTGTGTCTAAAATATAACCCAGACACCAATATGTTAACATACCTAAGTGAGTGAATTAGTTTACAGACAAACAGGACTCTTTCTACTTTGGGAATTTACAAGGTCAAGATAGAAAAGTTTAACAGCAGGCAAGAATTGCTGATGGGCATGTGGTTTCTCCTATCGAATTTTGTTCTTCCAATCACATGGATAAAATGAAAAAATTGATTGTAACTTCTGTGACTTACCTGATAATATATCCATAAGATCTATGAGTGCTGAATCTTCAAAAGATACAGAACATTATCTCCTTTTCCAGGACATGGATTGATGACCATAATTGAAACTTTTGACTACTCTACTCATCTCTTTACAGCATTTACACTTTTTCTTCAATCTGCATAGATTTCCCAGTCTACCTGGTTGAGAATGTGGTGTCAACCTTTTATGCAATTGTGCTTCTTTCATTTTTCCCTTGTATTCCAAACAGTTTTTGATTTATATAATTTGATATTAGATAGTTAAGTATATAATTTTTTGTGAGCCTTTTATCTTTATTAGGATCATACATCTTGCCAATCCTTTTACCCCTTTAAATGCCTGTGGCTTTGTATTCTACTCTTTCTGGAATTAAAATGTCTATCCCTGCCTTCCTTTTGTTTGTATTTGTTTGATAAATATTTGCCTTTCTTTTATTTTTAACCTTTCTCTGTCTTTGCTGCCAGTGAGCCCCAGGCACATAGCTTCACTGCACTGTTTACAAAGCTTTCAGATTTTGCCATGTCCAACTACTCCAAGATTTTATTCCAAAAGTTTATCCCATGATCCTCAAACCTCTAGGATTCTTTAGGACTCAGTAGCATTTTACCTTTAGGACATATATCTCCCAATATATAACGGCTTTTGCCACTGGTTCCACACCCCACCCTACCTCACTAAGACCTCTATACTTCCTAACCTGAAGTCTGAAATGAGTAAAGAAAAGGTAGTACTGATGGGAATAATGACTGGAGAACAGATCTCTGACCCATGAAAAACAGGGCCCAGTTTTCTCGTCTTTACAGGGGCCAGGAAATGAAGAAAGAATGATCTGTTTTTTTCTTTTAGTTTGGCTTCATTACTATTCTCTCTTTTTCAGGAAACAAAAAGTACATGCTTTGGTTTCCAATGATGTTTCTCAATTTAACTCCAATATTTTTTTCAATCAAGAGAAAATCCTTACAGATTTTGGTTGCCAATCTTGGTTTTTGGTATTGATAATAATTTTCATATATTTCTATATTGTTAGTATTTAAATGGGAAGCCAAGAGAAATGACCTTATAGTATTCTTGTGAGATTGACTGAAAATAATACATGTGAGATTTGTAACACCTTCTAATACCAGGTTGGAGTACCACCTGTGGCAATTTTCACAGTATTCCCCATCTTTATTTTTTGCCAATCAGGTGTGCTAGTTATCAGTCAATTTGTTTGTTGCCTCTTGGTTCCAAATCCACCCTCATCACATGTATTGTAATAGTAGAGCTGGATTTTTATCACTATTTATCCTTTGCCAACGGGTATCATGTTACACATCATCAGTAGAGGGTGCTAGATAGACAATGCAGGAGGAGGGGTTTTCTCTGCTGTTTCTGGTGTAATTTCTTCTCTTCTGTTGCTGTGACATGCTTGGCCAGTGGTGTGCAGCACACCTATAGTCAAATACAGCAGACATTTTTTCAGTTGGCTCTTCATCACAATAAACCAAACATGGCAGCTTGAGAAATAGTGATGCTGCTGGATGCCGTGGATTACTAGCATCCCATATCCCAATGATTGTACTCAAGACCAAAGGCACAATCAAACTTGTCCCCAAATCCCATCCTTGTGAATCTGTCTTGTACTATTAACCCCAGTACCATCCCATCTTAGTTGGGATCCAATAAGGACACAGTAATTAAAATAGAGAAGTTTCATAAAAGTAATTATTAACCAGTAATGGAATTAACTACTAAAGGGCAGGGAGAACTCTAACAAATAAAAGAATGATTGATAAAGGGAGCAACCATTACTTTTATGAGTGATAGAAGAGTATCCAAGAAAGGAACAAATGTGGAAGAGGCTCCCAACCCAAAGCTGAGGTTCAGATCTCACTGGAGGAGGTGCAGCTGTGGAACATTGTGTGGCAGAGAAGTTTGTGGAGGTTCTACAGAATGGAATGGGGCTGGTAGTCAGAAAATGCTCACTGGGGTGCAGGTAAAAGCTCATGAAGAAGCTGCCTCTGGAACACAATTGGGACTTCTGGAAAGCTGTCACTGTGGTGCTGCTGGAACTTTCTGGGAGTCTCCCCACTGGGCACTAATGAAACTTGATGGGAGACATCCACAGGGGTGCCACTGAGACTTGTTGAGAAGCCAGCTAAGATGCTGATAAGACTTGCTGGGACATGTGGAGTGTCCCTGAAACTCACTAGGTGGTGAGCACCACTGGTTGTCCCACACATGGCTGGAGAAGCAAGGACGGGAAAGCACATAGGAATGAAGGCAAGCCTCTTCATCCTGCAATGTCTCTCCAGTGCCATCTACTGAAGAAAAAAGTGACATGCTAGCTGGTAAAGAGAAATGTTTTCATGGTCCAGCTCTAGTATCATAAAGCAGGGCAATGAAGGGTGGATTTGGAACTGAGAGGCAATAAGTTGATAACCAGCAGAGAAAGTCTTGTCAAATAACCAAGAGGAAACCTCTGTTCTCTGTGTCTTTCGTGTTCCACACAGGAGTTCCTTCCTGGCTTCAATACTGTTTTTCTTTTTCTTTTTTTCTTTTTTTTAGAGACAGGAGTGTCGCTCTGTTGCCCAGGCTGGAGTGCAGTGGCTCGATCTTGGCTCACTGAAAGCTCTGCCTCCCGGGTTCACACCATTCTCCTGCCTCAGCCTCCCAAGTAGCAGGGACTACAGGCGAATACTATTTTAAAATATAATTTCTGAATAGATTTGAGCTAATTAGAAATTCATATTTTTTTAATGTTTTGAACTTAAGCAAAGACCAACATAAAGTATAAATACCTTATTAGTTTATTCAGTATAAATACACATTCTGATTGAGATGGAAAACAAGTAATAGATACTCACAAATGTAAAATCATAGTGGGTTCTAAGGTTTGCCTTGAACTATAACTTATCAAAGCCAGGTGTTCTAATATAAAATTGAATAAGATATTAATCTTTTAAAATAAATATCCATATGGAAACTGGGGTTCTTCTCTCGCTTGTTCTCACTCTCATTATATGTGTAGTGTGTGTGTTTGCATGTGTGTATTCATGTGCGTTTGTGTATAGAAAGAGATAGACTGTTGTTCAAAAACCATTTAAGTGACTCAATGGAACAGGCATAATTTTTCAGCTGAGGAAACTGAGACTCAAGGGCACAAATTTACTTTATTTGGGATTAGCAAAAGTAAGACTGGAATCCAAGTAACTTGTTTCTGGGAAGGAAAGCTTCTATTATATAAATGGTGAACTATTTCAGAAATCGATTCATGTCTACTACTCTTCAAGAAATCCTGCCACCCTCTCTCAAATCATATTTTGATTCAGGTAACAAAAGTTTAACTAGCCCTGGAATAATCAAATAACAGCTGTATTTTACATCTACTTATGTGAACGGGCATATTTGTTTTGAGGAAATGATGACTTGTAAATTCAGGCTCCAAGTAATACAGGCAAGCTGGGGAAACCTGATGAAGTAGGTTACCAAGGGGAAAATTGTAAAGATACTTTGGACTTTTGGGAAAGTGTAGGAAATATGCAATTCAGATTAGGGCAATTTTATGGGCACAACCCAGAGGATTTGAAGACAATAGAAAAAGAGAAGTTTTGACCCAGCTCCTATGGGGTCCTAGCCCAGACCAAAAAAATAAAAAAATAAAAATCTTGTTTCTTAGAGAAGAAAAAAAATCTGAGGAAACATATTCTACTCTCTCTGAGATTAAAGTGCATCTAACCCAGGAAAAGAAACATAATTTTGAAAGCCTGGCTTATGTGTGTATTAGTTTTCTAATGTTGTATAATAATATTACTATAAATATAGCATCTTACAACAATGCTTATTTATAATCTTACAGTTTCTGAGGGTCAGGATTCTAGGCAACGCTTAGCTGGGTCATCTGTAAGGCTATAATGAGGTGTCAGTTAGGAATGTGTTCTCGTTTGAAGGCTTGACTGGGGAAGGTCCACTTCCAAGTTCACATGGTTGTTGGTATTTGGTTCCAAAAGACTGTCAGACTGAGGGCTTCAGTTTTTATGCTGGATGTTGCACAGAAACCACCCTTACTTCCTTGCCACATAGTCTGCTCCATTGGGAAGCTCACCTATGGTAGCTTGTTTCTTCAAAGCCAACAAGACAAAGAGTCTCTCAGCAAGTAAATTTTACAATCTTTTGTAACATAATCACAAGTGTTACAGCTTGTCAACTTTGTATTCAATTGATTAGAAGCATGTCACTTGTCCCACCCACACTCAAGTTGTGGAGATTATGCAAGGGTAGGGATTTCAAAAGGCAGGGATTATTTTCACCACAATAGTTTAGCCTGAGATAGGCGAATGTATGCAGTAACCTTGGAGTTATCCAACTACATGTGTCTCATATCCTGAAAGAGCCACATGCTATAATGGTTTCAACTTACTAGACAGCTTAGGGCAGAAGGGATACACAAATAACTTGCTTGCAGGAAAAAAGCATGAAGGAAAAGTAGTGATTCCAAGAGTAAGGTCTTTTCATAGAAATTCCCCAGCTCTTGGTAGGTGGATTATCCAAGCAGTTCTCTACCAGAGAATGTCCTTGCAACTCTCTTTTATCTAGAAAAAGCACATCTATTTTATGAATGATACCTGTCCAGATTTTTTCCCCTTATTCTTTAGTCTGCTTCAGAGCCATCTTCTTCATGGCTCAACTGGTATTTTTATAATATCATCAAAATGAAATTTAATCAGTAATATTAATGTGTTTCCTAGAAAATAAAATTACAGTCATGTACCACATTACATTTGTCTCAATGAAAGACTGTATATATAATAATGATTTCATAAGATTATAATACAGTATTTTTTGCTGTACCTTTTCTATGTTTAGATTTGTTTAAATACACAAACACATCATTGTGTTATAATTGCCTACAGTATTTGGTACAGTAATAACATGCTGTACAGGTTTGTAGCCTACGAGCAGTAGGCTACACCATATAGCCTATGTGTGTACTAGGCTATATCATATAGGTTTGTGTAAGTACACTCTTTGATATTTGCACAATAAAATCACCTAACAACACATTTCTCAGAATGTATCCCAATGTTAAGTGACACATGACTGTATATAAAAACACAAAAATTAAAAAGTTATGGTTACTGTTTCAATTATCTTTGTTCTGATTATTTTTATAAAGATGGATAATTGAGAGTTAGCAGTTTTGATCCAGTATCTATCATACACATACACCAATGTGGTCATATATCTGTATGAATATATGTGTGTGTGTATGTATGTGTGTGTTTGTGAATATGTTTCACTTTATACAAGACAGTCGAAAAAGGTTAATGTGATATGCATTGAATTATAAAACCAATTTGTAAAATAATTTAAATGTTTAAGTGGTTGTGCCATTTAAAAGAGCATTGTTGTTTTATTTTTAAGGTCTTTATTCTTTTAGAGCAGTTGTAGGTTCACAGAAAAATTGAAAGGAAGGTACAGAGATTTCCCATACACCCAATGATCCCACCCATGCCTAGCCACTCCTGCTATCAACATCCCCCACCAGAGTGGTACATTTGTTACAACTGATGAACCTACGTTGACACATCATAATCACATCAAATCTGTAGTTTACATTAGAATTCACTCTCAGTGTTTGTTGTACATTCTATGTGCTTGGGCAAATGTGTAATGATACATCATTACAGTATCACACACAGCATTGTCACTGCCCTAAAAATCCTCTGTGTTCTGCCTATTCACCACCATACCCTACATCCCTGCTGTCCCAAACTTCTCACAACCATTAATATTTTTACCATCTCCATCATTTTGCCTTTTCCATAATGTCATATTCTGGAAATGTCATATAGTTGGAATTACACAGTGTGTAGGGTTTGCAGATTAGCTTCTTTCACATTGTTATATGCATTTAAGTTTCCTTCATGTCTTCTCATGGCTTGATAGCTCATTTCTTTTTATCATTCAATAATATTCCATTATGTGAATGTACAACCGTTTATTTATCCATATACCTATTGAAGGACATCTTGGTTTCTTCCAAGTTTTGGCAATTATGAATAAAGCTGCTATAAATATCCACATGCAGGCTTTTCTATAGACATAAATTTTTAAATGTCTTTGAATAAATACCAAGGAATGTGATTGCTGGATCATATGGTTAAGAGGATATTTAGTTTTATATGAAGATACATTGTTTTTCAAGAAAAACATAAATATTGTTGTAAAGAACAATGGCATCCTCAGATCTTTTTCCTCTTCTCCTTCTTTCCTTTTTTCTTTTCATCATAAATCTTTATTTTTCTATTTACTTAAATAAAACTAAGCCTGTACTCTTGAACATGTAGATTAAGAGTACCAACCCTGTACAGTAAAAAAAAATGCATATAATTTTTGACCTCCCAAAAACTTAACTATTAATAGCCTACTGATGCCTGAAAGTCTTACTGATAACATAAACAATTGTCCAGGCGCGGTGGCTCACACCTGTAATTCCAGCACTTGGGAGGCCAAGGCAGGAGAATCGCCTGAGTTCAGGAGTTTGAGACCAGGCTGGCCAACATGGTGAAACCCTATCTCTACTAAAAATACATAAATTAGCCTGGTGTGCTGGTGGGCACTGGTAATCCCAGCTACTTGGGAGGCTGAGGCAGGAGAATTGCTTGAACCCGGGATGCGGAGGTTGCAGTGAACCGAGATCGCACCACTGCACTCCAGCCTGGGTGACAGAGCAAGACTCTGTCTCAAAAATCAAAACAAAACAAAGTGACAACAACAACAACAACAACAAACAATTAGCACGTATTTGATATATTAAATGTATTATATACTGTATTCTTACAAAAATAATAGTAAGCTAGAGAAAGGAAAATCTTATTGAGAAAATTGAGGAAGAGAAAATACATTTACAATTTATTGAGTGGAAATGGATCATTATAAAACATATAAAATTTGAGTCAAGGAAAAATAATGAGTTCACGCATTGTGTTATTATATGGTCCTATATGCAAAGCAAAAATCCTTGAACTGAGAATTTACCTTTTGCATTAAAAACATTTACCATTGTCCTGAATGGTAATGCCTAGGTTTTCTTCTAGGGTTTTTATGGTTTTAGGTCTAACGTTTAAATCTTTAATCCATCTTGAATTGATTTTTGTATAAGGTGTAAGGAAGGGATCCAGTTTCAGCTTTCTACATATGGCTAGCCAGTTTTCCCAGCACCATTTGTTAAATAGGGAATCCTTTCCCCATTGCTTGTTTTTCTCAGGTTTGTCAAAGATCAGGTAGTTGTAGATATGCGGCATTATTTCTGAGGGCTCTGTTCTGTTCCATTGATCTATATCTCTGTTTTGGTACCAGTACCATGCTGTTTTGGTTACTGTAGCCTTGTAGTATAGTTTGAAGTCAGGACATAGGCGTGGGCAAGGACTTCATGTCCAAAACACCAAAAGCAATGGCAACAAAAGCCAAAATTGACAAATGGGATCTAATTAAACTAAAGAGCTTCTGCACAGCAAAAGAAACTACCATCAGAGTGAACAGGCAACCTACAACATGGGAGAAAATTTTCGCAACCTACTCATCTGACAAAGGGCTAATATCCAGAATCTACAATGAACTCAAACAAATTTACAAGAAAAAAACAAACAACCCCATCAAAAAGTGGGCGAAGGACATGAACAGACACTTCCCAAAAGAAGACATTTATGCAGCCAAAAAACACATGAAGAAATGCTCATCATCACTGGCCATCAGAGAAATGCAAATCAAAACCACTATGAGATATCATCTCACACCAGTTAGAATGGCAATCATTAAAAAGTCAGGAAACAACAGGTGCTGGAGAGGATGTGGAGAAATAGGAACACTTTTACACTGTTGGTGGGACTGTAAACTAGTTCAACCATTGTGGAAGTCAGTGTGGCGATTCCTCAGGGATCTAGAACTAGAAATACCATTTGACCCAGCCATCCCATTACTGGGTATATACCCAAAGGACTATAAATCATGCTGCTCTAAAGACACATGCACACGTATGTTTATTGCGGCACTATTCACAATAGCAAAGACTTGGAACCAACCCAAATGTCCAACAATGATAGACTGGATTAAGAAAATGTGGCACATATACACCATGGAATACTATGCAGCCATAAAAAATGATGAGTTCATGTCCTTTGTAGGGACATGGATGAAATTGGAAACCATCATTCTCAGTAAACTATCGCAAGAACAAAAAATCAAACACCGCATATTCTCACTCATAGGTGGGAATTGAACAATGAGATCACATGGACACAGGAAGGGGAATATCACACTCGGGGGACTGTGGTGGGGTCGGGGGAGGGGGGAGGGATAGCATTGGGAGATATACCTAATGCTAGATGACACGTTAGTGGGTGCAGCGCACCAGCATGGCACATGTATACATATGTAACTAACCTGCACAATGTGCACATGTACCCTAAAACTTAGAGTATAATAAAAAAAAAAAAAAAAAAAAAAACATTTACCATTAGGCTGTTATTATGTACATCATTTGGAGTCCAGCCTCTAGCTGTTGTATATTTATCATAAAACTGAACATATACATATAATTAACATACCTGCCTTGCTTTGCTAACCATGCTTGTGTAAAGAAGAGTACCAAGTAATTTTCAAAAATGAGTAATCAGTGAATAATGTATATTTGGTTTGGCTTGCAATGCCCCAGACTCACAGATAGAGACCTGCAAATTTGTGACATGAATACTAATTTAGTCACCTTCATTGTCTCTGTTAACCTCTGTTCTTCAGTTTACTGTTCCCTGAAGCAGGGCCTGCAAAAATAAATAATCCTGGTAGAAAAATCAACAATTAGTCATCCAAATGACACAAATTTTCCCATTGCAGTTTATGAATTTGGGTAACATGCCATGTTAATCTTATCTTCAGGTTGACTTACTCTGGCTGCCTGGACTCCTCAGATCCCCTCCAATGGGACTGTGTGCTAGTGACACGAAAGATGTCTTTAGCCTTAGAAAGCTATTCTTGAGAAGGTCGATCTGCTGGCAGAGAAAATGTAATCTGAATCATTAAGTCCAGTGCAAATAATTTATGTGTTAACCTCTATTGTTCATGGAGAATTCACTGTAGATACGGAATTATAGGTGGGAAGTAGAGGGATGCAGTAGAAAGAAAAGGAACTTTTCCATAGAACTTCACTTTTATGTCCTAATAGTCCCCAGAGAATTTCTGGAAGGAAGTGGCTGTCTCATTTAGGAGAGGTAGACTCAGGTGTGAAAATGTTTCTTCTTGGTTACACTATAGGTTACAAATTGAGCTGGAGCCAGCTTACAGGACATCTGAGCCCCAGTCAAGGGAGAGGAAGCCGGGGCACAGCTCAGTACTTTGCCATTCCATCCCTGCTGTAATCAGTCTCTGAGTCTGGTCTTGGTAATAGTATTATTTCATCTCTATTATCTGTCATGCTGCTTCATGCTTTATTTTTCCCTGGAACCCTCATCTGCTGCTTTACGGATTCCTATTGTGCTTCAATTATTTGGAGCTCAGATTTGAAATGCCAACTCTTTTCCCTCCTCTTCCACCTGGATTGGGTTCCAAACCTTTCCAGCCTTCTTCTTCCTCTGCTCAGTCCTATGTAGAACGTTTGGATTACTTCCCTTTTGATAGCCTCAAGATGTGAAGGCTCCTCCTTTTTTTTTTTTTTTTTTTTTTTTTTGGCTTAGGGAGTGCATTTTAAAGCATTTATTTTTTGACTCCTCATCTATTATTTTTATCATAAGGTTTCCTTTTAATGTTCCTGAGTGATGGGAAATGTTCTCTCTTGCTGCTGGGAAAGGCACTATAGAAATGAAATATGTATTGCCTTTCTACTCATCTGATTATCTGCCTCCTCAAAGTAGTTTAACAAATTAACATTGAGTCTCTTATTTTCTACACAGTTTCTTTTAAGCAAGGAAAGAATTATAGCTGTTCAACTGCTCCCTTGCTTTCTTGCCCAACTTCCTTTTCCCATAATGATTTGTCCATAAAATAAGAAGGAAGAAGGAAAACCCACTAGAGAGGATTCTGATTCCCCTGGCAGATGATGGATGGCTGGCTGTATGACAAGTCAGCTTTGGGCGGCACAGTGAGCTATTTGAGCCTTTTCAACTGTTTTTTTTTTTTTTTTCTTTCAACTCATGAGGTTATAGAGGAAAAATGAAGAGGCCATGGACATGGTCTTTTGGGTGGGCTTAATGAAGTATGGCTAAGACAATTCCAGAATAGCCTTTATTGAAACATTACTTTGTCTGAGATTGTTCTTAGTGGGATACATTCTGAGAACTAGCTGGGTGGAAGCTTTTGGTCAAAAGCTAGGAACAGGTGAAACCAGCTTAGGAAGACTTAGGGTTGAGGTCCACCCCCAAGGAATAGACTGATTTTAAAACAACTCCTCCCTAGTGACTTATCATAGTTCCTGAAATTCCATCATTAAGAATTATTTTCTTTAAGTCTCAACAATCTCCAGAGTCTCAGCAATCTCCAGAGGCCTCTTTAAAATAGTAAATAACTATATACTAGAAGTAAAAGTGTTTTAAGTCTTTACCAACTATTTATACCAGAAGTATTCTCTTATGGATTTTGATAATTCAAAAATAAGCCCCATGGCCCTGCTGAAATTTATACCAGAAGTATTCTCTTATGGATTTTGATAATTCAAAAATAAGCCCCATGGCCCTGCTGAAATGTAACCTAGTATAGCCATTTAGAAGTTTTAGGGAACAAGAGAAGTAGAAAAAGTAGTATTGAAAAGAGGGATGAATTAAAAATGTCACCTACTTCCCAATTTTGCTCAGAGCTGGCCCTGTCAGTATAGTCTGTATTCATGGCAGCTGGTGGAGAGAGCACAGAAAATAAAAGGAAACCAGTAGTATTTCCAAGGTTCTGTCATTTTGCCAGCCTGCCAAGGAGGCAGATGCTGTAGACAGATTTGACCGTAAGCTCTGGTTGAAATGACTCTCAGGCCGTGTCTGGTTTTGTGTGCAACCATAGCACTGCAGGCAGAGGAAGTCTGGAGATTGAAGTGGCAGCAAACCCAATGCCCAGACCCCTGCTTCTCACTTTTGTCTACATCATTTAGTCTCACAGCATGATTTTAGCACAGTCTCTTCCCTTCCTCAACCCTTGATTTCTCCATAAGCAAATGAGCCATCAGTGTTGCAAGGCTCCAGTAGGCTAGGAAGAGCAAAAGAACTGAAGACAATAATATTCCAAATCTGATATCAACAAAGGACTGACAAACTCTAGGATTAGAAGATGACAGAGTCAACATGAAGCTTCTGTTGGGGAGTCTAGAAATTTACAAGGAAAATAAACCAAGGAGAAGTAGGGAGAGGTAGAGTCCCAAAGGGGCCCCACAGGTGTTTTATGTTCTTACTTCTGCATGTGAATTTGGGAGCCATTCAAGGAGCTGGATTGTAAATCCTTAAGACTTCCATTTAGCCGTAGCTTATGTATAGCCCACAGAGCAGCCAGGCTACCCTGTCTTCATGCCCTGTAGATACTGTTCTAGGAGTGACACAGTCTGAAGCTCATGCCCATTAAACTTCATCACGGGGCTGTATTGTTCTCACCTAACTCTTCATGTTTCACAATTTCCCAAGCTCAGGCTATGAATGTAGTTGGGGAAGTGTCATTCCCTAGTGAATAGCTTAATTTGTGTCCAGGAATAAATAATAGAGAGAGAGTCAGCAGTGCAGTCCCTTGGAGGGTACCAGTGATCATTGCTCTTTAGGAAGTGCCCCACAAGGAGATGGCTACTGCCTTTGCAAATCATGTGTGTTGGGAGGAGAAAAGCATTTAGAGTTGACGCTTGAACAGCACATGGATTAGGGGCACTGACCTCTGTACAGTCAAAAATTTGCCTATAATTTTTGACCTCCCCAAAATTTAACTACTGAAAGCCTGCTGTTGACTGGAAGCATTACCAATAACATAAAGTCCATTAACACATATTTGATATATCAAACATATTACATACTCTATTCTTATAATATTGTAAGCTAGAGAAAAAATGTTATTAGGAAAATTATGAGGAAGACAAAATATATTTACAAATTATTATTATTATTATTGAGACAGAGTTTCGCTCTTGTTGCCCAGGTTGGAGTGCAGCACAATCTCGGCTCACTGCAATGTCCATCTCCCGGGTTCAAGCGATTCTCCTGCCTCAGTCTCCCAAGTAGCTAGGATTACAGGCATGTGCCATCACGCCCAGCTAATTTTGTAGTTTAGTACATGGGGTTTCACCATGTTGGCCAGGCTGGTCTCGAACTCCTGACCTCAAGTGATCCACCCACCTCAGCCTCCCAAAGTGTTGGAATTACAGGCGTGAGCCACTATGCCTGGCCATATTTACAGTTTATTAAGTGGAAGTGTATCATCATAAAGATCTTCATCCTCATTGTCTTCATGTTGAATAGGTTGAGGAGGAGGAAGAATAGGAGGGGCTGGTTCTGCTGTCTCAAGGTTGGGAGAGGTGGAAGAAAATATGTATGTAGGCGGACTGGCAAAGTTCAGACTCATGTTGTTCAAGGATCAGCTAATATATACATATCTTTTTGTCGTTTCAAATAAATGATTCTGCTTCCCAGGGCAAGTGCTAGGAAGCACATTAACTGTATATTAGTCTGCAATTGAATTGCTTTTGTTCTTTCTTTGGTATTCCAGAGATTTTATAATCTATGTTAAAATCATGGGTTCTGAAACTTGGTGAGACAGGGCTTTTGAAAGAGAGCACTTTTGGCTGTGTAATGTAAATCTGTTTCTCTTCAGAAAGACAGGGGCCCTGTAGATAAGACTCTTATTATTATTATTATTATCATACTTTAAGTTCTAGGGTACATGTGCACAATGTGCAGGTTTGTTACATAGGTATACATGTGCCATGTTGGTTTGCCGCACCCATCAACTCATCACTTACATTAGGTATTTCTCCTAACACTATGCCTCCCCCAGCCCCGCCGCCAAAAGGCCCCGGTGTGTGATGTTCCCCTCTCTGTGTCCATGTGTTCTCATTGTTCGACTCCCACTTATGAGTGAGAACATGCAGTGTTTGGTTTTCTGTCCTTGTGGTATTTTGCTGAGAATGATGGTTTCCAGCTTCATCCATGCCCCTGCAAAGGACATGAACTCATCCTTTTTTGTGGCTGCATAGTATTCCATGGTGTATATGTGCCACATTTTCTTATCCAGTCTATTACTGATGGACGTTTGGGTTGGTTCCAAGTCTTTGCTATTGTGAATAGTGCCGCAATAAACATACGTGTGCACGTGTCTTTATAGTAGCATGATTTATAATCCTTTGGGTATATACTCAGTAGTGGGATTGCTGGGTCAAATGGTATTTCTAGTTCTAGATCCTTGAGGAATCATCACACTGTCTTCCACAATGGTTAAACTAATTTCCACTCCTACCAACAGTGTAAAAGCGTTCTTATTTCTCCACATCCTCTCCAGCATCTGTTCTTTCCTGACTTTTTAATGATCACCATTCTAACTGGCGTGAGATGGTATCTCATTGTGGTTTTGATTTGCATTTCTCTGATGACCAGTGATGATGAGCATTTTTTCATATGTCTGTTGGCTGCATAAATGTCTTCTTTTGAGAGGTGTCTCTTCATATCCTTTGCCTACGTTTTGATGGGCTTGTTTTTTTCTTGTAAATTTGTTTAAGTTCTTTGTAGATTCTGGATATTAGACCTTTGTCAGATGGGTAGATTGCAAAAACTTGCTTCCATTCTGTAGGTTGCCTGTTCACTCTGATGGTAGTTTCTTTTGCTGTGCAGAAGCTCTTTAGTTTAATTAGAGCCCATTTGTCAATTTTGGCTTTTGTTGCCATTGCTTTTGGTGTTTTAGTCATGAAGTCCTTGCCCATGCTTATGTCCTGAGTGGTATTGCCTAGGTTTTCTTCTAGGGTTTTTATGGTTTTAGGTCTTACATTTAGGTCTTTAATCCATCTACAGACAACCATGGTAAAACCCATACCCAGAATCAAAAATAAGTGAAGCAATTTGCCCAGCACTAGGACCCCCAAGTCTAGTTCTGAACTTACAAATAGGTCGCATTCTAGGAAGAGATGGACACATCCTGACAGATCTATTTTGAGGACCCAAACTCTGTGCTGAGACTTAAATAAAGGAGCAGAGAAACTTCCACTTTCCCAGGGTAGGAATGGAAGGATAAGTCAGTTTGGCGTGATAATTCAACATTTTTCTATCATGCGAAGGAAGAATCCGAATTACTGCTGAGATTCTTCTGTTTCCCTCAGATGAGAATCTTTAGAGGAGAAGAACTTGAATTAATTTTATTTTCCCAGTTAGTAGGGTTCTCAACACCTCAAAGTACCAGCATTGGTCCTCCCAAGAAGGAAATATATTTAACATTTAACCTGGTTCCTGTCCTACAAAGCAGAGATGAATCCAGAAGTGAGGAGGAAGCAGAATGGGGAGTCAGAATCAAGACTTTTTTTCTCTATTAGTTTGGATAAATAGCAAAGCTATCTAAGGATGAATGCTGTTATTGTTGTTAATGGTTTGCATTTGGTGGTGGGAAAATTAAATGAGGACTCTGTCTCATCCAGTCCACTCTACATTCTGTACATCCTACTCCTATCTGCTGCCAAATTCAGAGCATGCATTCCTTCTTAGCCCATACCCTCTTATTTGCATAAGAATCAATACAATGAAGTGAAACAGTAGAGAAAAATTGGATCCTCTTTTACTACTTAACCTTAAAAGAGCTGTTTCTAGAAAGACCTCTGGGACTGCTATTTAGTCAAGGGTGGCACTTCTTGGATAAATGAATTGCAATATTTTGTTTAACTGAACAACTGAAAAGTTGGGACATTACGCTAAAAAAATATACTGAGCAAGAAAGATTATGAGAAACTCTTTCTTGAGTTCTCTACCACATCCTGCCTGTTCATGGGTTTTCTGCACTCCCACCCCAATACCACCATCACCTCATCTGTGAAACTCAATACCATGTTAAAGCTGGAAGGGCCCTTTGATAGAAGTCAGTTCAACCCCATCATTTTACTAATTTGCAGATGGAAGGCCAAGATGGTTAAGAGACTTGCCCAAGGTCCTAGAGGCCAGCAGGGGCAAGCCAAGACCAGAACCCAAGTCATGTGGCCTTGGTCTACTACTTTCTTCATCACATTGTATTGTTTCTTGAAAAGTGTAGTACAGATGCCAGTTTCTCTTAAGCAAAGCTATACGCTAGATAAAAGTTGTGATCAGACTTTTATGAATGCCTGGGGGAGGGTGGGATACTGACTTTAGAGAAGTTTATGAGCTGATGTCACCCTGATTTTAAGTCTGAGCTAAAGCTCAATTAAGTGCTTCTTTGTTATTATATTACAATCTTAGTATTGTAGGAAGTTCTGAAATATCCCATCATTTCTTTTGGGCTAACTTTTCTCATTTAATACAAGAAATTTGAGTTGAATTATCTTTCAGATCTGTTTCTGTTTTAATGAGCTCTGGTTCCTCTAAAATTGTTGTTAAATGCCCACCGTTCCCCACCTCCATCACCATCAGGAAATGGAGTTTTTAATCTTTCACGCACTCTTACATAGGAAAAAAAATTATTTTAGTACTGATTCTGACCGACTCTGAAGTATTGTTATAGCCTTCTGGAGTTCTTTCAGGGTGGCTCAGAACCTCAGGGAAACCTTGAACCAAAGCTTCAGGGCAGCTGTAGGCAGAATAACAGGACTTTGCCTGTTTGCTAGGAACTACTGAGCTCCCCGAATATGGACCTGTATTGGAAGCTATGCCAATGTCCCTGCGATAGCCTCAAAAAGTGGACAACTAAAAGAGGTGCCTGGTTTGGCATTCTCTGGGGGACAGTTCATGGAAAGTTTATTGATGGGGCTGGCCACTCTATCTGCAAATAATGATGTCTTTTTTCTGGTGTCTACCTTACCCTGTTCCTCACTAACCATTGAAAGATGCAGGAAGACTTTGGGAACCTGCCCCTAAGTCTGAACCTACCCCTAAGTCTGTTTTCAGATGTAAAGGTTGACACCTTTCAGTATAGAATTATCTAAAGTTGTTAGTCAAGATTTAAGAGATCTGCACACACTGAATTTTTTTCAGTTCACGGTGATAGGGGAAATGGTATTTTTATCCATGTTTTGAGATTTCTATTTTTCCTTTGTTCTGTCTGTAAAGAATTGAAGAAAACTTTCCAGGACATCTCTTGCCTTTCCAAATTCTATTTTCATTAAAGTCAAATCAAATTCAATAATAAAACTTTTTCAGAAATAGCCATGAATTTATAATCAGTAACACATGATTTAATTGTTTTTTTCTCTTTAGCTGTATTCAAAGTTTCTTCAGAAAAGGGGATATGTTTTATGCTTTTGATCTACCTTGTGGCTTCTTTTTGATAATTTGAGTTTAATATAGTAAAACATAATGATGAAGCAGTGGGGCCAATGTCTCCTTCTGGAGTCAGTCTTGGCCTATAGAATTTATTGACATATCTTTCAGGTTACATATATCTAGATCTTTATGGGGTGGAGCTTTACTCCTAGTGAGTATCAACACTTTGAAACTTATAAACATCAAATGCTGGAATCCCACTGCAGGCCTATGGAATCAAAATTTTCAGGGGATAAAGCAGGAGTATATGTTTTTTAAAAAGCTTCCTAAGTGAGTCTAATGCACAGCTATGGTAAAGCCTGCCTTATGGAATAAGAGGGCCACTCTTAGAGGCTTCCCAAGTACAGTTATCATTCACATACACAACCAACAAGGGAAAAACACACATCATTATTGCAGGGCATTGCTAGGATTGTGCCCGGGTGCCCACAGGCAGGTTCTGTACAAGAGGACAATAGCCAAGGGTTAACATACATTTTGAACAAAAATTCCTCAATCAAAAGCATGGTTTTTTTGTTTTTGTTTTTTTTGTTTGTTTGTTTTTGAGACAGAGTCTTGCTCTGTCACCCAGGCTGGAGTGCAGTGGAGCAATCTCGGCTCACTGCAAGCTCTACCTCCTGGGTTCATGCCATTCTCCTGTCTCAGCCTCCCGGGTAGCTGGGACTACAGGCGCCTGCCACCATGCCTAGCTAATTTTTTGTATTTTTAGTAGAGATGGGGTTTCACCGTGTTAGCCAGGATGATCTCGATCTCCTGACCTCGTGATCCGCCCGCCTCGGCCTCCCAAAGTGCTGGTATTACAGATATGAGCCACCGCACCCGGCCAAAAACATGTTTTAAAACATTGCAACACAATGACATTGGAAGTGAAGACCAGCAGAAAGAGAGTAGAGGCTTATCAGAGCGGAGAGACAAAGAGCAAATCTAGGGTTATGTGTAGGTGGCCATCTACATAGTATGATTTCTAAGAACTTGTTGACTTAAACCTCCCTTGTGAAAAACTCAATCCTTTGGCTTAAAACACTGACTCTTGTTAAAATGGAAATACCTATGAATCATATCTGACAAGGTACATCATATTCTTACCTGAGAACACGTTGTAATGGGGTGGGGAAAGAGCTGGAAACATAGATGGAAAGAGAGAGGGTATTGCCAAAAGAGGATGCACACTGGGCAGGACATCGTGCAGACAGCAGCAGCTGGACAAATATCATCACTTTGATTTACTGCTATTTAAAAGAGAACTGCTCAAAACTATTGGACTATTAGATATGCTATGTTTTTCCCTTGCCTACCCTGCTGAGGAGCTCCTTGGCTCACTCTGGCCTCTGCTGCTAGCTCCTGAATTGGGAAGAAAGCAACAGGAAAGCAACCTCATCCCGTGGGAGATGGCCCGGTGGTCTAGGCTGGCCCTGAGAGTGAGGGCTCTGAGATCCAGCCTGAGGATTTTCCTCTGACTTGCTGTGTGGCCTCCAGCCAGTCTCCAAACAGCTTTAGTTTTCTTGTATGTCAAACCAAGATAAATACCTAACTTCCCACTTCTCTGGGGCATTGTAAGGCTTCACTTCTGCCACTTTCAGTAAGGTTTGTCCAAAGATCATAAGAAGAAAGCTTTTGAGAACTTTTAAGATGAATTACTTTTACTACTTATGTAGTATTAGGTAGAAAGGAGAATGTACCGGGAGGGTGGGATAATGGAGAACACAACAATCTCACTCAGAGAAGCAGTGTTTGTAGTGGAAGAGAAACACAAAAGGGGTTTTGGGGTTGGGGTGCAAGGGAGAGAAGTCTACAATTGGTACCAGATGCCATCAGAAGCTAACGACCTGACAAACTCTGTCCTCATAAAACAAATTCCTTAAAAAGGAAGCAAATGGAAATATAAGCTAGTGAAAGAATTTGCAGCAGCTGCCCTAAAACCATTTCTCACTTCATAAACAGGTCTGGGTTTGGTCCTTTTTTTTTTTTTTTCGTGTTGGTCTTATTTCATGCCACTTTTCCCTCTCATATTCTCCCCTGTCTCATTCTTCCTCCCTTGCTTCTCCTGCTGGATGGACTTCTCACACTGGCAGTCATAACAATAGTAGTTCCCATTTTGATGGAGGGAGGCTCATTCAGAGCATTTGTTTTGTGTCTTGTCTCAACATGTATTTGTCCTCAATGATGGCATGGATTAATTGGACGAAGTCACTCAAAAACAGCACTTGCTCTTTTCACCCTGACTTCTTTCCAATAAACTAATGTGGACCAGAGTATTAATGACTCTCTGTTTCCCAGTACTTCCTGTTTAGCATGCTGAAGAAGAGATTATGTTTGGGACATCCATGGCATGTGGCATCTAGAGAACTAGGAGTTCTTTAGAATCACTAATGAAGCATCTTGATCACATTTCATAAAGGATGGTCAGATTTTAGCTTCCTTATCAGATAGATTAAATACATATTTGGAGACAAAAATTCATTTCCTACATTGCATATCAGCATTGAATTTGGGGAATTCATGCTGACTCATTAACAACCCCCACCTTATATATTTCTTCCTTCATCAGGTCTCATAATGGATACTTCATCATCTCAGGAAATAACCAGGGCTTAAACTTGTGAAAACATTTTCTTCACACCGATCACCTCCAGTTCTTCCAACTTATACATAATAAACATAGATAAAAGAAATGAGAGTATCACTGACATATGATTTAAATCCCAAGGGCATAAGAGCAGGGTCAGCAACTTTAGCATATTTAGTCTGAATTCACCCTTTTGGGGCTAGTGCTTTTTAAGTCAAGTCTCAATTATTTCAAGGTAGTATGTGCATATTCAATGATATTTATTTTCTACTTTCTTATATTGTTGCCCAGATCTTTGATAAAGTAGTTGACCACTAACACAATTCAGGGACAAACAGAGCACACTACTGATGACAAGATTCATAGTAGTCATATCTTTGGGCTAATAATTAGCACCAAGGGCAACAACATCAAGAGCAAGAAAATATCTTGCTAGTCTTCCATACTAGACTATGTATTCCCTAAGAGCATGGTTCTTATACCACTGGTACTCAGATCGAGGCCTTCCTAACAGTAAGTGCTCAGTAAATGCTTATTAATGAATGGTGGAGCAAGATGGTTGAATCAGTGTTTAATGATATTTTCATATTTCACATCCCCATTTGTCATTATAAAATTTAACAAATTTCTCACTTTGATAGCTATGGACTGACTTTGCTCTCTATAACATGAACAATCGTAACTTAGCAAATTTTTATTGTGTCAACTACAGCAAGTCATGCGTTGAATATAAAGTGGGTAAGAGTCAGTTTTCCTCTTCAGAGTGTCCATAATCTAGTTGGAACATTGAGCATTTAAGAGACACTCAGATACTAATTACCTTGTGAATAAAAGGATAAATAAGTTAATTCACTGATTAAAGAATGAGAAAATGCATACACAACTATAACAGAAGATAAAGCAAAAGAAATTTAGAAGGGAGTTATTTTTTAAATTTCACTGGGAAGTTCAAAGGAAGAGGGCATCTGAAGGGACTTCTTTGAGAAGGAGAGTGTCTTAGCTCAATTTGTGTTGCTATAACTGAATGCCTGATACTGGGTAATTTATAAAGAAAAGAGATTCACTTAGCTCATGGTTCTATAGTCTGGGAAGTGCAAGAAGCATGACGCTGGTGTATGCTCGGCTTTCTTGCTGTGTCATACATGGCAGAAGCAAACACATGCAAAGGTGCAAAACTTGAGAGGCACCCTGACTTTATAACAATCCACTCTCATGGGAACTAACCTATTACAGTGAGAACTAATTCAGTCACTACCACAAGAACAGCACTAAGCCATTCATGAGGGATCCACCCTCATGACCCAAACACCTTCCACTAGGCCCCACCTACCAATACTGCCACATTGGGAATGAAATTTCAACATGAGTTTTTTGGGGACAAACCATATCCAAACCATAGCAGAAGGCCTTTTAGAAATCTCAACAAATTGAGCAAAGGTACACAAATGGGAGAACAAAAAAGTGGGGTGACAAACAGCAAACAGACCAGTGAGGCCTTTTGCAGTGCTTCATGCAGTAGAGGAATAACAACTCTGTGAGGTTGCCATAATTATCCCCGTCTTATAGGGGAAGGAGTTGAAACACTTGGGAATGAATAACTCAATCCAAATCGCACAGATGTTAAATGATGGGTCCAGGATTCAATTCCAGAGAGCCTGAGGCTAATGCCCTAATTATTAACCTCTATGGTTCTGCCATGGCAAGAGGGTGACACTCATTTTGCTCCAGTGTATTCTTTTTTTTTTTTTTTTTTGAGACGGAGTCTCGCTCTGTCGCTCAGGCTGGAGTGCAGTGGCGAGATCTGGGCTCACTGCAAGCTCCGCCTCCCGGGTTCACGCCATTCTCCTGCCTCAGCCTCCCTAGTAGCTGGGACTACAGGTGCCTGCAACCACATCCGGCTAATTGTTTGTATTTTTAGTAGAGATGGGGTTTCACCGTGTTAGCCAGGACAGTCTCTATCTCCTGACCTCGTGATCCGCCCGCCTTGGCCTCCCAAAGCGCTGGGATTATGGGCGTGAGCCACCGCATCCGGCCTGCTCCAGTGTATTCTTGCTGCTGTTATGATCCAGGCTGAGTCTAGATTGGCCCTGGCAATCCAAGCAGCAGTTCTCTGCTGAGAGGATGTCTGTGGAAGCATCTAGCATAAGTTAGGCATGGGACATGGATTCAAGAGGTGTGAATTTCCTCTTCCAGTAATCGGTTCAATTTCTGCTCAGTCTGTGCTAATATTCAGTGGTATGTACTGCTATGGCTTTAGCAGTTGTGAAAATATTTCCATACCAATCGGTTAATTGGTGTTGCCTTTCTGTCACCTTAGAAACCTAGGCCCTTCAGACATGGCCTTCTGTGTCACCTTGTGATCAAACATTTGAAAGATTCATGCCTGACATAATGAGGGGCCTCCAGGATTCACTCCTGAGCTTTGTCCTGGATTTGTTCTAATTGCTTGGGACCCAACAGTACTGGTTGTTAAATATTTTGAGTGTCATCCCATGATCTATTCATTTCTGAGCCACACAGAACTCTCAGAATCTGTTCTCCACCTCATTTCATCACCATTTGATCCTCCTGGAAGAAAGAGCCATAGAAAGTCAACTAACTGTTACTTGTTAGCTGTTAGTTTTTATGTCTATTATGCTGCATGGTGTTGGGTAGTAGAGAAAAAAGGTGATGAGTTAAATATCAGTTTTGGAGAAAATTGTTCTCTCTGGTTTAGGAGCCCTCCCAGATGGAGCTGCAAAGTCATTGCTCCTCCTTACTGGTTCTCAACCAGTCCTAAGATGGTTCTATTTCTCTTATCCCAGCTGTATCCATCGGCCCTGTGGGAAGCAGGACAGCTGTCCGTCATTGCTGCTTGATCATGCTGATGTGGTGAACTGTACCTCTATAGGCCCAGGTCTCATGAAGTGTGCTATCACTTGTCAAAGGGGATTTGCCCTTCAGGCCAGCAGTGGGCAGTACATCAGGCCCATGCAGGTGAGTTGAAAGAACACTATCACCAGGACCAAGTTCCTGGGAAGGGGAGGTATTCACACTCTTCTCTCTGGCTCCACAGGGAAAGAGCAGATGTTTTTAAACCATTTGAAAGCAAAACATGGGGGCTCTAACAAGCAGAGAGAATGATGGCTTAATAGAAATGCAAGGTATATAAAAGCATGTACAGTGCTGATTAAGTGGGTTGGTGGGCAGTAAAGGGCAATGCTTATTCTGTTCTTCTCCCTTGTTTATTTCTGTCAGAAATTATTTTCCCTCCTTTTGCCTTTAAGATGAGAATGCCAAAGTTCAGACTTGTCTGTAATTTTCAGGAAAGACTGGTTGTAATCAGCATGTCTGTGGTTCACAATGTCCACCCCACAACAACCCTCCAACAAAAAGACTGAAGAAATAGAACCCGATTTTCTCCCCAGAAGCATTAAAGCTGTTACTGAGGCAGAGATTCTGTCATGATTCTCACTCTGGCCAAATTTTCCAAATTTCTACAAGCTCCATTTCAAATTTCTACAGCACCATTTTCAGAATTTCAAGATGGTTTGGAGGTAGTAGAATATGTAGATTAACAGGGTGACTCAGGAGACAGATCGGAATTAAATTTTGGCTCCACTGTATATAAGATGTGTAACTTTGGATTAAAAAATAAACAAAAGAAATTAATCTCCTTAAGCTTGTTTTCACATTTTTTAAATGATTAGAACAGAATACTTATCTGATTGAGTTATTATGATGGCTGGAAATAATTTAAATGCTTTTAGCAAAATGATAGGTACATAGCACTCTATTTGTTAAATTGTCAGTATTATGAGCATGATCATGTATTCTCAACTAAGAATTCTGTTTTCCATCTTGCCTTTAGAGAGTCTTCAATTCCCCACAGAGAAATTTTAAACATAAAATCAGCCATTAGAAAACATGACCATATTATAAGATAGAAAAAGGATGCACCAGGGAAGAGATGATGGTGCTCGAGGAAAAAAACAGAAAGATGTGGTCTCATAAGGAAAGAGTGGACATACAACTGTTAGCTAGACATCAGTGATTTACAAGAGTTGATTTTTTTTTTTTGTGCCAATTGATTGCTTAACAGGTTGGGAACCTGTGGGAGAATTCCACTTGCTTAGAGATGTCAGTATTTAAAGGTATACACTTTGGCTTCAGCTGGCTTAGGTTCTGCCTAGAGAGAAACAGCTTTAATATACCTTGAGGCACCAACTTCTTGGTCTGTGAAGCTTTAGCCAGGAAGGCAGAGCCCTTATTACCTGTTCTTTACCCATCTCAACTCAGGCAAAGGAATGTCCACTCCAGAAAAGAAATAAAAAGAATGGAAAAAAATGCAGGGACTGAATCCACTCGTGATAGGTGAAGAAGGGGAGAGAAGAAAAGACAACATGTATAATGCATTAAAATTAGAAGCAAATTCAAAACAAAATGGACAGTACCTAACAGAGACAGGAGAAGCACCAGGCAATAGATGCAGATTTTGAGAGGCATTCTTTTTTTTTGAGACGGAGTCTCGCTCTGTCGCCCAGGCTGGAGTGCAATGGCACGATCTCAGCTCACTGCAACCTCCCAACCTCCACCTCCCGGGTTCAAGCGATTCTCCTGCCTCAGCCTCCTGAGTAGCTGGGACTACAGGTGCATGCCACCACACCCAGCTAATTTTTGTATTTTTAGTAGAGACGGGGTTTCACCATGTCAGCCAGAATGGTCTCCATCTGCTGACCTCGTGATCCGCCCACCTTGCCCTCCCAAAGTGCTGGGATTACAGGTGTGAGCCACTGCCCCCAGCCTTGAGAGGCATTCATGAGGTGATAGTGGCTCATTGTAGTTAGAGCCAGACTTGCAGGCTGTGTTAAGCATGGGTATCATCTGGGCTGGGAGAAGGGTGGGAGCTCACGCTTTGCCAACCACATGGCACAGTCAGCAACAGTGCTCTCCAGCTGACCAAACGTGCTGTCACCTCAGGCTGGTCCCATGAAGAAAATTATAGAATCCTGGTCGTGATCACAAGACAGTGGGGATATTTGCTTTTTGTTGACGCAAGAACCGAAACTAAACAGAAAAATGTGTCTGGCTTTGAATTGGGTCCTTCTGGCAAGCAATGGAGAAACACTGGGAAGCGGGAAGGAGCAGCTAGCCAGGAGTTGGTGTCAGGGGTGACAGGTGCCTTCAGCGGTCATTGTACCTGTGGCTTTGGTGCCACTGTGATTTCCTGGCAGGATGGCTGGCTCAGCCATAGAAACTCCCCTTTCTATCTTTGACCTTTGATAATCCAGTAGCTAGAATGTTGGCTGCACGTTTTTCAAACAAGCCATAAGCTTCTAGGTCTCCAGGTCCTGCCTTGTTACATTCCCCCCACCCTAGACACCTTCTTCTCCCACCTCCCCCTGTACTGCTGGGAAGTCCTGATCATTTTTCAAAGGCCAATCCTGTATTACCTATTCTGTGGAACTTCTCCTACATGCTCTCCTCCCTGGCCGAGGATGGCAGTTCCTCCTCCAGCTCCTGTTATACCATCACACAGGAGCATGCATTATACAATATGGCTTTATTGTTGCATATTTGTGTTTTCTTTCTTCTTGATCCCAGTTTTCTACTTCTGTTTTATGGTTTTCAGTCTTTATATGGCATTCTTTCCAACCATTACAGAAGGGGATAGGATATAACAAACCAAAATGTAGCTCTAACATTTCCTTCTTTACTTTCTTTTCTGCCTTTCTCCCTCCTTTTCTCCTTTCTATTCTTCCTCCTTCACATGTTTTTGAACCGTTGTTTCAACATGTGATTTGCTTGCCTGGTCGATTTTTAGTTCCCGGAGGATATTTTGTTTAGGACAGGACCTGGCCCTCTTAGGTGCTCGATAAATATCTCTTGATTGAATTAGTAGCAGTGTGCTGTAGGGCTGCCCTACTGAAATGACAGGCACTAGGAAATGGCTAGAATCTCTCACATTTAACCACAAGGTTTGGAAGATGCCTTGTATGCATTAACTCTCAGCACCATTCTCAGTGGAGGTAATTATTTTCAGTAGCATTATCAGCTGGCTTATTAATAAGAGTGCCAGCAGGAGACAGATGACATACTCAAAAGTGGGCAATTTGAGAGAATTTAATCAAGAGACCACTCATAAATGTGCAGGCAGGATATAGGAAAATCACAAGGCGATGGTGCAGTATCCCAGGTGAAGGGACTCAGTCATCACCCCTAGGCCTGAAAGGTTTACCTTAGGAGTGCAGAATCACAGGAAGGAGCAGAAACTGTGTAGAGCAGGCTTCCAGAAGATGCAGCCAATCTGCAGCGACCCTTGGGAGAGAGTGGGGAGAATCAGCACCCTGGCCTCCCTCTTCTCCTCTCCCTCTCCAGGCTGCTGACACTGTGTCCTGGATCTGAATGCAAGTACAAGTCAGAGGCATGAAACCCACTGGAGTCAGTTTCCCTGGCCCAGAGCAGAGTAGAGAAGGGTAGAGAACAGGTCTGGAGGAGCAACTGGAAAGCAGACAACAGAGCTGGCCTGGAGGAGTCTTGCCATGTCGTGATTCTCTGACACTAGCAGGCTTCTTTTATCAGCATCATACTGAGTGTTGTAAGAATGTATATTAAAACAGTGAGGCCTGAAGAGGGAGAAAGGCAAAATAATTTGTCCCGTTTTAAATGTTTAGACAGATAATCACCAAGACTCTTCTAAAGCCTGGAAACTACTCTGATACGCCTTTTAATGTGACTTTGACAGAAGCAATTTCTCTGTTTCTAGAAGGAAATTCTGCTCACATGTTCTTCTGGGCACTGGGACCAGAATGTGAGCTGCCTTCCCGTGGACTGCGGTGTTCCCGACCCGTCTTTGGTGAACTATGCAAACTTCTCCTGCTCAGAGGGAACCAAATTTCTGAAACGCTGCTCAATCTCTTGTGTCCCACCAGCCAAGCTGCAAGGTATTGTCTGGTCAACCAGGAACTGTATGCAAGTTCTCTGCCATCCCTCGCTCTTGAGGGTACTTTGGGACTCTTTTCGTTACCCCAACACCTTTCCTATTTGCTCCACTGTGTCACCATCTTCTGATAACTCCAGAAAAGTCCCAAAAGGCAACACCACTCTTTGTCCCCAACTACTTGAAAGGATGCACTGGCTCAGGTTCTAATGAATGAAGGAATCTTAGACTTTCCTCTATTTTTATTTGACAGTGTGTACCCCAGAGGCAAGCCTACTGGAATGGTTGTCCTGATAATATTCATAATCAAGATACACTTTATTGTGCACATTTTAAAATTTAATATTTACAGCCATCCTTTGAGCAATGTGTGAATTTGTCCCTGGCTTTAGTGCTGGTTAGAGATGAAGATGGAGTGGAGCCTGCTCTAGCTGATGGCTTCTCAGACTTTGGTGTGCCTAACAATGACTCAGGAGGCTTGCTATAATTGCAGATTCCTGAACCTTTCTCCAAGAGATTCTTGCTTAGTGAGTCTGGGGTGAGATAATGATGTTATGGTGAATAGTCCATGGACTGCATTCGGAGAAACCATGAATTGTACTAAGGCATATGGTATAGTGTTTAAATACAGAACTCTTCATCCAAACTGCCTCTGTTCAAACCGTGATTCTGCCCCTTACTAGTTCGGGCAAGTTACCGATCCCCAATTTCCTGATCTGCATAATAGGGGATAATAATAGGATCTATTTCATAGGGTTGTTTGAGGTTTGAAATTTACACACGTTAATACATGTAAAATGCTTAGAATAGTGCCTGCCATATAATAAGCACTATAAAAGTGTCATCTACTATTATTTTAATGCTTTCTATGATAACATCACTGCTATATTTTTATTATATGTAGGTAGGAAAAGAAGTAATGATTTAGTTGGTAGCCCTTCTTTCATTTGGGTCAAGAAAGATTTATCTGACCTCTGTTTTATGTAAGAGCATCACACTGGATGCTCTGTAAGTAAAAAGATGTAGGACTAACATTTGATGTGGGATTTTTGAGATGCTACTCAAGAAAGAATAATATGACTTTTGAAAGGCACCAGTAAGTTCAGAGGTTTTTATTTCATCTGCTATGATTATCTTTCTGGGCTCTCTGTTCTGAGCATCTTGTGCTTCTCTTTCCTGGAGTCAGGACTGAGCCCATGGCTGACATGTCTTGAAGATGGTCTCTGGTCTCTCCCTGAAGTCTACTGCAAGTTGGAGTGTGATGCTCCCCCTATTATTCTGAATGCCAACTTGCTCCTGCCTCACTGCCTCCAGGACAACCACGACGTGGGCACCATCTGCAAATATGAATGCAAACCAGGGTACTATGTGGCAGAAAGTGCAGAGGGTAAAGTCAGGAAGTAAGTTGAATGTTCCTGGTCTTTGGAGTTCTACCTACCTCGCTGCTTGTTATGTTTGTTTTTCTGTATAATCTCTCTTTACCTGCAGGGCTATATTCTCCAGTCATGACAGGCAGGCAACCTGCTGTGCTTTCTGTAAATATATTCTCTCCAATAGAAGATCCCACAGTCTCACTTGCATACTTTTTAAAATAATTTCTGCCCTAATGATCGCTTTTCTTGAAAGTAAGAGTTAGCAGCGTCTCAGGTGTTATATGTGTTACCTGAATCCAACTCTGTGCCTGCATATACTCATCAGTCCAGTTTACAATTGCAGGCCTGGCCTGGTCCCCAGTGCAGACACTTATGAGCTGTGGATATTGGGAAGTTTCCTTTCTCTGCCTCAATTTTCTTTCTGTAAAAAGGAGATGATGATTAAAAATATCCGCCAGTTAGGGCTGAGGTAGGAACTAAATGAATTATATCAATCAAACATAAAATTCAGTAAATTTATTTTAAAAATATAAAACTCAACTCATTTTGGCTATTAATATTGTTATTATATCTTTCTCCTTTCTTCTTCCTGAATTTTACGTATGTGCACTCCTAGACCCATGGCAAGAAACACTTTTCCTCCAATGTCGTGGGGGATCCGAAAGAACAAAAGCTTTATAATGTAATTTAAGAGGAAAGGCTTCCAAGAGAGTCATCTTGGGGTTCAAATCCTCATCTCCCCTTTATCAGCTGAGTAACCTCAAGCAAGTTACTTAACTCTTTGGGTCTTGGTCTCCTTCCTTTCTTCTAGGTCTCATTCTTATCCTTTTAAGTTTAGAATAATGCTTGCATCCATGTTGAGTTGAAGGATAATTCAACCTTCAACTCAATATCCAACTCAAGGTTAACTCAATATCCAGCCCAGTGCCTGGCTTGTGCCAATTACTCAATAAATGGTTTCAGAAAAAGAAACTTTTTCTGAGTGAACGAAAAGCTTTCAGGAAAAGAAACTTTTTCTGAGTGAACAAAAAGCTTTCAGGAAAAGAAACTCCTTGCATTTAGGAAATAGTAGCTATTCTTTCTCTACCGTAAATTATGTAGCTACAAGAGAAAACCAAATCTGTTTCTTACCTAGCACTTAGTTGAAAGCCTGTTGATATGTATTCTTCTAAGATTTTGTTTTTGAACTAACAAAATCCTAGCCATGGTATTACCAGTGGTGCCAGGGCATACAACCTTTGCTTGTAAGCTAGGATGGTCTAAAGGGACAGAAAAAAATATCAGGAAACTATCTGACTCACATTTACCCTTTCTCTAGTTGATCTCTCAACCATGTTAACATTTGGCCATTAGAGCAATGGCCTCTCCCAGGGCCTTCCACTCTAGAAAAGGCCCAGGCTCATATGTGGGAGGGGAAGACCAAGCCCATACCCTGCCCTTTCCACCAGAGGGAAGGGCCAGGCTGATTAGAACATAAACAATACTGATGAAAAATTCATAGGAGGCAACACTCCCTGGTTCAGTGGGCTCTAGCAGGTGTAGTAAACAGTTTTTGACAACCAAGAGCACATTTGCATGTGATTTTCATAGCATCTAGAGGCAATTTGCATAGGCATGCACTGATAGACAGTGAGTACCCAGGTAATCTTCAAGTGAAAATGTTACTACAATTACCCTGAAGGCTGCTGTTTTCTTGCTTTTTTTCTCTCTAGTCTTGCCTCTTTTTTTTACACACCAGCAGCCACCTCAGATATCTGCAGAATAGTGCCATGAAGAATAAATGACCAGGGGGCCAGAGAAATGTCTTAGGACCAGGAGGAATTAAAGACAGCAAGATCATCACCAGTTTTCTGGGCCATGTCTCAGCTTTATGTTGGGAAAAAACGAGGCCTCCACCCAGAACTCTGGGTGGAGTTCTGGGTTTGAGGGGCATTTGTGGACACAGCTTTTCTGACTGAGAAAGTGGATGCTTGCATCACAATGTCAGCATCAGTTTGGGCTTAAACGTTGACATTCACAAGCACCATTCTGAGGAAAGATTAAATTATTTACCACGTTATGTAAGCTGATTAAATCTTAGTTTACATCTGTTTACATAGCAGGTGGCGGATTGGTAATCAGAAGTTTGCAAGTCTGGCATAAATCACTGCCACTTGCTGCTCATGTTTACTCAGTGAACTATGTCAGCCTGGTTCCTTGTATGTGGAAAAAGCCCAGCATTGTACAAATGAGGCCCTCAACTTCTTTCTATGATATGCAAGCACAAAGAGAAGAAATTGAGAAAAGCAGAAGGGAAATCAATCCAGAGAGAATGGGCACATGCTAATTTTATGCTACTGTACAGTGTAGTAAAACAAACAAACAAACAAACAAAAATTTGGGAGTTATATTTGAAACTTGCTGGGCATGACCCTGAGCAAAATACTCAACATCCATGTATCTCAGTTTTTGCATCTATAATATGTGAAGTAGTAACTATTTCTATCCAACAATGTTGTTTTGAGGCTGAATGTCAGGTAATGTCGTGAAAGCATTTTACAAACTTTGAAGTTCAATACACATGCTATGTATTTTCAATACATATGCTATATTACTTTTTGTTCATCTTTTTTTTAAAGGAAGGAAACAATTACTAAAATATCAGCCAAATACATTCCCTTCCTGCTTCTTTTCAAGTCCATAGTTTCAAGACAAAAGAATGATAAGTGCTGGATTTGACTTCCTCTGATGTCCCTGTTCCAGCTTTGTCTCATTCTACCCAGGGATGGCACGGATGGCATATTCATCCCCTGCATGCTCTATGCCAGTCTCTGGGTTAGGAATAAAGACAGACACATAAATAAGACCTGGGCTGTCCAATCTTAAAAATGGAGTCAGGATCTTTATTATAGTGTTTTGGCCACACCTTCCTTCTTGAAACTCTTCTTCCTTGATTCTCTTCCATCTTGCTCCCTGATTGATGTTCCTTCTTCCTGTCTGTCCACCCTTGATTTCCTTTTCTAGCTTTTTTTCCTTTGCCTATTTCTTTAAAATTGATGTTTCTCTGAGTTCTCTTTTCCAACTTGTCAGGCATGATGCTCATTCACCCTGTAGCCTCAGTTACCATCTGCGTGCTGATGATTCCTAAATTCATACCTGCCACTATAGTATCTTCCCTTAAGGGCCATAAGGCCCATAAGACCAACTGCCTATGGATATTGCTGCTTGGATATCGTGTCTACATCTCAAACTCTTAACTATGCAAAACAGAGCCTATTATAATTCCTTTCAAATATGCATATCTTTCTGTGTTCCATGAAGCTGGTTGAACCGGGTGCCTGCACATCACCTGAGACTCCTCAGCGCCCTTTACCTTCTCTCAAATCAGTTATCAACTCTGAGTGTCATTATCTTACTGACTCAGATATGCTTGTTTCTCTCCATCCCTGCTGCCAAGTCTCTATAATAGACTATTATCATTTTTCACCTCTGAACTGATCTTTCTGTCTCCAGTCTTTTCTCCTTCAACATATTCACCACTTTGCAGCAAAAATGGCCTTCAAAAAACTCAAATCCAATTATGTTATTTCCCCACATGAAAATGAATGACCAGCCTACCTGCCACTCTATTTAAGGGGAAAAGTTGAATATTAAGATAGTTTCAGTGTCTGCACAATCTAGCAGGGCTTCGCTTACTTCTCCAGCCTCATTGCTCACTATCTTCCCTGGCAGACCCTTCAGCTCTTACACAACCTTCTTAGCATAGGCTCTAATACTACTGGACTTCTTTTATATCTTCGTGGAAGCCGTGGCAGTTAGGGCCTTCAGACATGGAATTCCTTCTTCCCAGAGCTCTCCGTGACAGTGACCTTTTGCTTGACTAACTCCTACTCTCTTATTTTTAGTGCAGGTATGATGTTGTCCAGGAAGCCTACCAGGTCTCCCTAGACTGTAGGACTCCTCTCATAGGCTGCCATTGTACACCAAACTTCTCTGATGATATCACTTATCTCACTGATTACAAATGATCTGGTTACTCATCTATATTCACGAATAGACCATGAATATTTTGCTTAGCATCGTGTGCCCAGTGACTAGCTACTTATTGGCAGGTATTCAATACTTTCTAAATGGGTAAAAGCATTGCATTTATAAGCAAACTTATGATAGAATTTTGATGTTAAAGTTGATGCTAAAAATAGTAAAGGAAAGGAGAGGTTTTTCTTATGCGGTGATAGAGATCCCTGTTTCAAATGCTTTAGAGTGAATGAGAACTTTAAACATATATAAGTAATTTTTTTCTAACAATTATCTCAACAACATAGAAAGAAAGCTCATTCTTCAAAGACAGTTTCAATTTTATTTATTCAACAGACATTTATGCCTGATTAGTACCACTCTATGCAAGTTAATGGTAACAGAAAAACGATTACCTCTCAACAAGCTCACCAGAACAATGCTTCTCATACTTGGCTGCTCATGAGAATCACCCAGGGAGATTTAAAAAATCCTAATGTCCAGATCACACCCCAAACCAATTACATCAGAATCTCTGGGGGTGGGGCCCAGACATCAGTATTTTCCAAAGCTCCCCAAGTCGCTACCATGTACAGCCAAGGTCAAGAAGCACTGGTCTAGTCGAACTTTTGATCCTGTTAGATTAACATCAGTTATGAGATTTTGACTTTCCTGAAAGATCCAGAATAAGATTTTTCTCTTTTTAAAATTTTTGTAGCAACACTTTTGCATGGTAGATTTTAACACGTCTCTGAGACTTTTTTATTTTTGAAGGTAATAGAGAAAATGTAAGCAGAATTGTAACTCCAAGGAGGTTGTAAAGTATATGTAGTTTCAGGAGTTCTTTCCTCCTCACATTGTATAATAGGCACAAACTCTCTTTTAAGACCCTTTCTTTTTTCCTCCCATGCAATTTACTTCCACATACACATCATCATTAATCACTCCTCTGCTGTTTCATTAACCTGATTTCCTGGGAAGCTAAAGTAAGTGTGTTTGACTTGTATTTTGTCAATAAAACCATATTATATTCTCCCTTATCTTTCACTTCCATGGTTGCCTTTTTCTCATTATGTGTTATCTTTGTGTGAAGGTTAGGTTAACGTCATTAGAGCCCATAATTAATTTAACTTCTAAACGATTCAAACCTTCCAACTTTAGTTAGTCAATCTCTGTTTCTATAAGTCACTCGTCAAGATGCCATCTGTGGGGTGCTATAGTGTCAGATCTTCTTGTGGGTAATTGTAAACATCCATCCTTTCTGAGGGTTGCCCACAGCATCAACTTTTCCAAAGTACGTAAATCTGTTTAAGTTCTATAAACACAAATGAAGGTCAAGGCTGAAATTAATAGGCCCCACATTGTGACTATTTATTGTTTAACAAATGTTTGGTTGGTGAATGCCTTTAGTGGAGCCTTGTCTGACCTAAATTGGGGGAGAGCCTGAGATGGGCTGGAGCTGGGCATGTGTGTTTGACCCATTTCCACACACACAGAAAGATTGGTGTGGCAGAGTGTTAAAAAGCTTAAAGGCTGGGCTCTGTTCTGTTGGGTATTGATGAGGATGACTGTGGTGATGATGATTTGTCACTATGTGCTATATATGCTAAGTATTTTGTACACAATACCCCATAATTTCTCATAACAGTAATACATTTTATCCTTAACAAAATAATAGTATAGTAAAATATATTATTATATAATAGTATATAATTTGATATAGTAATTATAATATTTTAGTGTATTATTATTATCCCCTATTATAGATGAGGAAACTGAGATTCAGTGTGTTTAAGTAGCCTGCCCATGATCACTCAGCCAATAAATGGTAAAATTAGGATGAAAACCATTCTGACTCCAAAAACTGTGCTATTGGCTAAAAATGCTTTTAGTTTCAGCAAATCACTTCATTTCTCTCAGCCCTTTCCTGCATTTGTAAAATAAAGGGAAATAATTGAGTGATTTCTAGCTCCAAACGTTTCTATTTTATTTTCTATCTCAACAGAACCAATGAGAAGAGCAACACTTTGGTAAAACATCATTGCGAGAAGTGGTAGATACATAACAATTTATTACCATCAGAAAAAAAGCAGTGATATATTAAAACACAAATGCTGCACAGACATGGACTTAGTAGACAGTATTTAGGGCACTGTTAGAGTAATACTTGGTGAACTTTTGGTCCGCATGAACAGCCAAGGTTTTGTTCTTTCCTTCTTGATGGGTTTTGGTCCATTGTTTTCCATTCACATTCAAGGAGACTGGGTCTAGTTCTCCCTTGAAGACAGAATATTGGGAAAATTTTTTTGGAATTTCTAGAATTAAGTTTTAGAATTAAACACATCCCTAAAACTTCTAAAGAAGGTAATGTAGTCAAATGGCTAAGAAGGGTTTTCTTAGTCCAAGATTTATCTCCTCATTTACTGGTTAATTATACAGGCTCTGGCATTATTGAGATCTAAATTTGAATCTCAACTCCGCTATTTATTAGCTTTTTGACCTTGAGCAAGTTACTGATCTGTAGTGAACATCATTATTCTAATTTACAGGATAGAAATAATAGGTGTACTTACAGGTTTTTGTAAGGAATAAATGAGATAATAGATGGAAAGAACTGAGCAAAATTTTTGGTCATATTAAGCTTCAGTTCATCAACACTGCTGCTGTTTATCATCATCACCATCATCATTATCATTACCATCATCATCATCACCATAATAATTTCTACCAGGTTAATGGCTCTTACAAAATAACTGTTGCTGTTTGAGCTATCCTTCTGGTGCAATAGGGAAATTTCTTCTTTAACAAGGAGTATACTCAGCTACATTTTTGTCACTGGCCACTGTCTCCCATCTGTTGTTGGTTCCTATGCTAAAAACAAAACAAAACAAAACAAATTAAAAAAAAAAAAAAGCACAGAGTCCAGGAAGACTGGAATTGGCATTCGAGGTCAGAGGTACAGGTCTTCAATTACCAGCAGAAAAAGTGCATTTCCCTTGCCTATAAAAGAAAACACACCAAAATAGAAACTTTATTAAATTAAAAAAAAATGTACTATTCTCCCCCAATTAGTACACTCTCTGTCTGCTTTATATCATCCTGCTGACAACTCAAGTACTACAGTGGCTTCAAATAGATCAAGGAAAATAGGGGAAAGAGGGGGAAAAAGAAACAAAATAATCAGCAAGATAGATCTGGTCATAATTTAAAAAATTAGGATGAGCAAATAAAGTCAGGCTGGTCTGGAAGGAGAAGGGCAAGGGCATGTCCTGGAGACATTACCCAGATTTTTAGGCTCTTGATCTTTTTGAACCATAGCTTGAAACTCTGGAAGATTCAAACTGATTTTATCCTATCCTAGGAAGGGAAAGAAAGACTTGGTTAATAAACTGAAAATGTGCAGCTAAGGCAAGCTAAAACTCATTAAGTATCCTGGATTCATAGCTTTTAAAAAATTATAAAAGTAATCTACCTAATTGTTAAGCTCTGTGTCATAGCGGTGTGCCTATACATTAATGAATAGGTGCTAAACCTATACACTTATATACACATGTTCTATCTATGATTGCTCAAGGAAAGAACACACATTAATCTCTATGTACACTCATGTATCTGTGAGAAATAGAAATTTGTTTTCTTTCCAATAAGACCTTGCCTGGCTTTATAATTAGTGTTTATAGTAAATACCTTCAAAATTTATCCTTGAAATCCTCAAATATCTTGCCATTGTAGGATAATGTGTGCTTCAGGCTAATTTATTAAAGCCCCTTTTGGCTTCACAGTGATTGAATCTCTGCCCCAAGACTTAGCCATTCACATACACACCTGGGTGCAGGCCAGATCTTGACTGCGGGCTACAAGGGGCCTGGTGACTGGCATCCATGCTCTCACTTCAAACTCAGCCCTTGTTGAATTCATAAATTTCCCTATTAACTTCAACCTCAAACTAGAGAGCATCATATTGTAAAACTTTCTGTTTTATATTGACTGCTAATATCTATTAATCAGAGTACATTTTTAAAAACTTGAGTAAGAGCTTAATTGTTTTATATAAACCAGTAGGACTTTATTCAACCTGTAACTTCACCCCCTGCTGCTCTTTCTGGTCTTCGTTTGTCCTACTCCTCCTGTGTCTCTGGCTCACCCTTTCTTCAAGCCCATTGAGTGAACATTTTGGTTGTGGTTTTGCTTTTGCTCTCTAGTGATGGGGTCAAGCCAGGCCAAACTGATTCATAAACTGTCTCCTGAGGGATTCTGGGTGGGACAGAAATACGAAGAATTAAGTAGGGTGGAGAAAATGAGCAGAATGTTAACATTCCATACTCATCACACACACACACACACACACACACACACACACACACACACACAGAGAGAGAGAGAGAGAGAGAGGAGTGTGGCTGAGCAGATCTTCTGATCATCAGGGATAGCTAGTAATTTCTGCTGCTTATTGATCATGGTCATGTGCTATTCATTGTACTGCGTGGTTTAAATATACTGCCTCACATAATCTACTCATTACCCTGTGAAGAATGTATGACTATCCCTATTTTCCAGCTAGGAAAGCTGAGAATAATAGAGGTTATGTGATTTTTTTAAAGTTAGAGATTTATTAAGCACCAAGGCTAGAGCTCTAACATCTCCTGATTCCAAAGCACCTGCTTTCAGCCACGCTGCTACACATTCTTCCTGATGGGAATCTCCCAGGTGCAGCCACTAAAGGCCTGCTGAAGCCACCATGACTTCCGATTCTCCCTTTTCAGTCAGGGCAACGTAAATGCTAATCAGCTCTTTTTCTTCCAGCCCACATCAAGGGATGTAATGTCAGGAGTATGGCCAATGCAGGATCCACCTGTGTATATTCCAGGTCCTTAGGTATACCACAACTTTTTAGAAGTTCTGATAACACATTAGCAAACTAGGGTCTTATCATTGCTATGGCTTCCAGATAAGGGACAATGCAAATAACTTTGCTTTCTCAAGGAGCAACAGTGACCTGCAGTGGTTAAGTTAATTCCCAGGTGAGGGTGTGAGTGTGTGTATATACCTGTGAGCACTTTCAATCACGCCTGTCTGTGAGTCAGACTGATCAGGAACAGAAATATAACAATACCTGGAGGAATTCTTGTGCTGAAAACTTTGTGAAGATGCAAAAGTTCTTACAAATGAGATCAGCCTGCCCCCTGAAGTTGAGTGTATACAGTGTGTTGCTCTTTTCTGCCAGAATTTTGTTCCAGTGGACTTCCCTCAGGCTCTTCCCCTGCCCTGACTCTCCCCAACAGTAGGTAGAAAAGAGAGGGAGGGAAGGAGAGGTGGAGGGGATATGCATATTTCCTCCATTTCTCCATTTACAGTTTTGGCTAAGACTTTTGAAAATCTCTGGGTTCTCACCTGCACTGTTCCCTCTGCCTGGCATATCCTCCTCTGCTCCTCTACCTGGTGAACCCACTCAAAGGCTTCCTTTACTGTTATTCTTCATGTCTGCAGGCAGTGTTGGCAGCTCTGTCAGGTCAGTATTCCAACCCTATTATAATATTTCTATTTGTTTTTACAACCGCAAGACCTAATATAATAAATAGGCATATTCTCGGTGCTCAATAAATATTTGTTGAATGAATGTATAAATGGACAAGTAATTGAATGGTTAAAGAAAGAGGTTCCTATTAAATGTTTTCATGTTTCAAGTCCAGTTCACCCCTGAATTTTGGTGTAATTTCCAGTTTCTCAACCATGCACTGATGAGAATTGATATTTGGACTTTGTGAAATAATGCTAATAGCTATTGTATACATTTGTGTTTAAATCACATGAAATGGAGAAACCTCATGTTGTTTTTAGTTTGGGGTGTAACCTGGGCATATTTGGCAGAAAAATCTGTTGGCTGCATGGAGAATGGAAGAAACTCATGAAAATAGATGAAGTAGGAGCTGTTGAACTTGATGTGAGAGAGACGAGGAAAGGAGATGTAGATGATTAAGACATCAGCAATGGAAAATGGAGAAGGGGCCCCAAACTTGGGTTTAGGTGTTCAGACCTAGGGACCAGGCATTATTGTACCTGCCAATCTGGAGACATAAGATTTAGAAGAAAGTCCAAAGATAAAAGTGAGGGGCGGGACATGGAAGTAAAATGGTCTACACACTTTTAGGAGTTAGCAGGTGGCTCATTTTTTCAGAGAGGCTCTATTTTACATGTGAGAAGAGCTTTGTAAGGGGCTTTTTTTTTTTTTTTTTTTTTTTTTTTTTTTTTGTCAGGGAAGAAGGCCAAATCTAATATGTCTTGTTGGATAGTCCTGCTGATGCTATTTCTTATCCTGTAGAAAGGGCTAGAATAGGACATCAGGAGACCTGGTATTAGAGAGTGCACAATAACTATGATGGGCTGTAGACTTACCATGTCTGAAGTCTGCTTGCTCCCTATTTAGGATATTGGCTTGGGAAACCAGGCCTGCAATTTGTTAGAGGAAAACTGGCATGGGGTTTGGAAGTGCTGATGGTTCTGTTTGGGGCTAAGTAGAGAACCGTGTCTTTTAAAATGGTCTAGATCACTGTTTCTCAGTCTTTAATATGCATAGGAATTATTTGGGGGTCCTTTTAAAATGCACATTCTTGTTGAGTCAGTCTGAAGTGGATCCTGAGATTTATTTCTAACAAGCTCCCTGGTGATTCTAATATTGCTGCTCTAGGTACCACACTGTGTGTAGTAAGAGGCTAAAGTGTATTCGGAGTGAAAAGGCTTTCTAACTTCAGTTCAAAAATGGACCATGTATCAGACAAAACAACTAATTAATGCTTTAGTTTTCTAATTCATGCAATGGAAATCATGCAATTGCCTCTTTCCCTTACATCTTCTTTTTAGGGATATTCTAAATGATAAGATTTGGGGATCCTCAGCACAAATGCACTAAGTGAAGAGAGGTAATTTATCCATAGCTCCATTGGTAGAAACCTGAATGCTTCCATTTTATAATATAGGCATTTGGCATGAGACTCATCATAGTGCACATCCCTGCTCTGCCATCAACCAATTAGATAACCCCAGGCAAGTTATTTTATGTTTCTAAATCTTACCTCATCTATAAAATAAACATTTATACATTCATTGAACCAATATTTATTGACAGCTATTATGTACCAGGCATTGTGCTGCATACTGGGAATATCATAGCAAATAATGCTTTGCCCTCACCAAACTCTTTTCCATGGTGGGAGCTGATGATAAGCAAGTAAAACCAATACACAAAATAATTCAGGGTATGCATCCTATGAAAGGAAAAAAGATGCTTTGATTAAAAAAGAAAAAGTTAGAGGGGCAAAATAAGGATGCTTTTGGGTGGTAAGAATTATGCTTAGATAGGAAGAAAGAAAAGGAGCCAGTCAGGAGAAGATAAAAAAAAGAAAAGCATCATGACTCGAGAGAATGGCACCAACTCTTGAGGCTGGGAAGGTCATGGGTTGTGCTTGGGATTCTAAGTCCAGTGTTGGTGAAGTGTATTAAGGAAGGTGAATGTGGCATTGAATAAAGTTGGAGAAAATGGAACCAGAACACACGGGACCTCGTAGGCTAAAGAAAGAAGTTTGGATTTCATTTTTCATCCTAACAGAAGCAATTGAAATATTCTACACAGGGAAATTTATTTTTTTGAAAGTTCCCTCCGACTAATCTTTGCTGACTGGCTGGGAAGGGATCTGAAGGAGAAGTGGGGTGTCCAGTTAAGAGGTGAGAGTTGGTGGCTTGTGTTAATGTTTGTGGTAATGCTGAAGTATAGAGACAATTTTCAGAAACACCTGGGAGGTAAAGCAGGACTTGTTGATGGGTTAGAAGAAAGCAGATGGGGTGACCAAAAAGGTAAGATTGAGAGGAAGAATAGAATCAGTGATGGCTTTTAAGTTCCAAGCTTGAGCAACAGGGCAGATGATAGTATCATTTACGGAGTTGGGGATGGTTGAGGAGGCTAATATCTGGAGTGAGGGAATCAAGAACTTAAACAATAATAGTCCCTATCACACAGAGTGGGTCTGAGGACAAAATAGTATAGATGTATATTTTCCTATACAATAGTTAGCACTTAAGTGCTCTATGTGTTATTGTTTTTCTGTTGTTGTTATTATTCCTGAGGGAGTACCCACTGGAGACATCAGGTCCCCTTGGTCAGCAAAGACATGATAATTCTCTGGGACTCAACAAATCATACTTTTATTTTCACAAATGGAAAATAAATGTTACTCTCGAAAACCCTACAATGGTGATAGAAGGATGGGGTGGACTATGTGTGCCTCAAGCAACATCAATCAAACTTTCAGCCAAGTTTTGATGACAAGATCTTTATTTCTAGCAATGATGTAAGAAGCAGAAAGAGCACAGCTGGGTTTTCAGCATTAGGTGGATACCATAAGTTCTGGAAATTGGGAAACGCACCTTCTAACTTGGAAATTGTGCTGATTTGTCTGGAGAAGTTAGAGGGAAAATAAATACAAACCTTCCCCTAACCCCGACTCCTCGTGATACCATTTACAGTGTAAGGAAGAAATCACAGAGCAAGAACGCTCAACTAACAACCCTAGCCAAAAGACTGGATGCTTAGCAAAGACCAAATGGGACAGTTACAGGGCTGTGAGGTGGATGATCTCGCTCTCTGGTTTCTACACCTTACTAGCATGAGAAGGTAGCATGAATTTTAGTAGTTTACCAACCTGGCTGCACATAAAAACTTCTGGCAGGTTTAAAGATACAGAATCCTGGGCCCCTCTCAGGAGTTTTAATGCAGTAAGCCTAGCAATCTAGATTTTTAAGTGGCTTCTACATAATTCTGATGGGATTGGTCTACACATGTAAGTTGGAAATCATTGATCTCATGATCAGAATGTTATATTATGATTTGAAAACTTTGAATCTATGAATTGCTGTGCGAACATTGGGTAAATCGCTTCATGGTTACTAATGTGATTTCCTGCCTACAAATGAGGTATTTTAGCTGACAGACAGCAAGTAGAATGTTTTACATGGAGGGTACTTGGCATGGGCTATCAAAGATGTTTTGGAATCTCTATCCTGGTAAGGGCCTGTTTGTCTAGTATCCAATGCTGTCATTCTTTCAAATGCAATCTATTCACTTCATGACTTCAAGGAGTCGTTTGGTTCCTGATGCATAGGCCATACACAAAGGATCATTGTGAATAAAACCAGTTTTTTCATTAACGATTTTAAAGGTGTCAAAGGTCACTCCTCAACATCACCAAACTAGAAGCAATGCAGAGGCACTGGGGATCAGTCCATCCATTGCTGTGTCTCAGTCAGTTTGAGCTGCCATAACAGAACACCATAGATGGGTGGCTTAAACAACACACATTTGTTTCTCACAGGTCCAGAGCTTGAGAAGTCCAAGGTGCTGGCAGATCCCTTATCTGGTGAGGGTACCTTCCTAGCTTGCAGATGATTCTCTTTTTTTTTTTTTTTAGACAGAATCTTGCTCTGTCTACCAGGCTGGAGTGCAGTGGTGCGATTTCAGCTCACTACAACCTCCGCCTCCCAGGTTCAAGCGATTCTTCTGCCTCAGCCTCCCAAATAGCTGGGACTACAGGTGCTTGCCACCACACCTGGCTAATTTTTGTATTTTTAGTAGAGATGGGGGTTTCACCATATTGGCCAGGCTGGTCTTGAACTCCTGACCTCATGATCCACCCACCTTGGCCTCCCAAAGTGCTGGGATTACAGGCATGAGCCACCGCGCCCGGCCAGATGATTGTCTGTTTTCTGTGTCCTCACATGGCAGAGCACAGAGAGGGCAAGCTCTTATTTGTTTTCTCATGAGGGCATTGGGAGGACTCCACCCTTGTGACTTAATTACCTTCCAAAGACCCTACTCCCTAAAATACCATCACATTGGGAGTTAGGATTTCACCATATGAGTTTGCGAGGGCCACAAACAGCGCTAGGTAACAAAAACATGAACAGGATTGGTGGCAAGATTTAGGCTTCAGTCTTCTTCAAGGGCCCTATGGGGAAACCAAATTTCTTGGGACTAGGAAGAATCCAGAACACTCTAAATTCCTGGCACAATCCAACCAGCTCATAGCACTGAAGTGCCAAGTTCCATACCATGAATTCTCAAGACTTGCGCCATAAGCTGGGATCCATGAAATGAACATCAGGCAAAATGAGACAGCCCTCACTATTGGGCCCCGAGATACTTAACCTATCAAATGCTTTGCTAGAAGGCTGTGGGTGAGGCTTAGAGACGTTGGTTGTCTGATGTAGAGAGATGCAGAAGTCCTGGGAGGCCCATGGAGAGACGGCAGTGCAAAGCTGTCTTCTGTACAAGGGAGAACAAACCATAAGGAAAAAGAATCTTTGAGGCTGAGAGGGGCAAAGGAACCCCTGCAGAAAGAAAACAGAATTTCCTAGGGAATTGGGACTCTCTGCCAACCCCTCCCAACTCCTGCCTGCAGTGCCTCCTCTCCAGTCTGGGTCCGGTGTAACTGTTCTATTCTCTTGCTGCTTTCTAGCCATCCCCCTCCTTGTGTTGCTGGTGGTTTGTAGCGCAGGGCCTGTCTCGTTGTCTGGGTGCCATGATGGAAGGCTACATTCTTCTTCCCCATCCAAGTTTGATCTGTCTACTCTCACCCCTGAGGTTATTAAACTGGCAAGGAAATATATGAAATCGGCATTCTTGAATGGCTCTTTAACTCTGGGCAAGGAAAGGGAAGACTATTTCCATGGTTGAAGTATTCCAACCAATTCAGAGAAAAATACCACATGAAGTCAAAATATGATCGTCCTGGCCAAGCAAGGGTTTTCCTTTATAATCATGCTGACATGCAAAGTTTTTACAGCCGTGCTTCTCCCCTGCTGTCAGTGGTATTGCCTGCTTTCTCCAGCTGGGGGATATCAGTTCAGCAGAGGTAGGGGAAGGATTTCATCTGTGGGAGGTGGTAGAAAGAAGAGAGTCCCCGGAGGATATAAACTCTGCAGTGTGAAGGAGGAGTAAAATATCCATTCTAGGAGAGGGACAAAAAGGAGCCTCGTTAGAGTAAAAAAGAGCTGCAAACCCTTAATTGAAAATAGATTTGGAGAGGCATTTTTAAATGTCATCTTTCTGGAGGGAAAGAAGAAACTTACTAAGCAATACATTTCATTTGTATAAAGTTTAAAACCAGGCAAAACTCCTCTATGCTGATGAAAGTCAGAAGTGTCTGGTGTTGCAAAGTAGTATGCTGTGAGGGTGGGGGGATTTTAGCTGGGAAGGAATGCAAGGGGGAATTCTTAGGGGCTAGACATGTTCTGTATCTTGATCTGACTGGTGGTTACCCAGCTGCATTCACAGGTAAAACTTCCTCAAGCCGTACGCTAAGATTTGCATATTTTTCTATATGTAATTCATTACTCAATACAAAAATTTAAAGTGAAACTTCTTTTTTGCCCACTTATGGATGTGGCATTGGGACACAGGTCATCTGAGTGCTCAGCCCAGGATGAGGACGCATTAATAAAACTGTGGAGCACGCCAGGAACAGTCAGAGCCTGACGTGGCAGGAGGACCGGGGGCTTCTGCTGTGAGCAAACCTGGGTCTGCATCCTGCCTGCAGGGTTTACCGTGTGTTTTGAATAAGCTTTAATTTTCTCTCAGGCTCAGTTTTCTTCTTAAGTGTGGATAATAACATTTACCTTTAAATGTTGTTTGATCCAAATACCATATGTTCTCACTTATAAGTGGGAGGGGAGCACTGAGTATACATGGACACAAAGAAGGGAACAACAGACAGTGGGGCCCACCTGAGGGTGGAGAGGAAGAGGAGGGTGAGGATGGAAAAACTACCTACAGGATACTATGCTTATTACCTGGGTGATGAAATAATCTGTACACCAAACCACTGTGACATGCAATTCACTCATGTAACAAACTTGCACATGTACCCCTGAACCTGAAAGTTGGAAAGAAAAAAAAAGTGCTGTTTGGAGGATTCAACAAAATAATGTACATAGGTATCTTGCCAAACACTTGAAATATAGATCAAAAATGGCATTTATTTTAATAGCTAGAAGATACATGTCCACACAGACTATGATGCTAAAAAATTCCAGTCATAAAAATCAGATTTTTTTTTTTTTGGACACAGTCTGTATCACCTGGGCTGGAGTGCAGTGGCATGATCATAGCTCACTGCAGCCTCAACTTCCCAGGCTCAAGCCATCCTCCCACCTCAGCCTCCCCAGTAGCTGGGACTACAGGTGCGTGCCACTGTGCCTGGCTAATTTTTGCATTTTTTGTAGATAAGAGGGTTTTGCCATGTTGCCCAGGCTAGTCTCAAACTCCTGACCTCAAGAGACCTGTCTGCCTCAGCTTCTCAAAGTGCTGGGATTACAGGAGTGAGCCACCATGCCCGGCCAAAAATTAGATTTCTATTGCAAAATGTCCTTGGGAATAAAGTTATGAATCTAAATAATTATTTAACAATAAAACACTCCACTTATTTCTAAGTATATATTATTTACATATGTTTAACTATTAAAATATTTTATTATTAAAATTATTTGAAGTTGAATGAATTCTGTGATGTGAGGTCTTCGAGAAATTACTTAACATCCTTTAGTGTGTTTCTGTGAGGTGGGATTAAAGAGATGATTTCATAGGCCGGGCACATTGGCTCACGCCTCTAATCCCAGCACTTTGGGAGGCTGAGGCGGGTGGATCACCTGAGGTTGGGAGTTCAAGACCAGCCTGAGCAACATGGAAAAACCCCGTCTTTACTAAAAATACAAAATTAGCCAGGTGTGGTGGCACGTGCCTGTAATCCCAGCTACTTGGGAGGCTGAGGCAGGAGAATCACTTGAACCCGGGAGGCAGAGGTTGCAGCGAGCCGAGATCGCGCCATTGCACTCCAGCCTAGGCAACAAGAGTGAAATTCCATCTCAGAAAAAAAAAGAAAAAGAAAAAAAAAGATGATTTCATTAGTATTATAATGATTCAACTTGGTGTTATCGAATGTGCCTTGCAATGTACCTGACATGCTGTTAGTTTCAGTTCAATGATTCAATTCAGCAGATACTTACTTAATGCCGAATATAAACCAGATATCACTTTAGTTCTTGGGAATTACAAACAAGACCACCACATAGCCTCTGGCTTCTGGAAGCTTCCAATCTAGTGGGAAAGACAGTCACATGTGCATTTATAAAACAATGTGATAAATGTTTTACTAGTGCTGCAGAAGCTACAGGAGGTATTGCACTATAGTCAGTTAGAAGACAACATGCAAGGGTTGGTGGGCATATTTAACCTTAAAAGGGGTGTAATGAGACTAGAAAATGGTGATTTAAGGCTGCCACATATTTGAAAGAGTCAATGGCCAAAGGGTTATTCATATTTTAGAATTACAAGCTTATCTGTAACCAGGAGTGTTTTTCATTAGAAGTGGATATGTTAAAATGGCAAATGGAAAGCACTTTCAAACTGCAGTGAGTCAAAAGGGGAATGGAATGGAATCCTCAGTAGGGAGGACCCTAATTCCATTGACTCCAATCCACATCAAATGCTGTCACTCTGGTTGGGGACCATGTCTGGGCATGAGAAGGAGGACCAATTCTTCCAGGGCAGTATTGAGTCATGTCTACTTTGAGAAGCTGGTGAAAGTTATGAACTCTTTCCAAGGAAAAATAAACTTGTAAACAAATGGAGCAGTCATCTCAGAAGTTATTTTCCTTCTGAAAGTTAGGTTCAGAATCTCTGTTTTAAAAGAAAACTCATATTGCTGCACTTTCTCCCCTCTCTGAAGAACCAATAAATAGTAGCAACTTCATCAATTATATTGCCATATCAACACTGTTGATCCTCAAATCACTTCTGATCAGTTCTTTGAATGTGTGATAACCTTTTTTGTACCCCATCTTACCTGACATTTCGTTGTACTTAGATGTGAGTCTTTTCCAAGATGAAGATCTCAGAGAAAACCCAATTACAATTTAGATGCTGTACTATTTATCAAACCCTCTTAAGAATAACCTAAATGTCCAACAATGATAGACTGGATTAAGAAAATGTGGCACATATACACACCATGGAATACTATGCAGCCATAAAAAATGATGAGTTCATGTCCTTTGCAGGGGCATGGATGAAGCTGGAAACCATCATTCTCAGCAAACTATCGCAAGGACAAAAAACCAAACACTGCATGTTCTCACCCATAGGTGGGAATTGAACAGTGAGAACACATGGCCACAGGAAGGGGAACATCACACACTGGGGACTGTTGTGGGGTGGGGGGAGTGGGGAGGGATAGCATTAGGAGATATACCTAATGCTAAATGACGAGTTAATGGGTGCAGCACACCAGCATGGTACATGTATACCTATGTAACAAACCTGCACGTTGTGCACATGTACCCTAAAACTTAAAGTATAATAATAATAAAATTTAAAAAAAGAGTAATAGATCAAATATTTCTATACAACATTTACTACTACTTTGAATAATAAATGAACATTACTATTTTTAGTTCCATGATTTAGAAATTAGCCTAGGACAGTGGGACATATGGCTCACAAGAACCATCTGTCCCTGCCTATTTGCTAATTCTTATGCCATATTGCTGAGGATCAAGTCTTTCATGACCTTCTTGAAAGATTCTGATGAGCTATTTTTGTTTTATGTTTTATCAGCAAGCTCCTGAAGATACAATGCCTGGAAGGTGGAATCTGGGAGCAAGGCAGCTGCATTCCTGTGGTGTGTGAGCCACCCCCTCCTGTGTTTGAAGGCATGTATGAATGTACCAATGGCTTCAGCCTGGACAGCCAGTGTGTGCTCAACTGTAACCAGGAACGTGAAAAGGTAAGGAACATTTTTTGAACTTATTTTCATCAGGCTGTGCTCTAATCTTGATGCCCAATCCAAGAAATTTGAGAAATGAAATTTCTAAAGAATTCCAACAGGCAGGGACTTGGGATTCTAATCGGGAGTGTTGGTATTATGCAATAGAAAATTCAGAAAATACCACATTTTTAAAATGTTCTCTCCTGAGTTCAGAACTTCCTCTGAGGTAAGAAGAATCCAATGGGTAGAGTACCAGGTATATTCCAAAAAGAATGCTGGGATCCTGATTTAGCAATGTGATCTCCTCTCATGGATGGCCACTGACATAAGTTGGCTACAAATACTAGTATTATTATTTTTCTAAAACAGAGTCCTGAACAGAAACACAAATTCCTCGGCAAAGCTGGAAGTGCTGTTTGACTCTTCCCCTCCCTAGGATTTTGGCACAAAAGGTCTCAAATGAAAAACACAGTCTTATCTTTGTTGTGTGACTAAAAGCAATTTTATTTTAGAATCTTTCAAGCCTCACACACATACATGAGACAGGAAGTCAAGCAGACTTCCTAGGCAAAGGTCAGCGTCCTTGTCTGCTCCCTTGGCACCTGTTATCTTAGTTTCCAGTACTCCAAGGTAAGCACCATGGAACAGATGTGAAAAGAATATGGCAGAAAATGAGACCCCTGAGAAATCAAGCACATCCGGTTGCACTGATGGGTTAAGGAACCATCAAGTTGACCAGATGAAGGGAGGGCTACCTACATTTCTAAAATCTTACTTTTTGGGGTTTTGAGAGTTAGTGCTACTCTCTATGTTCTAGATAGAGTATAATTCGTGAAGCCAAGAGTTACACAAACCAGCACACATGTGGAGAAAGGGAATAGAATTTTGGTGAGACCAAAAACAACTATGATGTGTCCATTTAAGCAGACAGGCAAAAACACACCTTTAGGAAATATTATGAATTGGTTTCACTGGATGAAACTCGTCTTGAAAAAATCTGACATTTGCCACCAGCAACATTTGTGTGATAGTAGGGGATGAATCAGTGTAAAACAACACCATCTGGGAAACAATTCCAAAAATAGCTCTGAATATATGAGCTTCGGTTGATAGCTGATTGTGTTCCTATATATAAAGGAAAATACATTGTTAATGCATTTCATTAGTGGAAAAAAATTGTCATCATGATTCCTCTGCTTGGAAAAAGCAAAGAATTTTTTTTTTTTTTTTTTTTTTTTTTTTGGCCAGTAACAATATGTTGTTTCAATAGTGTCTTTTGGTCCAGGTTCTAGAACTGGAGAATACTACCACTTAATCAGACCACTTTTTTCAACTCTCAATAAAGTTAACAAAACAATAATTAAGATGTTTACTTTTGATATTCTAGCTTCCCATCCTCTGCACTAAAGAGGGCCTGTGGACCCAGGAGTTTAAGTTGTGTGAGAATCTGCAAGGAGAATGCCCACCACCCCCCTCAGAGCTGAATTCTGTGGAGTACAAATGTGAACAAGGATATGGGATTGGTAAGGATAGGAGTGAATCTTAAAGTCAATTTCTATGTCATTCTTTTATTAAGCACAGCTGAATTTTTTTTAATTTTATTTATTTTTGTCAGACGGAGTCTTGCTCTGTCGCCCAGGCTGGGGTGCAGTGGCACAGTCTCAGCTCACTGCAACCTCCATTTCCCGGGTTCAAGCAATTCTCCTGCCTCAGCCTCCCAAGTAGCTGGGACTACATATGCCTGCCACCACACCTGGCTAATTTTTGTGTTTTTAGTAGAGATGGGGCTTCACCAGGTTGGCCAGGCTGGTCTCAAACTCCTGACCTCAGGTGATCTGCCCACCTCAGCTGGGATTACAGGCATGAGCCACTGCACCCAGCCCGCCCAGCTGAATCTCGAATCAGACACTGTTCTCCCTGAAGAGTGGATTGAAATGCAAGTTGACTCTTAGCTGCTTTAGTAAAATTGAGATTTATGGCAACTTTGAGGGGCCTAGACCAGATGGATTTGTGGTATGGTTTGTAGCTCCAAGATGAAAGGTGGGACTGTGTAGCCACATAGCATGTGTCTGCTGGGCTCCTCCATTCTACTTCATTCTCTGTGGTTGTTACTGGAGTGGAGAATTACTGAAAGAGATGATTTGACATTCCTCTTTCATGCATCATTCTTCAGCCATTCTTTCTCTGCAGAGGAATAGGCTCCAGAGTCGTGGACAACTTCTTATTCAAGCAATTACAATTAAAGGTCTTCGTGGCCAGAGCTGATTTATAGTCATGTTAACTTTGCCTTGGCTGGCCCTAAATATCATAGGAAAGAGTTGTAGCTGATGCGAAACCTTGTAAGATTACTCCTAAATTCTGAACTGCATTAGCAAGGAGTAATTTTATCGGACATTCTAACCAATGCCAATGAGTATAATTTGCATTAATTAGGAAGCTCATTGCCATCTTCAAGGTGCTCTTTGCACAGTGATGTCTTGTGGTCAGGCATAGAGTATCAGGGAATTCAGATGCTCCTCTTGGGTGGTATTTCACAAACAGGTTCTCATCCTCCAAGCCTCCAATTTCTGCGTTAAAATATCATATACTCACATATCTAGAGGCCTTAAGAGGAATGTAGTTCTTTTGATTGTTTTAAAAGTCACTGAACCCACTAACTCGTCGGTGGGTGCAGCGCACCAGCATGGCACATGTATACATATGTAACTAACCTGCACAATGTGCACATGTACCCTAAAACTTAAAGTATAATAAAAAAAAAGTTAAAAATAAATAAATAAATAAGAGTCACTGAAAAACATAGAAACCTAGACAGTAAGGACTAAAAAGAAACTTGGAAATCATCAAATCTATAGATGAGGAAATAGAGAACCTAGAGAGTGTATTTTCTCTTAATATAATTTTAGGAGACATTTGGACTCTGTGTGGAAGGGAATAGAGCAAGATTTTTCTACAAGAGACCAACACATGCCCAAAGTCTCTGCTTCTGATTCTTCACTGCTTCCTCCTTTAATCAAATAGGTTTATTGGCTGCTGATGCAATTATCTTTAGTACAGCAATAGAAAGAATAGTCTCTGGAGTAATTTTATAATTTCTGGGCCATTTCCCGCCACCCACCACCACCACCACCAGCATGTCAAGTTCTTAGGTAGTAGTTGTTGCAATTTTAAGCTTCCAGGAGACCATGTAAACAGGAATATTAGATATATTTAAAAGTTATGAGCCAATCAGGATAGACTTTGTCTAGCTAGAGTCCTGGAGGGGATCTTGGAGGCCAGCTGGGCCAAGAGTTAATCTTTCAATTACTACATCATGTAGAAATTCAGGCATTCCAGAGGAGGGGTTATCCTGGACAGGACAGAGGAGGGGACACCTGCAGCAAGTTGAGTTAGGTTGGGGCAGAGTCTCTTTACCAATTAGTGTGAAGGTATTCCTACAGGAACACAGTAGATGAATATCAGCCCTGCCTACAACGTCATAATATGGTGACCCATGATGAAAGCAGTTGTTCTTTAAAAACTCAAAGCTATTGATTCCTGAAAGAAAAAGAATGAGATCTGGGAAGTTCAAGTCTCTGCTGTAAACTTCTGTTCTTTCAGGTGCAGTGTGTTCCCCATTGTGTGTAATCCCCCCCAGTGACCCCGTGATGCTACCTGAGAATATCACTGCTGACACTCTGGAGCACTGGATGGAACCTGTCAAAGTCCAGGTGAGGAAAGGGACATTGTTATGTGCCAAAGACATGAGTCTGCTGAGCAACACTTGGAGCATTATTTTTTGGAGTAATTTCAGAGGCTTTCAAAGCATCCTCAAAGCAAACAACCACATGGATTATTCCTAGAAAGAAGGATTAAACATTGAAAAGAAAAAAGAGGGAAGCTTGAAAACAAAGATATCCGCCGAGGTGGGCGGATCACAAGGTCAGGAAATTGAGACCATCTGGCAAACACAGTGAAACCCCATCTCTACTAAAAATACAAAAAATTAGCCCAGTGTGGTGGCGGGTGCCTGTAGTCCCAGCTACTTGGGAGGCTGAGGCAGGAGAATGGCGTGAACTCCAGCCTGGGCAACAGAGCGAGACTCCATCTCAAAAAAAAATTCAAGTATATCAAGTATACTTTTAGATGCCTACAGAGTTTATTTGCCTTGCTCTGGGGGTTCTGCTTTGTATTCCTGCCTGACTTATAGAATAATACATTTTTATTAAAGGAAGAATTTCTGAGGTCTTAGGTAGTCTGGCGTTTTGATGAAAAACATATCGAAGTAGCAACTGACATAAAAGGAAGAATGAGGTCCTCCGGGGTTCAAATACAATGTCACTTACTCCTTGGAGCCTCTGTCTGCTCACCTGCAAGGGTGAGGGTAATATCTAGCTTGCATGGTTGTTATTAAATTTAAAATAACACATGTGAAATGTCTTGCACAGTTTCTAGCACATAGTTCTTAATTAAATAGAAATGAGATTTCAGTTCACTTAGTACAAATCTTACCCCTTGGAAATATCCTCCATCCCTGAAAAGATATCACTAGCTATCTCCATGCAAAATAAAGAAAAATGGGGTTCTATAGTTTGTGTGTGTGTATATGTGTGCACGTGTGTGTATATACAATAATGTCTAGGTCATTTGTCTTTTTTTGTCTCTTTTATAAACTGTGCTGAGAAAGGAACTAATGGCTATTCACTGTTCCCTATTGGAACACCTCTGACAACAGAAGCAATTTCTAAGAGCTTTTTATTGTGAGACTGAGAAGAGAGGCAGGATGAAAATATAGTACTTTTAGATGTGTCAAGGGCATGCTGGATGTGAGAGACAAGGGCATGCTGGATGTGAGAGATGTAAGGGTTTGAAGTTTTCAGATGGACTTTCTAGGCCCTTGTCATTGCAATGGTGTCTTCCTCCTTCACCTGTTACGCATGGGGATCTAGACCCTTCTGGTGGGGTAAGGAGTATACTGACAGAAAGGAAGGATGCCAGACCAATCTATGTCTGCCAGCCAAGGTGATTGAGCAGTGGGACCTGGCAGTTGCGACAGGCAGGGGGCAGCCGAATCGTCAATGGTGATGCCCATTGCTCATGTCCTCATGTGCCCAGATCAAAGGCCTCTGCCCAATGCCCCTGCACCTGCAGCAGCACAGACACTCCTGTTGTCCAAGGCACCTGCACCCAGCAAGTGGGAGAAGCTCCCTCAGACTTTCACTAGAGGCACTTTTTTATTTTCTCATCCCTTTTTTTTCTAGATTCTTATTCTTTTTCTTCTTTTCTGCCATGCTAATCCCAATTCCCCAGTAAACTGTACTACTGCTGAGGGTGGAAATGATACCTTCTCCTTCACCCCCGGTATCTCCTCAATGCGGGATTCATTTCATCTTTTACTCAGGAGGAGGTGGCTGCAGGAAATCAAAGGGCCCACAGAAAAGGATGACTGCCACAGAGCCATTTCTCAAAGAAAGCCTTTTTGTTTTCCCAAAAAGCTTATGTTAAGTTGAATTTTTATGATTATCCTTAATCATGATGTCAAGAGAGTGTTTTACTGTATCTCATGACTTTAAAATAGGAAAAATTAATGTTTTGCAAAGTAGTAGTCCTTCAGGAGACTGATTTCATGGAGAATTTTTTTAACATATTGTGGCAATTGTTTGCATGTAAATGAGTTTTTCTAAATAGCATTTGAAAGTGTTTCCTTCTGAAGTACAAAGACATTCATCATGACATCTCATTTCCCCTATTATTTTGCTTCATAAATTCATTTTTCCACAGACTAAACAGCACTATTTTTCTGGAATACCATAATTATGAATTAGTGAGGTCCAAATAAATGAGATTTTCCTGTGGATACATGAAATAGGTTTGCAAAGAGCCTTTAACACTATATGAAATCTCTCCCAAATTCCCAGCTTTTCAACAGAATTCTCCAGTTATATCAAATCTTATAATTTCTAACTTTGTTTTCCCAAATTGTTCCCCAAAACATAAATAGTGCTTTAAATAAAAATGACTGTTTTAAAGAGAAGGGAGAAGGAGGAAGAAAACGAGAAGATAATACACTGGCAAAAGCCACAGTTTCCAACCAAATGACCTCACTCTTCCCTCTGGCTCTTAATGCTCAGCCCCACCCCCAAAGTGTCCTCTTGATGGGTACAACTGTGTGTAACAGCTCCAGTGACACTGGCTGCAGATCATTGGAGACTCAGACATGAGTCATGGAAAGGTCTTCTTTTTCATCATTTTTAAGCATGGAATCATTCCCTCTAGGCATCAAGTGTCCCATCACTGGAGGAGAGTAGACAAGAGCGTCTTGGAGGAAAGGGGAGGAGGAACAGAAAAGCAAGTTGCAGGGTAGTGTGCTATGGTCTAAATAAACATGCAAAGGATGTTTTACTCAGGAGCACATACATGTAGCAATAAGGAAATTATCACAAATGTGGACATTGGCAGAACTCTGTGCCCTGATGTGATTAGCAGCCCATTCTGTCAAATAACTACTCCCATTAAAAAATAATTGAGCAATTTTCTGTTAGCCTTTATTGTTGGCTATTCTTGAGTTTTGTGACCTTTAACAAGACATTTAACCAGGCAACGGCCTTCATGGTGACTTATGACCATCCTAGTAACCTTTACTGTTTCTTTCTTTCTCTTTCTTTTCTTTTCTTTTCTTTTCTTTCTTTCTTTTTCTTTCTTTTCTTTTCTTTCTTTTTCTTTCTTCTTTCTTTCTCTTTTTCTTTTTCTTTTCTTTCTCTCTTTCTTTCTTTTTCTTTCTTTCTTCTTTCTTTCTCTCTTTCTCCCTCTCTCTTTTCCTTCTCTTTCTTTCTTTCTTCCCTTCTTTCTGTCTTTCTTCCTCCCTCTCTCTCCTCTTTCTTTCTCCCTCTTTCTCTTTCTGACCCCCTCTCTCTCTCCCACGTCCTTCCTTCCTCCCTCCTTCCTTTCTTCCTTCCCTCCCACTCCCTTCCTCCCTCTATTTTCTTTTCTTCCTTTCTTTTCCCCTTGCTTTTTAGAAACTTTCAAATTGTCCAATCAGGAGGAAATTTTTAAACTAATTTTCTCTTAAACTTTTTTTATGTTGGAAAGTTCAAAACAAATCTTTGGCATTTAGATACTGGAACTCAATCATGCAAGAAGTTGCTTGCTAATAGCATAATTGCAATAGTTGCAATAACATAGTAATGCATAGATTTGCATTTGTACAATAACAAATTCAGAATAGTTGTTACCAATAGGGAGGAAGGAAGTATAATTATATTGGAGGGACATATATAGGAGACATGAATTGAATCTATAGTGACATATTCTGGAAAATGTTAACAATTTTTGATAAAGTTAGGCAAAGGATATAAAGTTTTCTTATCATTATAGCTTTATATGATTGTAATTTTTCAAAAGTGTTTCAGAAAATAAGAAAATCAGCTGGGCACAGTGGCTCCTGCCTGTAATCCCAACACTCTGGGAGGGCAAGGTAGGAGAATTGCTTGAGGCCAAGAATTTTAGACCAGCCTGGGCAACACAGTGAGACCCTATCTCTATAAAATAAAAATTTTTTAAAATTAGCCTGATATGATACATGCCTGTAGTTTCAGCTAGTCAGGAGGCTGACGCAGGAGAATCACTTGAGCCCGAGAGATTGAGGCTGCAGTGAGCCATGATTGTGCCACTGAACTCCAGCCTGGGTGACTGAGACTGTCTCAAAAAATATATATATAAATAAATAAATAATAAAAGAAAAGAAAATTGTTTCACCTCTCACCAGGAGCCAGCCCTTCCCTGTCCATCTCACTGCTTTGCTTTTCTTCCTGTTTCACAGCCCTCTTGCTCCTCAAATGCTCCCATAGAATTGAGTCTTGAAAAACATTTGAAATTTCCCTCCAATTATAATTGCTAAGTACTTGTTTTATTAATGGCATATACATATATTTATAAATAGGGAACATCTTTATGAGATATATGATTTTCATAGAAGAAGGCTAGAGACACGATATCATAATTAGTGGCTGGCAAATGCTTGTAAAATTTCGTCTTTCCATAAGTCACTGAGGTAAGAAGTAGGAATGCTAGATAGTCCCTATTCTAAAGGATTTTGCAATCTAGGAAAGGATATGACACAGGTACCACCAACTTTTGCAATTTCTGTAGCAGTTAAGGAGAGATGTCAGTATAAATTAATTAGTCTCAAAATTGAATTATGCATCATTAAAAATCTATAAGGTGGGTATTGTCAACTCCACTATTATGAATTTATTCTTCAGATATACTTGTACATGATTTATATATAAGCTTTGTTTGTTATAGCAAATGACTGGAAATAACCAAAATATTCATCAACAGGGATCTGATTAAAGATTTTGAACTCTTTAAGGGCCTTGACTAGGTTTATGGATTTTCAGATCCCCTTGCTCACTGGAAAATCTGACCCATAGTGAGTGAGTGAGGTATTTATATGTTTGGTCTGAATTGAATAACTGACTGATTAGGGTGGGGAACTGGGGGTCCATAGTGAATACCCTCCTATGAGAAGGAATAAAGTTCTCATACATTTACCTTTCAAAGAACAAATTGTATTTTGCCATTGCTACTATCTGGGACCCCAAAGTAGTACAAACCATTGATATTTTAAATAATAAAATTTATGACCACTGCTCAGTAGAGCTCCAGTGGAACCTGCTTTAAAGCATAAACAAGAATTATTTCTAGTTAACAGAATTACTGTTGATATGCAAATGGTTCTGCATAAATGGCTGTAAGTGCAGGAGAATAACTCACTTTTTCAGTAGGCTGAACACCCCTTTTGTGTTTACCTTATATATTTATTTTGATAACCCCTTTTTAATACAATAATGACTTAAGCCAAGTCACTTTCAAATATTGCAATATGAAGTTTTGAATATCAAACTTTATAAGGATTTATACTACTTATTTTCCCTCTAGAGAAGCTGTGAAGGAGGAGTTTTAGCTTTTAGCAGTACGACTCCAGAAAAATATTGCAGATCCCCATTCTCCTACCTGACTATGAGGTATATATTTATAGACCTGCATATTAGCATATGTGAATGTCTCCAATCTAATGATTACACATTGTTAGCTTTCTAGAATTCCTGTAGGTGCTATCTCGTGTAAAGCTCCTGTGTTGCCATGTATTCTTTTTCTTCTGAGTGCATGGAATTTCAGTTGGACTGATTAAAATGTGAATATGCAGGTCTGCAGAAGGGTGGGTTGGTAGCAGGCTATGGAGAGAACCTTCTTTTCTCTTTGAAACCTGCCATGGGACTTTCTTTTATCCTTAGAAAAGCATATTCTTTGAGAATTTTAAACTATAAAAAGAAAAAGAAAAAAGTTTTGTGAAAATGAGTTATTATTATTTAACAAAAAGTAGATGACTATTTGTTTAAATATGCATCTGGAAATGGCCATCAGGAAAGAGGCAGTCAACAGCATCTCAAGATGAACGTAACTGCGCTCCCACCAGCTTGATGTTGGTGTCATTTTGAGTAGCAGTGATTTCACACTAGCCCTGTGTGTCCTGCATATGTGTACTGTCTGGTTTCCTACAGGGCAGGCTGCATGATGATACCAAGAATTACAGAGTGCAATTTCACCTCCAGTCCTGGTGTGGGCACTCACATCTTATAATCTAGCATTTCTGAGGTCCACATTTAGTTGAAGAATCTGTAAAACTGTATTTGTCGATCTTTAAAAGCCCATTGTGTGTGATCAACACAACCATCTTACAATTTCTTGTAACATTATTTAAAATTTCAAAATAAGTGGAACTAATATTATGCCTGAAACCAGATGAAACTCATTATAATATTGAGGATGCTTTTTTAAACCACACTACACCACTCTGAAAATTTCGGTATCTTGGGAAAGAGGATGAAAAGTTTCGAGAAATCTCCTCCACTGAGACTTCCTGCCTGAACCACATCTGTCAGGGTGGGCAGTGTGCACGGGAAAGGCTAGATAGCCCCAATCCACTTTATGGGACACAATTAGAAACTAGCTGCTTGAGAAATGGAGTTGGACTCCTGTGGTGAGCTCAGGATTTGCCCCTTCTCACACACAACAAATGTCTTTAATTTTGTTTTCTGTTTTTCCCGTCTTTCCCCTTAGAGCATTGTGTGCACTGGCCGGCGTCAATGGCACCCAGACCCCGTCTTAGTCCACTGCATCCAGTCATGTGAGGTAAGATAGCCTCCCCTTCCCCAACTCAGACTAGAGAACTCAGGTGGATTTAACTTATGGAGCTTGAATCCTTCTAATTTAGGACCTGGTCCCTCTCCTATTCCTCTGTCCTTTGTTTAACTTCTTAAATTAAGTTGGTTCCACGATCTTAAATTTACAGAAATTAGGAGTTCTGATTTTTGTTTTGTTTTAGCAAAATCTTTGGAGATCCACTTTAAATGACTTAATAAAAGCTAACTTAAAAAGCAAGTCAGAATTATTTATGGTTTTGGGATTCTGTAACTGGGCCTTGTTTGAGCTTAATTCACTCAGGGTTTTGGAGACTGATGGCCCACTGACAGGTTTATTTGGCCAGCACAATGTCTAAAACCAATTTTCTTTTTGGTTGCCAATGTTTAAAAATTAGGATTTTTACATAAAATTCATATGTGCATATATAACATTACACACATATGCACACATCCCAAATAAAAATAAATATTTAAAACTCTGCACAAAGATTTTTCTCTTGAAAAACAAGACTAGCTGGCAACCGTGATGACAATTAGCTGGATCTGAGTAGCAGCTGCACCCCAGGTGGGCAACTCTCTCCAGTTAGCACAGCTTTTACCTTTCCCTATGGCTACTTACCTGGTGGGCACCCCTTGTTTAAAATAACTGCCTGGGTCATGCAGGCATCTATGCTTGCAATCTCTTAGGTAGACCTGTTGTCCACTGTTGATTAACCAAACTAGACCTTTACCACCTCAAGAAATCTTGTCTACTTCTTCACATAGTAGATTCCCCAATCAGTGGGGGGATGTAGGCTGCTGTGATTTCTTTAGTTAGATTAACTGAAGTTAATTTTAAAAGTCAACTTTTAAATTGAAGTTAATTTTAAAAGTCAACTTTTAAATAGGGCAGAATATTTCTAAGAAACGATGACCTAGAAATTCTGTCATAGGGGAAGGAGATGCTTACACACACACACACGCACACACACACACACACACCATTTAAGCCCTCCCAACCTAAGAATAGCCAGTGACAAGTACAAGCATTCTCGTCTCAGTCACAACAGGTTTTGTCATCCATATCTCACACTGGAAGGAAATAAGCCACTTAGCAGCAATCTTGGGTAATTATGGCTCCTGTAGGTGCTGCAGAGAGACCCCTTTAACTGCCCTGATTTCCAGCTTCTTCCCTGATGCACACCCAACCCACATGCATGTCAAGTCCATTCTTCTGTATCTCTGTGTTTCTTGATCTAATTCTGGGAATCCAGGATCCACATGAGACTGGAGAGGGGGAAAGGGTGGGGTTTGAGAGAAAAGGGAAAACTGGCTGGGGAAATCATACCAATAAAACAGCACTCTGCGAGCGCATCAGGAAAAATGCTAGCATGGAGTGTGCTTTGTTATGGTGTGGGCCAACAAAACAGCTCATCTTCTGCCATCATTAGAAAAACAGATGGCAGTGGGGTGGGGACGCGGGAGAGAGAAGGAGTGAATCATCCACTGGGCAGGGGGTAAGAAGGAGGGAAGAGAGGAGGCCAGGGAAGGAGGGAGATAAACAGACAGAAGACTGGGGAGCTGGGAACAGATCAAAGGGATCCTGAGAATTCCCTTCTGCTGCTTCTATGCATGATCTCAAGTGGGAGGGTGGATGACAGGGCTTGGAGCTGGCTTCCGTGTTTCCCAGAGGGTTATAATACAGACCTTTTCCCATTTGTTCTCCCCTCCTCCCTGCACCCCAGCACATCAGCGGGGTCACTTATCCAGAGCTTCCTAGGCTGTCGTCAGTCCCTTTGTTGATGTGACAAGGAACAAAAGCTCCATGTCTCCTCTGCCTGACTGCTGGGCTGATGTCTCCTCTGCCTAACTGCTACCAGGCAACAGCTGTTGGTTCCCCTGCTCCAGTGGTTCTCAGCATCACCTGGGAGCCTACTGGAAATGCACATTCTCAGGCCCCCGAATACCTACTCGATCAGAAACTGGGAGTGGGGCCCAGCAGACTGTTTTAACAAGCTTCCAAATGATTCTGAGGCTTGCTAATACTTGAGAACCACCGCCCCAACCGAGAGTTTGTTGTGCAGCAATAATTGTAGCTAACATTATTTAGCCACTTTGAGGGTGGAAGGAAGATACAACGATACAGGTGAATCAATCCCTGTAGGAAAGGAAGGGGAACTGGACAGGAGAGGAGAAGGAGAAACAACTCTGAAGAAATAAGTAATAAAAAATGCAAAGAGGCGGGTGAAAATGAAAAAGAAAGGACAAGAGAGGCTGAAACTGGCATGCTCTAGGGGCAAATTGGCAGACACTTAATTCTTTACTGGAAAAAGTCAGCAAAATATATTAGGGAGAACAGAAGAGTGTCAGGGACAGATGGAGGGAAAACAGACTGGAGGCAAGATAAAGCCAAGCCGGCCAGGTAGGAGAGAGGAAGCTTTTAAAAGTGCAGCACAGAAATCTGAGCTCAAATAAGGTATTTTGTTACCCAGTATCTAAAAGGGTTTTCTGCTTTTTGCTTCCCAGTACTGAATATCATTCTAAGAGGCCTCCTTTTAATATTTAGCCTTGTAAGGGTGGAGTGCCTCATTCATTATTTCTCCCAATAAGCCCAAGGCAGTAAATCCACCAGCTCAGTATCCTCAGCCCATATTGCCCTTCATGTTACTTCAGCACTTTTGTTTGCATCATATTCTCTTGGCATAAGGATTTGCTTTCAATTATCCACTATTCTGTGCTGCTTATGTTTTCTGAGGTGCCACTAAGACTTTCTTTAAAAACTCTTATCTAAATAATTCCATCTTCTTATGTTAGGTCATAAGCCAGTTGTTGCTGCTTGTGTTCCCATTGTCCCAGCAAGAACACACGTATGCTACATATCTGCAATCCAAAATTGTTGGTACGTTCAATTCTATTTTTCTAGTTGTTGCTTGCATTTGGCCTTTGAGACCTGAATACTCCTTGTATCTTCTGTTTCTTTCGTAAACTGCATATGGGCAAGGAATGGCAACTTAGTTAATGGAAAACTTTTGAAGTCAAACGACCCTAGATTCCAATCCTGGGTCAGCTGAGTAGTGTGAGCCTCTGTATTGGGAACTGGGTCAACAAAGCTATTTTAAGGAGTTGTTAAGAGGGATGCATGTGATAGCATACATAACGCATTGAGTGTCATGCCTGGCCCGTAAGAGATTCTTACTGGTGTCATTTATTTAAGCTATTAGCCACTTCGTGAATGTTTACTGAATGAGTAAAGCAGAATGCAGGGGCATTGCTGCTGGTGTAGCCCCAATGTAATTAGTTGTAAACTGAGGATGTGAAAAAGGAAAGGAAAGGAAAAGAAAAGGGAAATCGGTCATACCAATAAAGACCAACTGAGATCCATAATTCACAAATGACTTGGAGACATCGATTGTGTCCAATCAGTCATCAGGTCAGTCGGTCACCAGATCATTATATGAGTAGCTCTACTCATTCCTACAGTTGCCCACACTGGTTGGGACCTCAACATTTCTCATCTGGACTTTTGCAGTGATTTCCTAATTGCTCTCCCTTCCTCCAGACCTGTGCCCATCAATTTCCTTCATTCTCTCTATTGCTAATACAGGGTTCTTTCTATTGTGTCTCTTCTGCTAAAAATATCTCAGGAACTCCCCATTGTTTTCACATTTAAGCCAGACTCCTTTGCAGGTAGTAAATAAGTCTTTGTCTTTCAGCCTTCTGTCTCTTCAAATCTCTTTGTGCACACTCTACTCCAGGCATAAAAAGCCTTTTCCAACATAGTTTTCTAAAAAATGCTTGGGCTTTGCACTGTCTGTTTGCTTGATCTAGGATTGAATATTTGTCCCACCTGTGGGGTGACACTGGGCAAGTTGTATTAGATTCTTGTGCCTCATTAGCCTCAACATAGTTTTAATAGAGTTTTTATAACAGGGTTTTAATAGTAATGCTTATTTCATAAGGTTACAGTGAAGATAAATGAGATAAATGAGTTATTATAGGCAGTGAGCTCAGTCTAATGTCTTGTACATAATTGTGCATTATAAATCTTATCTATTTCATTATCCATCACAGAAGTATTGTTGTTGCCACATGTTACTTCACTCCCTGTATCTTCATGCATGTTGAAACCCATTCCCGGGACTCATCCTGTGACTTATTTCTCTAAGCCAGTGATTCTCAGCTAGGGACAATTTTGCACCCACCACTTCTCACATTAGGGGAAATGTCTGAAGACATTTTTAGTTGTCACGACTGGGCGAATGGGAGGAGATGCTGAAATATAGTGAGTGGAGGACAGGGATGCTGCTGAATATCATACAGTGCACAGTATAGCCCACAACAAAGAATTATCCTGCCCCAAATGCCAATAATACTGCCCTTGAGACACTGCTGTAGACTAACTCCTCTTGATCTTTCAACACATTTTTTCTACTTGGAGTATTTAATGACTGGCACTCCACCCACCACCCACCCTCAACCACAGATGGGTTATATAATCATACTCTGGTCTCTATTTTACCACTTACCACCTTAGGGAAAGTATTAGTTTCCTGTTTGTCTGCTTTATGATGCTGTAACTACTTACAAGCTGAAGATATTGTCTTTTCCATTATTATATCTTAGCTACTCAACACGATGTTTGAATGTTTGAAATAACTGGGGCTCAGAAAACATTTATTGATTGAAAGTAATTTAATTTGCACATGGATTTTAAAATTATAGATAAGTATGCAAATATTTTATGATAACTGTATAAAAGACCTGTTAAATGCTTGTCCAATAAAGTGTACTTTCTTCCCAGCATAGAGAAAGAAAGGAAGAGAGGAAAAGAAAGAGGAAAAATGGTTTTCCTCATCTCCTGGGGTAATAATTGAAGTGAGTGTTCACTCCATCCATGAACACTGTGATATTATCAGATAATAGATTACCTTCTTCCTTCCCTTCCTTCCTTCCTTCCTTCCTTCCTTCCTTTTATTTTTCCTTTTTTCTTTTTTTCTCTTTCATAAAGCCATATTTATTAATTCTACCAAAGTCCACAATCCTAGATTCTACTTAAGCCAAGAAGATTTTGTTCTCTAGGGAATGTACCTAGGGATAAAGACTTATCTTATAATTATAGTCTCCTTTTACATAGAACTGATTAGTTTTCTTCATACTTATGGGATGATTAAAATCCACCTAATTCTTGGCTCTGCTTTCTCTGTGAGCATGTATTTCTTGCAAGTTCATCCTATTCTTTCCAGCAGTCTCCATTTTGAATTACAGTTTTGATCTCTTCAACTCTTTGTTGATAGAGTTGTGCCCTTTCTTTTTAAAAAGAGAGAGCTGCAGAGAAGGACAGAGGCCGAGTGATGTCAGAGAATTAGGTTCAAATTCTGACTCTACCCTTCGTTAGCTATGCGCAGTACCTGTCAGGCTTTCTCTTAGAACTTCTGTGAGAATCAGGTGAAATAACTGATTTTAACGTGTTTTATGAATTGTCAAATAATATAACGTACTAGCAGTGATACTGCCTAAGGAATGACACATGTAACTTTGTGAGGACAGGGTCATATTGAAACAAGATATTAAGAATCAAGGCCAGGCACAGTGGCTCAATCCTGTAATCCCAACACTTTGAGAGGCTAAAGCAGGAGGATCACTTGAGGTCTGGAGTTTGAGCCCAGCCTGAACAACATAGCAAGACCCTCATCTTTACAAAAAAATGAAAAGTTAGCCAGCTAACTATGGTGGTATTCACCTGTGGTCCCCAGATACTCAGGAGGCTGAGGTGGGAGGATCACTTGAGTCCAGGAGTTTAGGTTACGGTGAACTATGATCATGCCACTGTACTGCAGCCTGGGTGCCAGAGCAAAACCCTGTCTCTCTCAAAAAAAAAAAAAAAAAAAAAAAGGAAGCAATTCAATTACATCTAGTTTATATCTTTATGACTTTTTATTATACACTGCAAGTATCCATGGTTAATTGATATCCTTGGGGCTACCAATGCAACTTATAAGGCCTTTTAAAGTTTGGGAGGAAATTTCCAATAACTCTGTCTGAGCCTGAGCTGCCATTTCCTCTCTAAATTCAATGCATACCTTTGTAGATGCCTATTGTCTCATCTATCACATATTTCAAGGTTATCTAATAGGTCTATTCTTCCAGTAGTCTACCAACTCCTGAGTGGCAGGAAGTGTGTTTTGTTCACTTTTGTATCCTCTTTGAGAGACACCTAATTCTTCAGTGACACCTGCTTCTATTCCCCTAAAGACAGAGATGGAAAGTTGCAGACAGAACTTTGACTTTGAGAGTCTTAAATGGAAAAGACTGAATCAGTTTTCTGTGAAGTTGCATAGTGGAAGTAAAGTAGGGACAATACAGATGGAGAAGTAGAAAATAAAAACCCTGTCATGAGTGGAATCAAAAGGCCTTGTAACCTCAGTGAAAGTGGCATGGTGGCAGAAACAAAGGCTTAACACAGCTCCATCTCTAATTAGCTATTTCCTTGGGCAAGTCAGTTAACTTTTCTGAATTTAAGTTTCCTTATCTTTTAAATTAGACAGATAAAATTCATCTCTTAAAATTGTTGTGAAGATTCAGGTTCAGAAAACTGTGGAGATGTGGTTTGGGGCCTTCAGAGAGGTCACACCTCAGTAAAGCATGGTTGTGCTAATTTTTCAGGAATAACGGCAAACCTGTTCTTGTTTCTGGGAATGTTTTGCCTTCCAAGTAGATTTTGGTTTTCATTACACCCACAGGTCCTTCTCTTATAGGGCCTCTTTTCAGATTTACAGCCTTCTTCTTGGTTAGCCTCAACTTCTTATTCATTGGATGGATTAGGTTTTGGAAATCTGTTAGTACTTCCTTCCTTGACTTTCATTTCAAGACCAATTCTGGTTTTGGATTTACTGCTTCTACCATGGGACTAGCCCACCCGCAAGAGAAAACTCAGTCTAAGATAGGATGGATATGAGAGTCAGGACATGATAAAGGATGCACAAGTACCTACTGTGTGAATATTTGATAAACATAATTGAGTATGTGATAAAGGTTAGTCAAATTGCATTTATCAGTAATGCTGAATCACTTCTGTTACTCAAAGCACAAGGATACTTCTCCCCACTATTAATTCTCATAGAACAGTGACAGGCAATACAAGTGTGTGTATATGTTGAGAGGGCGAGAAGCTGAGCTGGGCTGGAGAGAGAGTTGGTAAAGGACTGTTTAATAAGACCAGTAAGACCTTTTATATCACCTACCTAAGTATTTTGATTTTCTTGAAAGAATGAGGAGCTGTCAGAAAAGCCAAGCAGTATTTGCCATTTTAGAAAAAAAGAAGTTGAACAATAAGAGCTACCTGCCTGCCAAGTTTGATATTTTCTTTCTTTCTTTCTTTTTTTTTTTTTTTTGAGAAAGAGCCTCACTCTGTCACCCAGGCTGGAGTGCAGTGGTGCGGTCTTGGCTCACTCCAACCTCTGCCTCCCAGGTTCAAGCGATTCTGCTGCCTCAGCCTACCAAGCAGCTGGGACTACAGGCATGTGCCACCACACCTGGCTGATTTTTGTATTTTTAGTAGAGACAGGGTTTCATCATCTTGGCCAGGCTGGTCTCAAACTCCTGGCCTCAGGTGAACCACCCATCTCGGCCTCCCAAAGTGCTGGGATTACAGGCGTGAGCCACCATGCAAGGCCAAGTTTGATATTTTCTACTAGAAAAAGTTTTAGAACAAATTTCTCTAAGTACAGACCCTAAATTTATAAGGAACATGCTCTCCTATACTGATGCCGTGTTCTGTGAAAGAATCAATGAGTCCTATAAGATAAAGTAGAAGCCACTTCTTAAATTTAGTAGATATGTTATTCTGACCCAAATGATGTACTCCTGCTTTCAGAAGGCAGCCAAAGGAGTTGACCCCATCTCGGATCATTACTACATGCTCTGTTGATTGGGAAGACCCAGCCAGTGCAATGCCCAGGGCTGTCTCTGGTCACACCTTGTCTTTAAGTAGTTCACATTGGCAATGGATTCAGCTTATAGTGTAAAAAAAAAAATGCTTAAGAATTATATAGGGTGCGGGGTATTTATTTTTTAAATGCAGATTCTTAGGTTCTGCCCCTCCCTCCCAATTCTTTTATGTCAAGTCAGGTGTGAAATACAATGATTTGCTTTTTTAACAAATACCTCAGGTGCTTCTAATGCAAGTGGTCTTCAACTGTGCTTTGAGAAACACTAGGCAGGGATTAATTCATATGCTGGCAAATAGTTACATGGCAGTGCCCAGCTCGCATTTTGGGAGAAAAGGAATCATCTTCCAGTGGTTCTCAAATAAATGAAGAAATCACTTGGAATAGAATAAAGTTCAGAAAGGTCAAGGATAGAAGTCAGAAGATCTGACAAACAGTGGTAAAACTGTAATTATCCTAAGCCAGAAAAAGGTGAATTGTTTTAAAATTATAGTTATTTTTTTTAAATTGTGACTTATCCTGGGTAAACAGCAGCATGGCTCTGGTCTTGAGACAACAAGCCACATGCAAATAGCTATAAGCAAGATTATCAGAAAACCTGAGTATTTCATTGTTTTGTCATTAATCTCACCATGGATCTCATTCTACTTTCCCTTTAGGGTTAGCTTCCACAGGCATTAGAAAATACAGAACCTGTTGAGGGCCAAAAAAGTGATATAAAAAGATTAATAATAATAATACCTTTGGAAAAAATCAAAAGAAGTGAGGTTTCCCAGTCTAAAATGAGAAGAATAAAGGTTAATGTAGTAAACATGTTCATGTATTGAATATTTTACTTAGAGAAAAGTTTGCAGTCACCATCCCCCAGTGAGAACAGAAGAGAATATAATGGGCTTAAAATACTCAATGAACTATTTAAAGTAAATCTATGTGAGAATATCCTAAAAGTGTTAAACTTTATACAAGGTTATAAAGGGAGGTGTTGAAAAGGCATATTAGTCTTTGGAGAGTTTTAAAAGGATATATATTCTCCCTCTCTGATATGGTTACACATTTGCTTCTATCTCAAACACTGCTTATAGTTTGGTACTCTCTTTCCCTGTAAATCTAGGACTCCATGGATTTAAATGTGTTTATATTTGTATTATCTTAAAGCAGTCAATAGAGATATTTTATGTGTCATTATCATCTGACTACTACTTCCAAAGGAATTTATGTAGGAAGGAGTTGGGAGTAGAAAGGTGGGGCCTTGGGACAAATTTAACTTCATTGGAGTGGCTGGATTACTGAAATGGAGGTGGAAAGTTGTATTGTTTTTACACATTTAGTAGTTGATACCAACAATGGTTCCATCACTAATTCAATCCATCTGTTACACTATTCCTTGGATTCTTTCTTCTCTGTTGTCTTGGACCTCTCTCTGCCTCCCTTTTATTATTTATATTCCAGATGGTAGCCCTGTTAGCTGTGTCTGGGACACGTGCTTATTGATCACTCATGGGCACTGCCTGCTATCCTGCTGCAACTCTATGGGATGCAGAGGCCAATATATAACTCAGGTGGTGGAAAATAAGGGCATAAAAATTGAGGGTTTTCGTACCATTTTTCTTGCCCAGAGTTTTAGCCAAGAAGAGGTAGAGAGTAGCTGAAGCCTGACTAACAAGTCGTAATTGAGGGGATGTACTTCATTCTGGGATGTGAAAGGCTGCATACAGGCCTGGAAATGAGAGGATCAGAGGAGGGGATGGGGAAGGTTAGCTTGCCGGAGACATTGCCCGAGGAATAGTGGCAATCACGGGCTTCTGCATCATGTCGGACCCTTTCAGAGGAAGGGGTTTGTCACTTTGTGGAGTTTTGTCTCCTTATTTTTAGGACAAGATGCAGTGTGTGTGTGTGTGTGTGTGTGTGTGTGTGTGTGTGTGTGTGTGTGTGTTACAGTTCTTCCCATTTGACCCTGTGAAGCACCCCTGTAGTGTGGTAAAATCTGTCAGCACATTCAGAAATTCTAGAGCTCTTTGTTCTAAAAAGTGAAATGAAATATGTGGCTAAGACACTCCAGTGCAGACGCCCCACATTCTCTGTGGCAGTGAAAATGGGCTCAGGCCCACCTTTAGGAAAACAGGAAAGGGATTTTCTCCCAAGATTACATACTTCAAGACAGAATTCAGGCAGGCAGTTTTGCATTCATCCATAGAGCTCAGATGCTCAGGACTTCCAAGTGACAGCAGTTGAAACCTGGACCTGTGAAGAACTGGAATGGTTTAGGGGGTCCCAACCTTTCTGGAACCAGCGACTAGTTTCATGGAAGACAATTTTTCCATGGACAGTGTCGGTGGGGGGAGTTTCAGGATAAAACTATTTCACATCAGATCATCAGGCATTATTTAGATTCTCATAAGGAGCGTGCAACCTAGATCCCTCACATGCACAGTCCACCACAGGGTTCGTGCTCCTATGAGAATCTAATGCCACCACAAATTTTACAGGAGGCAGATCCAGGCTATAACACTGGCTCTTCCACCACTCACCTCCTGCTGTGTGGCCCGGTTCTAACAGGCAGCAGACCAGACTGGGGACCTCTGGTCTAGGGCAATAGTGTGGTTCTGGACCAGTGGCAGCAGCCTCACCTGGGCACTTGCTAGAAATGCAGAATCTTAGGCCCCACTCTGGACTTCTGAATCAGAAACTGTGGGGGTGAGGTCCAGCAATCAGTTTTACCAGGCCTTTCAGAGGACTCTGATGTACTTGCAGGTGCAGGATTCGCTGGTCTAGAGTGTGGGGAAAATAGTAGCAGAAGAATGACAGTTTTGAGGGACTTGAAGAATACATCAACACTAAGGTTGCTTCTCTGATCCCGAATCTCTTTCCTTTCTGTTCCCCTCAGCTTCATAATGAAACCTGTTCAACTCTTCCTTCCTCAGTCTTTTCTATCTGTAAGACTTCTATTATTACACTTTAGTAATATATTTTTTATCACTGGATAGTCACGGATTATTCTTAATAAATGTCAAGGCTTGAAAGTATAATCACAGCCCAAAATGGACTTAGAAGTGTGACCAGATGGAATTGCTACTGCTCTTTCAAAAAGCATCTCACTTGAGTATGTCTCTATGAATTCTTATTATAAAGAGAAAAATGAATCTTATTTGTGATATCTGCATAAAAAAACCAATGTTCTATTTCAACTTTATCACTTGTGCATTGTGTGATAGTTGTTTAACTTCTTTTGTTTCCTCTTTATTTATATGTTGTCATATAAATTATAGCCAACAATTAAACTTCTCTTTGCCACACTTCAGCTGTTTACAAATCAGATATAATAATCATTCCTTCCCTGTTTCTCAGAAGGCACATCTTCAGGGCTGATTTTTCTTTTAATTCTTGCCAAGTTTTTTAGGATCTATGAGTGAAAAGGGGTTATAAAAATGCTAATTAGGGTAGGGATAATAATGGCCTACAAGCCAATAATAGGGACAGCTACTAGACTTCTAGCAGGGATGGTGTAGGTCCTTACAAATCTAAATCTAAATATGTGTTAGACATATTAAAATCCAGAGAAAAATTGAAAATTTGCTTAAGTTGGAACTGTCTTCCAGGCTCACTACCTGCCAAATTCTAATCCCCTTGAGATTTGTTTGTGAATTTCACTGCCAGTTTTGTGCAATATCTGCACCAGCCTAAAATCCCGGCATGTCTTTAAGCTTGTCTAGAGTCCCATTTGGTTCAGGGCTCAACTTCAGATTCTCCAGCTGGAATCTCTGAAAATCAGATTCCAAATGTTAATTAGGACTAGGTTTTCATTTTGAAAGCTAAAACCATTGCCCCCACACCCCTACACCCCCTACCTTTCCACCTCCAGCTTTTTAAAAAAGTAAAACATTAAAAGCACAACCAACCGTCCAAATTGTAAAACCTCATCTAGATTAACAACATTCGTGAGAGTTTATGCTTGTCTAAAATTCCTCTGGAGCCGTGCTGTGACTTCCTGGTAGGCTCTCTGACAGGCTGCATTTTTGCTTCTTTTGTCCTCTTGGCCTTCTGGGTGGGCCACTTTCTCACTCTGTTAATTTTCTTTATGACATCTGTTATCCCTTTTTCCTCCCACTCCACCCTTTTTCTGATTTATTCTGGGCTTTTTTGTTCTTTTTTTTTTGGGGGGAGGGTTCTTTTTCTCTTTCACTGTCCTTCCCTTTTTAGCCCAGACTTGCAGATAATTTAAATATTACTCGCCTGCAGAATTGCCATCACAGAAATGCTACCATCTTTTCTTTAACCTGCCAGACCTTCAGCTGCTTCTTAATGATTTTGCTGAAGTTATAAGAATGGGCAGCATGCAAAATTATGTCTATAGATAACTCTAGATTCTCCTCTTTTCACAGGGACTTTGCTCAACTAAGACTTCTAATTGTGCTTCAAAACTGTGTTTTAAATGCATTCTAATCATGGCACAAATACATTATTGAGATTATTCGTGAATCCTATAAGGCATTGCTTATTTTACAATTTACCATCATGGTAATTGTCATAATTTCTTAATTAAATAATCCAATAGACAGGCTCTTTCAGAAAGTTCATAAAATTTGAACCATTTCCAATTCATTCTACTAACATAGATGTTCATTTAAGTGAAATTATTTTATTAAATACTTATTTATTACAAGGACTGAGTGCTAGCAATGCATTTTACTAATTTTCTTACACCTTTTTTTTTTCTTAAACTATTATTTTAAGTTTAAGGGTACATGTGCAGGAAGTGCAGGTTTGTTACATAGGTGAACATGTGCCATAGTGATTTGCTGCACAGATCAACCCATTACCTAAGTATTAAGCACAGTATCCATAAGCTATTCTTCCTAATGCTCTCCCTCCCCCAACCAACCTGCCCCGACATGCCCCAGTGTGTGTGTTGTTCCCCCATTCTGTTCATGTGTTCTCATCATTCAGCTCCCACTTATAAATGAGAACATGCGATATTTGATTTTTCATTCCTGCTTTAGTTTGCTGAGGATAATGGCTTCCAACTCCATCTGTGTCCCTGCAAAGGACATGATCTCATTCCTTTTTATGGCTGCATAGTATTCCTTGGTGCATATGTACCACATTTTCCTTATCTAGTCTACCGTTGATAGGCATTTTGGTTTATTCCATGTGTTTGCTATTGTGAATAGTGCTGCAATGAACATACACTTTCATGTATCTTTCTAATAGAATGACATATTTTTCTGGATATATACCCAGTAATGGGATTATTGGGTCAAATGGTATTTCTGCCTCTAGGTCTTTGAGGAATTGCCACACTGTCTTCTACAATGGCTAAACTAATTTCCACTCTCATCAACAGTGTAAAAGCATTCCTTTTTCTCTTCAACTTCACCAGCATCTATTGTTTCTTTACTTTTTAATAATAGCCATTCTCACTGGCATGAAATGATATCTCATTGTGGTTTTGATTTGCATTTCTCTAATGATCGGTGATGTTGATCTTTCTTTCATATGTTTCTTGGCTGCATGTATGTCTTCTTTTGAGAAGTGTCTCTTCATGTCCTTTGCCCAGTTTTTAATAGCATTGTTTTTCTCTTGTAAATTTGTTTAAGTTCCTTGTAGACTTTGGATACTAGACCTTTGTCAGATGGATAGATTGCAAAAATTTTATGCAATTCTGTAGGTTGTCTGTTGACTCTGATGATAGTATCTTTTGCTGTGCAGAATCTCTTTAGTTTAATTAGATCCCATTTGTCAATTTTGGCTTTTATTGCAATTGCTTTTGGTGTTTTAGTCATTAAATCTTTTCCCATGCCTATGTTGAATGGTATTGCCTAGATTTTCTTCTAGGGTTTTATAGTTTTGAATCTTACATTTAAGTTTTTAATCCATCTTCTGTTAATTTTTGTATATGGTGTAAGGAAGGGGTCCAGTTTCAATTTTCTGCATATGGCTACCCAGTTCTCCCAGCACTATTTTTTAAAAAGGGAATCCATTCCTCACTGCTTGTTTTTGTCAGGTTTGTTGAAGATCAGATGGTTGTAGGTAGCAGTCTTATTTCTGAGTTCTCTATTCTGTTCCATTAGACAATGTGTCTGTTCTTGTACCAGTACCATGCTGTTTTGGTTACTGTAGCCTTGTAGTATAGCGTGAAGTCAGGTAGCATGATGCCTCCAGCTTTGTTCTTTTTGTTTAGGATTATATTGGCCATTTGGGCTCTTTTTTGCTTCCATATGAATTTTAAAATAGTTTTTTTCTAATCCTGTGAAGAATGTCAATGGTAGTTTAATGGAAATAGCATTGAATCTATGAATTACGTTGGACAGTATGACCATTTTCACGATATTGATTCTTCCCATCCATGAGCATGGAATGTTTTTTCATTTGTTTGTGTCCTCTCTGATTTCCTTGAGTGGTGATTTATAGCTCTTCTTGAAGAGTTCCTTCATTTCCTTTGTTAGCTGTATTCCTAGGTATTTTATTTTCTTTGTAGTAATTGTGAATGAAAGTTCATTCATTATTTGGCTCTGTGCTTGTCTGTTTTTAGTGTACAGGAATGCTAATGATTTTTGCACATTGATTTTGTAACCTGAGACTTTGCTGCAGTTGCTTACCAGCTTAAGAACCTTTTTGCTGAGACAACAGGGTTTTCTAGATACAGGATCATGTTATCTGCAAACAAAGATAATTTGACTTCCTCTCTTTCTATTTGAATATGCTTTATTTCTTTCTCTTGCCTGATTGCCCTGGCCAGAACTTTCAATACTGTGTTGAATGGGAGTGGTGAGAGAAGGCATCCTTGTCTTGTGCTGGTTTTCAAGGGGAATGCTTCCAGATTTTGCCCATGCAGTATGATGTTGGCTGTGGGTTTGTCATATATGGCTCTTATTGTTTTGAGGTATGTTCCTTCAATACCTAGTTTATGGAGAGTTTTTAAAATGAAGAGATACTGGATTTTATTGAAGGCCTTTTCTACATCTGTTGAGATAATCATGTGGTTTTTGTCTTCAGTTCTGTTTATTACACCTTATTTTTTAAAGTATATATGTATATGCATACATATGTGTGTATACATATGTATCTGTTCTTTTGACTAACCCAACAGTAAAGTGATGACAGAGGAAAGGGCAACACTCCTAAGTTGATTACAAATATTTGTAAATTGCAGCAAACAGCATGCATAATGAAAATAATGCACACTTCAATTCCTGACTAAGAGGTTTAAATCTCAGCTCCACCCTTATATTTATTTGTAATATTTTAAAAAATTAATTTTAATTCTATAAAAGTGATACATGTACCTAGTTTGAAAAGCTAGTTCACACCTCTAGGTTTATTTGGAAGACTAGCAGTTCCTACCCCTCTGCTCCTAACCTCAGCCTCTCTCAGCAGAGGCCATCACTTCATTTTTGTTGTTGTTTTTGCTTCACCTGTTTCACTTATTTCTTCTGAAAATTACATATATACACATAAACATGCATACATGTATATGTATTGTAAACCAAAAGTTATCTGAGACAGGTCTCAATCAATTTAGAAAGTTCATTTTGCCAAGGTTAAGGATGCACCCATGACACAGCCTCAGGAGGTTGTGAGGACATGTGCCCACGGTAGTTGAGGTACACCTTGCTTGTATACGTGTTAGGGAGACATGAGACGTCAATCAACACGTGCAAGATCTACACTGGTTCTGTAAGGTAAGGCAGGACAACCTGAGGCATGGGCCTCCAGATCATAAGTAGACAAGAGGCAAAAGGTTACATTCTTTTGAGAACTTGATCAGCCTTCCACTGAATCCACAATTTAGTCTGGTTCAGTGAATCTGCATTTTTACATAAACAGTAGGGCAGAGGAAGTATTCAGATATGCGTTTGTCTCAGGTGAGTCTCAGAGGGATGCCTTTGAGTTCTTTCCGTCCTTTTTCCACAAGGAACCTTCTTGTGGACAAATTGTGAGGGAGGAAGGTATGTGGCTTCTTATCTTTGTAGCTATCTTATTTAGGAATAAAATGGAAGGCAGGTTTGTCTGACATAGTTCCCAGCTTGACTTTTCCTTTGGCTTATTGATTGTGGGATCCTGAGATTTATTTTCCTTTCACAGTGTATATATATATATATATATATATATATATATATATATATATATATGTACACATACACACACATATATAAAATTTATGTGTGTGTGTGTGTATATATATATATATGTATGTATGTACACACGTATATATAATGCTTCTACTGCTAATCTTAATTTTTTGATTTAGAACTTTATCTCCTGATTTCCTAATACAATAGATGAGGTTTTAGCTCTCTGACATCATCACGCACACACACACACACACACACACACGCATACACACTCCTGCACTTTTGCCTTTAGAGGTACCAGATGCCTCTAATTCCTGAGCTTTCTGTTGGTTCTAGGTATTCTAGGCATTTAGGTTTCTGCTTTCCTGCATCTGCTGTGTCAGCTACTATTCATCCATCCATTTTCCAGTTTTCTAATGTTGTTGACTTATTTATCAGCTGCCATCATCTCTCCTGTTGTCTTTTTTTTTTATGAGTTCATGCCTTTTTTGTTCCTTTTTTATACTAATATTTTAGTGGAACTTCTGGAAGGGAAAGATATAAAAACAAATTCAAGTGTTCACACTTTGCCAGCTCTAAGCCTGAGAGATAATAAATGCTTGGTGACCAGTGTGCTATTACTACTAACTACTTCCTTCAACAGAGTCTGTGCCTATATGGAAGAAAAAGAGGCACCTGATAGAGAAGATGTCTCTTACTTTGCTGTTTTTTCTCTCTGTTGTCTCTTCTAAATTCTTATTTCACCTAAAGTCAAGCAAAGATCTCTTCAAGGTGGTTAACTCCTGAAAGTATAAATTTTAGATAGAGGAGCACTTATTAAAGGACTGTATATTTATTGTGAATGAATCATGTTAGATCCTAGGAATATAAAGGTAATCAATAGAAAGCACAGACCCCATCTCCTAGGAATCCCCAGTCTGCCTTGGGGAGAGGTATGTTCTAAGCGCTAGGGGATCAGAGAAAAGAAAGTGGTTGTGTTTGGGGAGCAGGCAAGAGGTGAGCATGGGACATAAATTTGGGGAAGATTTCATAACAAAGTAGCACTCACTCCTGGGGCCTTGAAGAATAATAATTCCACTAGTTGGGGACAAAGTGGAAAGCTCCATGGGCAGAGAAAATACTATGAGCACAGGGCACAGGAGTTTGAAAACACAAGATATTTAGAGAACCACTAGAGGATGGAGCATGTGGAAAACTGGAGTCTGCAGAGAGTCTTGGGCCAGATTAGGAAGAGTGTTGAATGCTGCCGTGCTTGGGATGTAAACTTTTTCTGAAGGCATTGAGAAGCCTGACACATTTTATCACCAGGAAATGACAAGATCAGATGTGATACATTGCTGGAAATGTAGTCCATGGAAGAGTGACGGGTGATAAGCAGAATGGTTAGGAGACGGTGTCCGTATTTCAAGAGAGAAATAGTGACAGCCCAGACAAGGCACCAATAGTATAGATAGGAAGAAGTAATCATTGAAAGCTTTTCTTTTAAGATATAAAATTGATTCTAGAATTCCATCCAATGGAGGAAATGAGGTTCTGAATCTAACTCCCTGGTGCTTGGGTAGATGTTGAATGCCATTAACCTCTGTTAAAAAAAAAAAAAGAAAGAAAGAAAAGAAAAGATGCAGGCTTATAGGAGAAGATAATGGGCTTGGCTTTAGACTGAGTTTGTTCAGTAGAATTGGAAATAAAAATCTGGATTTCAGAAACAGAGTCTCAGCTGGGGACTTATATTGAGAAAGGAGGAACGTATGGATGCTAATTGAAGGCAGGTAAATGGATGAGGTCACGCAGGAGTGTGAATGGGGAGAGGAGGTAGGTGGGGAAAGACATAGAGGCAGGAAGTTAGCAGAGGAAGTGAAGCCAGTCAAGGGGACAGAGGAAGAATGACTAGAGAGGCGGAAGGAAGAAAAGGAAGGAGTGGTCTTAGGAAACCCATTTAAGAAGGGAGGCCTAAGGGAAAAAGAAATGGTGAAGAGTGTTAAATGCTGCCAAAAGTTGGCCAGCACAAGAAGTGAGATGGCAGTAACTTGAGTGGAAAACAGTTCATGGAAAGACTTTTGAGATGAAGAGACTGGAACATGTTTATTGGCTTTGAGTAATAATCTGATTGAGAGCATGAAGACTAAAGATAAAGAGAAGATATAAGGGATTACAGATACTGCTGCCTCTCAGTCAAGAGTCAAGTGAGAAGGGAGTAACAATAACTAAAGACAAAGTTTATAGAGTAGCAGATGGAATTCAAGAATTCAAGGTATTTTATATGCAATGGTTTCTTGTTTCTCTGTGTGGACTTTCCCATTCCTGTCAATGGCAACATCTGCCGTCCGGTTGCTCAGGACAAAATCCTTGATGTCATCTTAATTTCTCCATTTTCCTCATGTTCACATTTAGTTCATCAGGTAATTCTATTAGCTCTACCTTTAAAATATATCCACACACCAGCCACATTTTACCATCTGACCCACTGCCCCCCTGGTATGAGCCATCATCACCTGTTACATGGCTTATTGCAAGAGCCTCCTGACTGGTCTCACTACTTCCCCTGCCTCTTCACAGCCTAATCCCAGCATAGCAGCCAGACAGTCCTGTTAAAAATGTAAGTGAAATAATAATGCTCCTCAGCTGAAGCCCTGTGGCAATTCCCCACTTCATCCAGAATAAAAGCCACAATCTTTGCAATGGCTTACCTAGCCCTCCACATGTCCCCTCTCTGAACCTGTGACTGAAAATTGCAACCATCTTCACTCTCTTGTTCTCTGCCCATCTCCCCACCACTCCCAATTCCCTTATACTGGCCCTATTATTTAGTAGAATTATCACTTTCTAATTTGCTGTAGAGTTATTTGTTATGCTTGATGTCTGTTTTCCCCATTGGAATATAAGTTCCACGGGGCATTAAGTTTTGCAGATTGTATTCACTGTTATATCTCAAGTCTTAATACAGTGACGTAGTGACTGGCACATGGCAGATGGTCAATAGTTTTTGAGTGAATGATGGAGGTAAGAAGTTAAGGGCATCCACATGTCAGGGGGAGGGTCAGCAGCAGGGTAGTGATCTTCAGAAGCCACTTGACCATGATAGAGAAAGGAAAATTTTGCTGACTTGAGAAGAGTAAAGTTGGCAAGAGATCCTGAATGTTATGAGTCCTTTAAAAGTCTTTTCTATTGACAGTTTTGTTGTTGTTGTTGTTGTTAAATTAAGCCTATGGTTAGCATCACTCTGTACTGGGACTCTGGGGATGAGGAAGTTTGGTCTCTGAGGGTCTCTTCAGCTATTTGAAGGCTGTTTGTACATTGGAGAAAGAAGAGTTGGTTCCACTTCTTGCCTTTATTCTCTTTGGTTGTGTGACCTCAATCAAAGTCATTTAACATTTAACTCTTATGAAAAAGTATCTCCCTTGCTTGACATATACAGTTCTTTTGGCTCTCAAATGAGATAATGTTTGTGAGGGCATTTGTAGACACTAAAATGCTACACACATATGGGATTATCATCATTGTCATCCCCGTGTGAGAAGTCTTCTGAAGCAAGCCAAGGCTGAGCCGAGGCATAGCCATACTGCAGGTGATACATCCTGTGTGCTGCCCACTTTGAGTCCTGACCAAGGAAGCAGAATGCCTTCCAGGAGTTGCATACATAAAGCTGCAGCGTGATCTGATAAAGAGAAAGAGAGCCTCTGCACTTTCAGTGCAGTCCAGCTTAAAGCCTGGAACTAGTTTTTGCATCTCTTTGAATCTACTTGAGTGCAGGCCCCCAAACTGGGTATCAGACCTTGATTAAGGAGACTAACAACAGCCCAGATCTGGGGCTTCCTAGTAACCCCCCAGCACCAGCTGAGCAACTTGGGGTAACTTTCCTTCAGAAGCTCCTCTTGGGAGGATGCCCACACTCCATAGGGGGTACAAATCCTCTACCTTATTTGGCCTCTATTTCATTGAACAGAGTGACAAGAAAACAGCAAATAAGTCTTTGGATACTTAACCAAACTAAAAACAAAACAAAACAAAAAAAAACAACACGCACCTATTTTGAAAACATGGACTTGCCCCATCCTTGTCTCCAAAGCCCAGTGATCCTAAGTAAGCCTTTTGGTTCCAGTAGGTTCTCCATAGCCTTTTCAGTCGTATACATTGTTTTTCTATTTAAGATCAGTAATGAGAATTTGGCAGGAGAAAGATTCAAATGGGTCAGGAGGCTCTTGTGGCTTTTCTCGGGCTTGTTTTCCACAGTTCATTCTAGCCTGCAACATACTTTGCAAGAATAAATTGGCTGGAGATCTAACCCATGGTGAGAGGCCGCCACTGAGGCAGCATTTCAGAATAGGGAGACTGGAGCCATGATCAGCCTTCCTGAAGCACACAGCCGGGGTGTTTCCTTACACATGCACATGCACATGGCAGTGTACACTGGGGATCCTCATCGAGAACAGATGTTGCTGCCCACTGTGCCAGCCACATGTCATGCATGGCATTTTCTTCTGCTAAACTCCTGGCAACAGCGTTTTTCTTTTCTTCTCCCTTCCCTCTGCCTCCTACCCTCTTTTCCCATCTCCTACACCCACAGCATGTGCAAATTCTCTCCTGATTCATACTTGGCCAGCCTCATATTTTTGTTGTTGTTATTGTTATTGCAAACATTAGAGGCTTCCAAAGCTGGGGAAAAAAAAGTAAAAGAAAAGAAAAGAGAAAAAGAAAGAAACCACAACAACCCCCAAAGGAAATATGTTCTAACCCAGGAATGTACGATACTTCATGCATGGGAAGCATCTTCCCACCTCTCCAAGCTTAGCTACAGAAACAAAGGCTCCAA